>NC_000002.12:77292625-77917625 GCF_000001405.40 Homo sapiens
TCATAGGTGGGAACTGAACAATGAGAACACATGGACACAGGAAGGGGAACATCACACTCTGGGGACTGTTGTGGGGTGGGGGGAGGGGGGAGGGGTAGCTTTAAGAGATACACCTAATGCTAAATGACGAGTTAATGGGTGCAGCACACCAGCATGGCACATGTATACATATGTAACTAACCTGCACATTGTGCACATGTACCCTAAAACTTAAAGTATAATAATAATAAAATTAAAAATAAAATAAAATAAAAAATAAATAAAACACATCACTCGTTAATAGCAGAATTAGAAACCTAATTCAGATCGCATGACTTTAAGTTTACATTGCTTTAAAAATACCTAAAACTTAAAGTATAATAATAAAAAAATATATATACCATATTGTGTCAAGAGGAAATTTTTCAGTTTGACATAAAATCAGTACATTGAGCTTGTATACTTGATAGCTTCCCTTGTCAAATTCTCTTGGAAATGTACAGAAAACATCTGACATATTTGGAAAGTAGAATGAAAATGTATAATCGGGAAGAAAAAAGTGTCATTAAATATGAAACTAAGGACTTTTCACAAGGTACAGTGCAAATAAAACCCAAATGAAGAAAGTTCTGACTATAACCAAAAGTAGTAAGAACATTTGTTGAGAACTTATTTTATGCCAATACAAACATACGTAAGACAGAAAGAAGTATTTAAACTTTGTGATTCATTAGACACAGCATGTTTCAAGCAGTTATCAAGACAGGGCTCAACCCATTAAGAGAAATCCAGGAAATGGGGTAAATGAACAAAGCGGACAGTTTTTCCAGAAATCCCTATAACGGAAAACCAGGGAACCACTAAAATAATAAAGATGTCTACTTTTTAAGACAAAAATATCCGGTATTATTATTGACATTCTCTTGATCAACACACAAATAAGCTAAAGTCTAAGCTCATATGCATTTTTGACAGACAGACAAGAAGAAAGAACACAAAAAGAAAAACGAACATACATATTTTTGTGAAAAAACATTGTGATTGTCCTTTTGGTGCTGATTCACAGCCACTTACTCTCTTTTCAGGCTCATGAGAGGAATATAATTTTCAATCCCTTGCAATTAGACAAGGTCATGTGACTAACTTAAGGGCTATGTCCAAAGAATATAATTGCTGGTGTGGGACACTAATCCTCCCTTCCCTACTATGGTAAGCCCTGGACCCTCATAATGAGACCGTGATGTCATAGAGGTAAAACTTTATCAGCCTATGGTCCCTGAATGACAAAAGGGACCAAACACTTTTATTAAACAGTGTTGAATATATATATGAATAACAAATAAACTTGTTGTTTTAAGTCATTGAAATAAGGTTTTCTTACTGCATCGTGGTCTAGACCAGCCATGTAATGTGTGTGTGCCAAAAACATATATGTATACCACATAGATGCATGTGTGTATGCATATATGCATGTGTGTACATCAAAAACATGTTTTTCTTATCTCTGGATTGTAGACCCTTACGTATTATTTTATAATTATTCTCTGTTTTTGTTTTTTGGATTTTTATTAAAGTATATTTTCTACTTCAGATGGCACGCAGTATATTTGGAATAATATAATCAACTATTCGATCAATAGTGACTTTTTTTGGAAAATCAGGAGGAAAATGACTCTGGAACATTGATTTTCAGTTATGTGAAGAGCCATAATTAATATCAGTTATCAAATATAGATATTTTTATTTCCCTGCTAAACAAAAATTAGAATTTACCTAATATTTAGATATAGTAAGAATGCATGCATTTGGCAGAATGTATTCATATAGGTTAAATATTTTGATTTAGTATTTAGAAAGGTCAATAAATTGCAACCGTTTTGTGTTTGACCAGATCTTGGAGTAACAAAAGCAGATATATAGTTTAAAGACAGTCTTACATATGTCTTCAGAAGCTAACTACATGGAATTTATCTTTTGAGTGGGCAGGAGAATGCACATTAATGGATACCAGTGAGAGATTCTTGCCCTACTTGTAATAAGACTCAAGTGTGACCTGAATGGCTCCCTGCTGCTTAGATTTATGTTCTTCTCAGAGGTATTGGATATTGTATTTCACTACAAAGAGCTAAAAACATTGCAATCATTATTTATAAATCTTTTAGAAAAATGTATCTTCTTTGCAGCAACTATGGCAACAGGGAACTCGAAATGACACTGGAAAAGAATTGAGCTCAGTTGCAATGGGTAATGTACATAGGATTTATATTTTATTACCATCTATATTTTAGAACTGAAAAAATCTAAACAGTATATATGATTTTTTCTGTATTTAACTCATGTGTTACATTAAAGCAACATTTAAATATAATGCAAATCACATTTATGTAACTATCATGAAAAATTTATAAAAATGACTCCAGGTGAATCAAAATCATCTCATTTCAAGGGTACTGCCAGCTTTACATATTAGCAATAATACTAGCATTTCTAGCCATAGTGCTTATATTACTGCACTTGTTATAAATTTAATGAGCTTTCTGGAAATGCAGATATGGTCATTCTTTTTAAATATTTAATTTAAAGCAAACATAATTTCTTTTATTTTACTTATTACTTTAAGAACACACCTACAGTACCCTCTTATATTATATTGGATACAGTAGGTTTTTGTCTTAGTAATTGTTTTACCCCATGTTAAGATTCCTTTTTTGATCAGGAAACTTTCTGCTATTTATAATATTTCTTACAAAGTTATATTTTTCCCTTAAATTAAAAGCATACATTACTTAAAGATATAGATAGTTAGGAGCTCTTACGTTTGTCACCACGTTTATGCCCACATTAGCAAGTCCACGCAAATTCCTCTCCCAAGGAAGATATTGGAAAATTGCTATATTTGACTGTATGACATGACCATCATTGCATTAGTTTGCTAAGGCTGCCACAAGAAGTACTGCAGATTGAGTGGCCTCAACAGCAGAAATGTATTTTCTCATAGTTCTGGAGGTTTAGCAGTCCAAAATGAAGGTGTCGAGCAGGGTTGGTACTTTCTGAAGACTGAGAAAAGGACCTAGCCCAGGCCTCTCCCAGGCTTGTAGGTGGCCATCTCCTCCCTTTCACGTTGACTTTCACGTTGTCTTTCTTCTCTATTTGTTGTATCTAAATTTCCTCCTAAAAGGACACCAATCATATTAGATGAGGGCCCACTCTAATTACCTCATTTTAATTTAATTGCTTCTTTAAAGACTTAGTCTCCAAATACTGAGATATTTGGACATTCTGAGGTGCAAGGAATTAGTAATTGAACATATGAATCTTAAGGGGGCCCAACTCAGGCCATGACAATCATTTGATTTGATAATATAACCTGTCGAATATATTTGTTTCCAGTGCTCTTATTGTTTTACAAATTCTACAGCAAATATCTGAGTAGTTAATTCTTCGTATAAATCCTTAATTATTTTGTATACTGTTTTGCTCTGACAGATATATTAGATTAAATAATGCAAATATTTCTTAAGCCTTTAAACTTGTTGAAAAATTTCAACCTGAAAATACATGGCAACTTGTAGATACGATAGAAATATTTGAGAAATTATTCCCCAATATTTTCCCCAACACTAAATATATTTTAACAAGTTAATATTTCCTCTCATAAGAAAACAAAATAGTATATCATCATTTCAATTTGCATTTCTAAAGTATCAATGACATTAAATGGTTTTTATATAAGTAATTTGTATTTCTTTTTTGAAGGTGGGAGATAGCATCTTCGATTTTTTTGGCCTATTTATTCAGTAACAGTATCATTACCTTCTTTGTAATAAGACATATTACAGCATTTTTCTTGGGTTTTTGGTATGCCTGTTAATTTTATCTATGGTACGTTGTTCCTGAACACAATTTTTTAAATTTATGAATTAAATTCAGAAAACAACACTCTTTTTCCTTATAACTTCTACTCCATTTGGTGGCATGGTTAATTTATATAAAAGGCATACATTTATTTGGGACAAGTAAACAAGGTATAATTGGATTTTGTCTCTTGTCAAAATAACAACATCATCATTTTTAAATTAGGAACTTTACCTGCTGTAAGTAAGTGCTTTGCTTCAGGAATTGCACTCCCCAGAGTGAGCTGGGCCACCACCAGCCACACCTCCTTCTTACCTGTGTCATGGATATTGCTTTTCTCACATGAATGTAGAACGATGCCCAAGGTGAGAATAAGCAGTACTTTGGTAAAGGAATTCCTGTCCACTTTTCTCGTTCTGAGTTAAGATGCATAGTGACATAGTTAAGATGCTAAGCTTCTGTGCCTCTCATTTTGTTTCTGTTTCAGAAAGTGAGATCTAGGCTCAGCACAGGGGAGCAGATTCCCTAAAGCTCGACTCTCATCATGGCTCCCTGGGGTAATGAATGGAGATTCCTCCAGTATGCCGGCATTAGTAAATCTTCTTATTGTTTTCTTGTCTGTTTCTTTTTGTTTTTGTTGTTATTGTTTTTTTGTTGTTGTTGTTGATGTTGTGGTGGTAATGGTTGTTTTTGTTTCCGTTTTGTCTTTTGCATTTACATGGAAGTTTTCTTCCAGCATTTTAGAAGCCACAAGGGGGCCGTAGGAGGCCCTTCTCATATTTTACTATTTAGAAGAATTTTCCTCCTTTATGAATTTTATATCATAGTAAAAATAATTGACTATTTTATTTATTTAGGTCTATAAAAAGTTAACTAAAATTTAATGAGACTGATTATTGTTTTGATTTACAGAGACCATCCTAATTATTTTATAGTCACTATGCTCTATTGTGCCTCTAATGAGGCTACTGGTTCCAATTTAGAAGCATTATCTATAAAGAGAGAGTTAGAGGAAAGACAGAAGTACACACAGACTTTAGAAGTTTGATCTTCAGGCATCTTCCTCATGCGTGAGCTAGCCAATGTTTTCTTCTTTATTTCTATGCCTTTGGACCCAGGGATTAATTAAGTCTGGGTTGGTCTTTGGTCTATTTTACACCATGGGGTTCTTCTCCTACCAAGCCTGAGTACAGTCTTCCCAGGAGCCTCTCTATGCTGTCCCTATGGCAGTAATATCAGGGATTCTCAGATTTTCACTCTTCTATTAAAAGCCAAGAGAGTAGAGCTTTAAAGTCAATTAATAATGATATAATGAGAGAAGTTTTCCACTTTATGGGTCTTCATGCTCTTAATTCATCAATTTGAGCTTCTCCAAAACATCCACCTTTGTTACAATGCTGCTTTAGGACTGACACAAGATCACATGGTCAAAGACTTATTCACCTACAAAGATAATTTTTGTTTTGTTTTTAAATCTTGCATTGTTTCCAAAGAAAATTTATATGATGTAAATTTCAAATCATAAACAGCACCTTTTCGAATTAAGCATGATGGATGAGCATGTGATGTGTAAGAAACTAAAAGAGAGAGAGAGTAAAGAGAGAGTAAATTCTGCCTCTCACTTATCCAAGATCAAGAGACGAATGGATTAATCAGTCAGTAGGAATAGTATCCCCCAATTTTATGTCTGAATCTATTATCAAACGAATACATTCTAATAAAGTCAGACAAGTAGTTCTAAAAATTACTTCACTTGACAACCACTAAAGGAACTTTTTTGTTTTGTTTTGTTTTTGAGATGAAGTCTCGCTCTGTCGCCCAGGCTGGAGTGCAGTGGCACGATCTCGGCTCACTGCAAGCTCCGTCTCCCGGGTTCACGCCATTCTCCTGCCTCAGCCTCCCGAGTAGCTGGGACTACAGGCACCCGCCACCACGCCCGGCTAATTTTTTGTATTTTTAGTGGAGACGGGGTGTTCACCGTGTTAGCCAGGATGGTCTCGTTCTCCTGACCTCATGATCCGCCCGCCTCGGCCTCCCAAAGTGCTGGGATTACAGGCGTTAAAGGAACTTTTAAAATCAATTTCTGAGTCTCACATCAGACTTACTAAATCACTCTCTCTTTTAAATGATGGAACCCATGAACAGATGTCTAAAATTCTAGAGACAATTTTTATGCCCTGCCAGAGATGAAAAGTATTGTGATAGATGATAAACCAAAATCATGAACTAGCAATGCAGTTTGCCAATACTCTCCCTAATTTAACCTCATGACATTTGTAATTAACTAATTAATCTTCCATTCATCAGAAAATATCCTGCTGCTATCATTAGAGAGGAAAAATAACTTGAATAAAAGCAATGCTATTTTCTGCATTTATTCTCCAATACAAAATTGAATTTTGTTGATAGCTTAAATTATTTTTTCTTACTACTAACTGTAATTCTAACCTCCTAGTGACAAATATTTACTATTGATCAAGCTCTATGAGAAACACTTAAGATAATTTTTAGGATATATAGAAGATGATGCATAAAATCGTTTATATAAAACACAATACAAAACAGTATACAAGAAGGTTTACATAACGTATAAAAATGTTCTATATTTAATGAGACACAGGGAGATTCCTTTCTGACCAAAGTATCAACTAAGAGCACAAATATAGGAATAGCAATTACATTTTAATACGACACTCTACATGGTCCCTCGCAACAATGCAGACTAGCTTTAGTAAGAAGGAAGAGAAATACTAGGTAGTTCTTCCTACAATCTCTCTCTCTCTTTATCTATATATATATACACACACACACACACACACACACACACACGTATATGTATATATACACGTATATACATATATATGTGTGTATATATGTATATACGTATATATATGTATATATGTGTGTATATATATACGTATATATGTGTGTATATATACGTATATATACAAACACACACACAGATATCACAGTCTTATTTACATTTTCATTATTTCCATATTATAAGTGGTAAAGGATAATTAATTCAACATTAAAATAATTCCCAGAAGATTTCTGAACTAAATAATAGACTCTTCAAAACTCATCATCAATTCTAAGAACTGGGAAATTGTTTTCCTTTTGTATGGTAGCAGAACGCTTGTTTATTTTAGTCATCTAGTTCCAAAATAGAATGAAGGAAAAATGAAAGCCTAAGTAAAACTGTTGCATTCTCTATTGTAAGACACACTGACACTCTAAGAAGAGGGCAAGAAATCTCAAGGAGTTTATCCATCATAAGTTATTGAAAAGAAACACTTTCAGCCTTTCAAAGAAAACATGTTGACAGATATACGGAAATCTAACAACACATTGTCACTGAGTGTGAGGACATGATGTAAGGTAATGATTTTTTTTTTTTTTTTTTTTTTTTGAGACGGGGTCTCGTTCTTTGCCAGGCTGGAGTGCAGTGGCGCAATCTCGGCTCACTGCAACCTCCGCCTCCCAGGTTCAAACGATTCTCCTGCCTCAGCCTGCGGAGTAACTGGGACTACAGGCATGCGCCACCACGCCCAGCTAATTTTTGTATTTTTAGTAGACACGGGGTTTCACCATGTTGGCCAGGATGGTCTCGATCTCTTGACCTCGTGATGTACCTGCCTCGGCCTCCCAAAGTGCTGAAATTACAGGCAAGAGCCACTGCACCTGGCCAATGATGATTTTTAAAAGTTTATTTCAAGCCAACAGTTCAAGAGAGTACCTAAAAGCAATGACTTCTAGGAAACATAGGTTATTTTATATCTAATTTGCAGAAGTGATTACTCACCATTTTCTTTCATTAGAACTGCTATCATAGCTATAACATTTGTACTAATCTTTAATGCTACTATCTAGGTGAAAAATTAGAAATATTTTAAACTTTGGTCAGAGTCCTCAAAGAAGAGGACAAAATAACTAAGAGTTAAGAGACTTTAGCATTAGAACCTAGGATTGAGACTGAGTTCTACCAAAGACTAGATGGGTAATTTAGAGCTAATTGCTTTGTATGCGGCTCAATTCTTTATTTGTAATATAGAGTTTATAATAAATAGTATATGTAGTGAAGAAAAAGTTATAACAAGTATACATTACATTTAACACACCTAGCACATAGGACACCCTCAACAAACAGCTACAGCTGCTGTAAATCATGTGTATATAATATAACATGCAAGCATATCTTCATGTATTGATTAATTACTACTTCTTGGAAAAGGATCTGAGGAACATATTTAATATATTTAATATGCCTGCTCATATGTTCATTTAGTGCTTATCAATTATATTTAGTGCTTTTCTATTAGCTTCATCCATTTGATTAAGATAGCAACTTGTATTATTTAATATATGTTACTCTGTGCTGTTTCTTCATAGTTAAAAATTCCAATACATACTAAGTAAAAGGAAGATGTAAGTCATTAAGGTGTTTTTCCATTTATCAGTTGTGCTAAATGGAATTTTTTTTTACAGTTGTGGTAAATGGAAAAGCACTTTAAATGACTCTAGATAGATGCACTTTTTTTCTTTTCCTTTTTTTTAAATTAACAGGATATGAATCCATGCTATATCTCTTTTAAAGTTGCTGGGACTTTCTAGTTTATCTAGAGTTAACAGCACTGATATAAACCTATCATAGAAAAATACATTTTACACATATTCAATGTACTTCAAAATTAGATGCTTCATGGAATTTTTCAGGTTGCTTTTCTGTTCAACCTTAAATATTTAAACAGTTTTATAAAAAATAGATAATTTTGTGCTTCAAAATATCATAACTGTGTCAGGAATTTGTTATTTTGAGTTTATCAAATGACATAATTGAATTTGAGATATATAACAACACCATAGTTGATAAAACAAATTATTGCTAAAAATAATTTAAGCAGGCACTACCAACATAAAATATTATAAGATATTTAATAAATAAGAATGGCATTTCATGAGGTTTTCCATTTGGATGGTGCATGTCCTGGGAAGAATTTCTTTATGTCATTATGTCACAGAGACTATATTAAGTAGTAATTACTACTAACAAAAAGTAATACTGCACAAATTACCAGAGCCATCCTTTTTATTAACACAACTTGATAAAAAATAAGAAAGCTATTGCTAAAACTATCACATTAATATTCCTCTGAGAGTTGAACTATAATTGCAGTCGCTTTTATTCTGCCCCATGAGACACCAGAGGAATGCAGGAGGCAGCTGGCAATCTACTCATGTAATTATATTTCTCCCTATGTTTGAATTATTAGGCAGAATTTTTGCTAATAGAGCTGCAAATGAATAGTATCCTATTCTCTTTATATTAAATTCAGTTATTAGTGGGCTGTGGAGAGATTTCCAACACAGCACAGATATCACATATTGTATGCCTCTGACCTCCACTCATAACTTACCAGTAACAGAGAAGTTAAGGAATTGCAAGAAATAAAGAAAATTTAAGATATTGCCTAGCAACACTCGAAAATATTAAAGTCATAGAAGACTCACCAGGAATGAGAAAAGGTGAAATCATTTAAAAACTATTTTAGACATAGTTTCTTAGTTTCTTTGTCATCTAGGTAGAAAAAGAGAGCTAAGCAGAAATTGGCTCATTTTCCATGCATCAGAAAAGCAATAGAGGAATAGATAGAAATAAAGACATACTTTTCTAGTCATCACTGCAAACTCACATCAGGGCAGTAAAATTTCCATCAAAAATATTTCTAACTGAGTTTAAATTTAAAGTAATAAAATATGCATCTAATACAGAAATAATTGAGCCACAACACCATGCAGTCTTGCTTCAGTGTGGCATCCATGATATCAGTTCCAGGCCTTTTTATTTATTTCAAGAAATAGTAAATAGATCTACTTTTTATTTTAAAAATTAAACATCTTTGTTATTTCAAATATACACTTATTTTTAATCACTGAACATGACAATTCAGATGCTGTTTTCCTTGCAAATGGCTCTCTAAAGCACGAATACTGGGATTCAAGAGTTCCTCAAAGGCATGGAATATAATGAAAAATATCACAGGGTTGCAAGTAAAAATATGCTTTAGCAGTGTTGTTTTGATAATTAAATAAAAAAGTAAACCACACAGCCTCTTTGTGTATGAGGAGGTAATTTCAGTAAATACTTGGTCAATCTTACTGATTTATAATGTCCCATGGGAATTATTTCAACAGCAGAGGTATTTGTGCTGGTTATAGTAGAAGAAGCTACTTGATGTATCAAACTACCTTTATGTGTCTTCTACAGTGCTTTTGAGTGAAACATCCACACGTGCACACGCCCCTTCCTGAGACTGTGGAATGAGGTTGTGGGAACTTCTATCAGTGAGATATTAGGGAAGGGAAGAGAAAGGGCTACTTTGTGTGAAGACAATGTCAGGATAAAGCAGTCTGTCTTAATATAGCCTAATATAGAAAGCCATTTTGCATGGCATGGGTGGGAGGGTAAAAGAGGAATACAACTTAGCAAAGTAGGTGGAAGCTCCTGGAAACAGAAATGACAAAACTGTTTAATGTTAAAATAAAAAGATCTATCTACTAATATATATATTAGGCCCCACCATTGCTCAGGCCCTGACAATTTTTGCTTTTCCTGGATGAGCACTATGCTATGTATCTGCCTCACTCCCTCTATAATATTCCCAGAAAAATCTTCCTCAAATACAAAACTGAAATTTTTAGTCATCTGCTTAAAACCCGGTGTCTCGGAGGCGGAGGTTGCAGTGAGCCAAGATCGTGCCATTGCACTCCAGCCTGGGCAACAAGAGCGAAACTCCATCTCAAAACAAACAAACAAACAAAAAAAAATGGTGTCCTTTCTTGTTTTCCAGAATAAAATTGATTGTCACAGGTTGATTAGTATGTACTTAAAAGTAGACTTGACTGAAGCCAGCGGATTTTAGCAGAGAAGACATTTATAATTTATATTTCCAACAAAATAAAGGCTTCCATACAATTCTTTTGATAGGGAAGAAGGAAAACTAATAAATTAGAACAAGCATGATTACTTTAAGTGGTGAGTCTCTAAAAGGGTTTGATTGCTGGCTCAGACTTTATCAAACACAATTAGTGTCCCAAAGGGCATACTACTCTGTCCTCAACACTTTTTAACTCTGATCACATGGTATACATTTAATAAAAAATTGTTGAATGAGTAACCACCATTCAATTATCTACTTCTATGATATCAACTTTTTTAGATTTCACATGTAAGTGAGGTCTTCAGGTATTTATCTTTCTATGCCTTGTTTAGTTCATGTAATATAATGTTCTCCAGATTCACTCATGTTGTCACAAATGACATGATTTCCTTCCTTTTATGGCTGAATAGTATCCCATTGTTTATATATATCACGTTATCTTTATCCATTTATCTGTTGACAGACACTTAGATTGATTTCATATCTTGGCTATTGTGACTAGTGCTTCAGTGAACACAGGACTGCAGGAATCTCATCAATATACTGACTTCATTTCCTTTGGATGTAAACCCAGTAGTGGGATTGCTGGATTATATGATCATTTTATTTTTAACTTTTTGAGAAACCTCCATACTGGTTTTCATAATGGCTTTATTAATTTACATTCCCACCAACAGTGTGCAAGGGTTCCTTTTTCTCCATCAATACATGTTACTTTTTGTCTTTTGGATAATGGGCATTCTAACAGAAATGAAGTGATATCTTATTGGGATTTTGCTCTGCATTTCCCTCATCATTAGTGATGTTGAGCACTTGTTCATATACATGTTGGCCATTTGTATGTCTTTTGAAAAATATCTGTTTAGGTCTTTTGCCCATTTTTAAAATCAGGTTATTTGACTTCTTGCTATTGAATTGTTTGAATTCCTGATTTTGTTTGGATGTTAAGCCTTTATCACATGTATAGTTTGCAAATATTTTATCTTATAAAGAGAAGTGAATGCCAAGTTCCTGAATCCAGAAAGAAGAGGTATTGGGTTTAGTGGCAAGTGGTCCTCCATCTAGACCACTTCAATGGAACTTCTTTTATCCATGAAACAACTGAGAATAAATGGAAAAAAAATAGTCAGCTGGCAAACCTGAAAAAAATACTTGAGACATAGGATGAATAGAAGTCAAACAGAAAGCAAGAGGGGAATTGCTCTTGTCTCTGATTTATGACAATGGCTATCAGTTATGTGTACTAATGCCCCAATAGCTAATAATTGAGTTAATATAATAACTAGCATGTACTAAGCAATTAGTATGTGATCAGTCATTATGCTCAGTGTTTTCCCTACATTATCTCATTTACTCTTAAACCAGGTGAAATTGGTATTATTATGTCCATTTTACATATAAGTAAATTTAGGCTTCAAGTAATTGATTACCTTTTTTGGGATCACACAGTTAGTCCAAGGTTCAAGTGAATGCCTTTCTGAGTCCAAAACTTCTTAAAATATTATGGTATATTTAATGTTGTTAAAACGATATCATTTAAGGTCCCTTTATAATATAACATGAATTATGCAGAGCCTAAATTAGCCAATCTTTTCATTCATTCATTGTAGATTAATTCATCATAGAAGATCATGTCATGTATATGTATGAGAAAAAGAAACATTTTAATGCACATTAATCTCTGAGAATGTTGGACTATATAAGCTGAGGTTGAAAAACTACACATAAAACTTAATTATTTGAGATTATGATTTAATTATTTTTTTCTAAATCCAAAACTAGTTAATTCAACACCAAAACATCAATTATCTAGTTTTCTGTGTTGATATACAGAAATTAATTTTTCCAATTTCTTATATATTTATGTTATAAACACAAATCCTATACGCTGTAATTTTTAATTTATAAAAATTAAATTGCAAATTGTTTTGAGACTCTTAGGAACATGTTAAGAGATGTGCTTGAATTTAATTTAAATTCTCAAAATGTTAAAATACTAATCTCAGTTTCAATATAGGTAGTAGCTAAAAAGTTGATTATACAAAAACAATTTTGTGATTAACTTTCTTCTCAACCTTGCTCTTCATTTATTAAGACTTGTGCCTTTAAAATCGTTCCAAAGTTTACATACATTTTGCTGAATGAAGTGCTTTAGGCACTAGCAATTTCAGGTGTTTAATATTCAACAGGCATAGTCCTAAAACTCAATGCATGTTTTAAAATTTTCATTGCATATCCATGTGTTACTGCAGAGCTCTTCAAATCGTTGCTTTGTTATACTACTAAAAGTTGGCAAGATGACTTTTTGATATGATACCTCAAATTTAAAGTAAAAAAGGTGGATGTTATACTTTCTGAGAAATGTGCAAAGTATTATGTTTAAATAATACAATCATAATTATCTATTTTATATTTTAATAATAAAACAATAATTCTGGAACATCTTAAACTTTTAAAAATATATTAATGAAATTATTATCACTGATTCAGCATACAATATTTTGAAGGCATACATAAGCCAGGATAATAGTATGTACATTTTTATGTATACACTGGATTACATCATTTTGCAACCCACACTTCACTTAAATTTAACCATGTATTATGACCACATGTCCATGTTTACATCTTCTTAATGTTTACATGTTATTCATTGTATGAATGTGCCATAATTTGTGAATCCAATCCCAGATGTTTGGGTATACATAATTAGGTTCAATTTTTTAATATTGTCTTCCATTCCTTAATTTTCTAATTATATACAGAAGATAAACTATCTTAAGTGGAATTACCAAATCAAAGGTATATTTTTAAAGGAATTTTAATATGTGTTGCCTTTGTGATATATAAGAAACCGAAATAAAATTTTGTGTTCTTTTGCATACTTTGGCATCTAAAATGTCATTGAACAACACAACCTCACAGGTTGCAGGAACAATGGCTTATATCAGGTTGGTATGTAACCTCCTTGCAATAGCTCTACTGCAACTTAGCATGGCTTTTGGATATTGCTGATTGGCTCTCTATTGCCAAACCCTAAACTTAATAGTTTCTACTAAGTCACACCTGAGACTTTGGGAGCAGACATATCCCAAAATGTTATGCAAATGTGATGCCTCTAGCATTCAAATGATTATTCAGCTTTTGCTGCTTATAAATCCTTAATATCGCTCTCCTCTTCTTCCTAAAGCGGTTAACCTGAGACCAATTAGTGATAAAGTCATTGCAATTTTCTGTGATGCTGATACCTTTCCAAGTTGGGATGTGAAAAACAATTATATTTGAGGATGGGTTCAATATATTGACCCTGACTTTCAAATATGCTGTTTTTCCTCCTCTCAATCAGTTTATAAAGTAATGAAATAGAGGGAAAAAAGTTAAATGCCAGTAAATTATAATTAATGAGGTGAAATGTTTGCAATCATTTAAAAGTAAAATTAAATGCTATTCATTATTTCATATACTTTTCTAAAATAGCTATATACTGCTTTTCCATATTTTTTTTTTTTTTTTTTTTGAGATGGAGTCTCGCTCTGTCGCCCAGGCTGGAGTGCAGTGGCGCGATCTCGGCTCACTGCAAGCTCCGCCTCCCGGGTTCACACCATTCTCCTGCCTCAGCCTCCCGCGTAGCTGGGACTACAGGCGCCCACCACCACGCCCGGCTAATTTTTTGTATTGTTTAGTAGAGACGGGGTTTCACTGTGTTAGCCAGGATGGTCTCGATCTCCTGACCTCGTGATCCGCCCGCCTCGGCCTCCCAAAGTGCTGGGATTACAGGCGTGAGCCACCGCGCCCGGCCCCCATATTTTTGTAGTCTACTTTGAGTTCTAAAATTTGATAGAGTAAAATATAAATAAATTAAAGACCAATCTGAAATTTTCTCTGAAATGTGACTTAGTAGTCACATTTTTGCCTTTCAGCTGTGCTTTTCTCATTATATTTATCCATCCAATATTTCATATTTCAGGAATTCACACATTCATTAAGAAACATCAAATAGATTTTTTCCTGTATATGATATGTAATGTTTAGGATTTGTGCTTGCTTCTGAAATTTAATAATTCAATGTTTATATACATACATAATACATGTCACTTCTATTACACACACACTACATATAGATATATAATATATAGATATATCTATATATTATAGAAATATAAATATATAGATATATCTATATATTATAGAAATATAAATATATAGATATATCTATATATTATAGAAATATAAATATATAGATATATCTATATATTATAGAAATATAAATATATAGATATATCTATATATTATAGAAATATAAATATATAGATATACCTATATATTATAGAAATATAAATATATAGATATACCTATATATTATAGAAATATAAATATATAGATATACCTATATATTATAGAAATATAAATATATAGATATATCTATATATTATAGAAATATAAATATATAGATATATCTATATATTATAGAAATATAAATATATAGATATATCTATATATTATAGAAATATAAATATATAGATATATCTATATATTATAGAAATATAAATATATAGATATATCTATATATTATAGAAATATAAATATATAGATATATACAACATATATGTTACATATTATATATTATATATCTATATATCTATATAACATTATATATCTATATATCTATATAACATATATAGATATATAGATATATATGTATATGTTATATATTATTTATATATAATTTTATCTATATATAGTTTTACCATTTTATTTGCTTCTGCATAGGTAAAGGATTGAAAAGAATGAACAATAATAATAAAATATTTGGTATGAAATAAAGGGATTTATCGTTAATAAAATGAAATTCAAATTCATGTTAAAATACCCAAATGGTAAAGACTAACACAACACAAAAATTGAAAGATACTAATACCTTTGTTTTACAATTTAAGTTTCAATACTCAGCACCATTCCATCTTGTCATGATTATTACATTAGTTACTGCTGTAATTATAAACAATCGACTAACACCTCAACTTTTTAAATTTTAGCTCGAATATTATCAACTGACTAGCCCCTTTTAATTTGAGGAATTTAGATCATATTTTCTTTCCTCATGTGAGTTTTGTAGATAGGCATTTTTTTATCTTTATCATTTTAAATAACATATATAAGCCTGTATGTATTCTTCCGTTATCTTGAGATAATGTCTCTTAATCCACACTATGTAAGTGAAGAAATAAATACCATTTTATCTCCCCATTTTTCTTCTATCATTCCCACTTCCTGACATCTATCACCACAGCAATCCATGTACATTGACAAAGTTTGCTAAAAGACCTACTGTCTCTTAGGCCAAATTGTTTTGTTTTCTTTTTTGTTCTTTTGTTCTGTTTTATTTGGTTTGTTTTTGTTTTTGCTTTTGGTAGCAGCCTCTATCCAATTATGCTTTATTGGGGCATGGGGGTGGGGGTTGGGGTCGGTTAAGCAAACTCCACGTCTCTGTAGAATACACAAACCATGACTCAAGAAACAACAAAAACAAAAACACTAACCATAAACTCAGTATCACAAAAGAATCTCATTTTCAAACCCAGAATTTCCTGGCATAGATAATACAAATTGCAAAACAAACAGAAATGTAAATAAAAGGAAGGCTGTCTGAGCCCAAACAATCCTATTAACCTATTCAACAAAAAGAATAATGTGAGTTAGAAATAAAAAAGCAGAAATAGAGCAACTTTATGACAATCTTTTCCTATCATTTTCAACTCAGAAATGCAGACCCTGAAGCACAGTTCAAATAATGCACTTTCAAATAACATTAGCATAGAAACATGGACTAAAAAACCAAATGGACAGGTCTTTCAGGAAGAGTAGAGTGACAAATGTTTGGCTCTCCCTCCTGTACTTAAGACTCAGGAAACGTGAAAATATGAGAAATAAACTTCGTTGACCTTCTAAGCTATGTAAAAACACATTCAAATGCTGAAAAATTTGCAGAATATCTCTAAAATTGGTGCAGATATGGCCATAATAAAACAGCACACCAATTAAAGAATGTCTTGTAATCAATCTCTTTCATAAAGTGGTATACATTTCAGACAATTAATGGAGGTAATCCAAGGCTCACCAAGACCCTTTGGCTGAGAAGGGAAAGGCCTGTAAGTCCAATCAGGTTGGAAGAGTTCTTAATGGGCAGGAAAGCTAGCCCCCTGGGATACTAGCCACTGCACTGAGCAACATGACTGCAGTAGAATCCTTAGCAGGCCAGAAGTTTAGATAGATAGACAGATGATAGATAGATAGATAGATAGATAGATAGATAGATAGATAGATAGATAGATATAACAAAAGGCTAAAAGCACGAGAAATATCTCACCACAGCAAAAAGCTAAAATAAACCGTCCCATCTCCATAGTATGGAAGATTATGCAGCCATTAAAATAATAATGTAGGCCAACTTGGGTAATCATGACACACAGGCCAATTCTTGCACATTTTCTGTTTGTGTCAATAAAGTTTTATTGGAATACAGCCACACCATTTTTTTTAACTATTGTCTGTGGCTGCTTTTACCATACAATGGCCAACTTGAGCAGTTGTGACAGAGACTATCTAGGCAACAAATCCTAAAATATTTGCTATCTTGCTCTTTACAAAAAAAACTTTTTTTGGCTCTGGGTAAGAAATGTATACTTGACACTAAGATATTCTCATGAGTTAGTACTAAGTGAAAAATGAAGTTATAAAACTATATATGCTAAGCTCATATGTTTATAACTAAAAAGGCATTTGCATGTGTATGTACGGGGAAGGACAAATACCATAATGTTGACAATGGCTATCTCTACTAGGATTATTAATGACTCCTTTTTGTCATAATTATCTGTTTTTAAAATTTATACACAGCAACATACACACACATATATACACACACATACATATATATATATATAAATTTGAAAATAGCAAAGAACCAAAATCTTTGAGGCAGTTTTTATCATTAGTTGTCAATCATTGGTTGTAACAGCTGAATTTTCAGAAAAGGAAAATGGACTCTTCTGTGTGTCTGTAGACTAGAGCTTGCCAGCCTCACGGACTATGTGGGCCTCATTTTAGTGCAGAGCAGGCTGCAAATTATTTCAAGGTTCTGTGGGTTTGATAACAGTTGTCTGGAAGGGGGACAACTGCTCATTTTCAACTGTGGTCTCACAAGCATGGAGAGACTGTTATTTTCATCTGTGCTCCTTCAATCGAACATGAAACATCTGTCACAAAACTATTGTCTGATGTGGCAGCAAAGGCTTCTCTCCATCTAAAAGCCCAGCAGCTGCTGCGGGAAAGATCAGACAACTACAAGCAATGTGTCAATACCTGTACAGACTACCATGATTTTTTAAATAATACTGAGCACTGCAGCACTGGTAATAATAATCACAGCAATATTCTGTGATGTCATATACACACACACATATATATTTAGAGAGAGAATATTGTGAGTGTGGTGTGTGTGTGTGAGATATATTTACACACATACACACACATATATATAGAGAGAATATTATATGTGCATGTGATGTGTGTCTGAGATATATTTACACACATATATATATAGAGAGAGAATATTATGTGTGTGGTGTGTGTGTGTGAGAGATATTTATATACACACACATATATATATATATCATTTGACCTAAAATAGACTTTTAAAGTAGGAATGTGGTAATGTATTTGAAAGATTTAAATCTCACATAATTCATGTGTTTTTAATTTCTTCAAGAACTTAGGTCTTGAAGTGCAAAGTTGGCTTTTCACTGGTAAGCAGAGGTTTGCAAATGTTGTTACAGGAAATCTACCTCATTTGAGGGTACTGAGTTTTCTTGGAAAAAATAAAAGAACAACTTAGACCAGTTGAATTTGAATGCATTTTTAAAACATTTTTCTTCTGGGGCTCAGGAGGAATTATTTAATTTAAGGCATCTAAGGGATGAATGTTGATGTGGGAGAAAATGGAGTACCTGGGTGAAGAGCATAGTCTCAGGAGTGGGAACACAACATTGAATCATGTTTACCAGCCGTGGGAAATTAGGCAAGCTTCAAGTCCTTGCTTTGCACATCATTAAAGTGTGGGTGATTGATGGCACTACTGCCTGTCTCCCTCATAAAGTTACTTTGACAGTCAAATGGGTTAAAATTTGTAAAGCGTTTAGCATAGTAGGTGGCATATATGAAAGGTTGTATGAATTGGTTAAATAAATAGCAGCAGGTGTGATGCTGATCTGAAAGCCCATAGTGAGCTACTGCAGTAAAGCCACTAGAAGAAGTGAGCAATAATGATGGGAAGACAAATTTGGCTGCAAACCCAAGACACAGGTCAGACACAAATTTAAGAAAGAGAAAACAAAAACCACAAAAGACACAAAACCAGTGAGAATTCTGGCTTTGTTAAAAAATAAAATTAGAGTGGTCAGGAGACTTGGGAGTAAATTTGGTTTTACTTTTACCCTAGCCTTTCTAAATGGATATGAGGCAAAGCATGTGGGGCTTAATGGACGCTGGTTTTGTTTCCTCCTTACTACCCCACAAATAAATAGCAGACACAGTATATTTTCCCTTTTGTCATCCCTCAATATTGGAGTGTTGATGAGTTCCCATAGCCCCCACCCACTCTCCACACCCCCACCTTGGACCCATAAACTGTTGAAACATGTGGTGTTTCTTTTGTAAGTCATTTGACTTCAATCCTTTTCACTGCCCACAAATCCCTGTCATTAATATCAATTTTTCTCATCTATTTCTCAAAATATATTCTCTTCTACAAAAGTGTGTAATTCCACAGTATTAATTGGGTGTCACTTAAATCTTTCTAATGATACACAACTGACTCTTTTATTCACATTGCCTTTCAACCTCTTTTGGACTGTGATTGTTTCAATGACTGAAAAATGCTGCTATTGAATCCTATTTAGTTGTATCAACGAGGTACCACCCATAATTATGTAAATATAATTTTATTTTGCTGACATGACCAGATAATTTTAGATCAGTAGGCTTGGCTTCAATGATTTACTTTGAACTTCAACTTAAAAATCTAAAATTTAAAGACAAATACATTTAATGGATTTTTGTTAATTAATACATAAATATTCATTGTATTTATTTCTCTTTGGTTTGTGAAACCTATACTTCAATTAGTTCAACTCTGCATAATTACGTATTTGGTTCTTAAAGCACACCACACGCGTGCACACACACACACTCACACACACTCTTCCATTTTCAAATCATGGCTTAACTGTTGTCTTTCCTAAAATCTTTTCTAACTAAATGGAAACTAGTCATTCAATAAGCCTGACCTACACTGAGTAAAAGAAAAAAAAAGCAAATACCCACTGAAATAAGTCTAATTATGATAGAGATTTGGTATAACCATTCTAGAATATGTTAAGGGAGAATTTTGAGATATTGAAGTCACACAAATGAGGTCAAGTGAGTGGTTAGCACAGACGCCTCTTATTTGATCTGAGTTCTGGGAACAGAGGGAAAACACTTGAGAAAGATAAGGGTGCATGCCAAGAGTTAGAGTAAATAAAGTTATATAAAAATTGAGTACCATCTCTTTAGGATATTTTATTTCCTTCCATCACTAGAAAACATTAACCCATAGACATAGATTTTGAGAAAGTTAAAATCAAAACTTTAAATGCAAAAACAGCCTGCTGGGACCTCGTGCTGGGATGTGCCTCCCTATGTTTTCCTGGGACCTGTTGCTGTGACGTGCCTCCCTATTTTTTCCTGAGACCTGTTGTGGTGATGTGCCTCCCGATGTTTTCCTGGGACCTGGTGCTGGGATGTGCCTCCCTACTTTTTCCTGAGGCCTGTTGCTGGGATGTGCCCCCCTAACTTTTCCTGGGACCTGGTGCTGGGATGTGCCCCCCTACCTTTTCCTGGGACCTGGTGCTGGGATGTGCCTCCCTACCCTTCCCTGGGACCTGGTGCTGTGATGTGCCTCCCTACGTTTTCCTGGGACCTGCTGCTGTGATGTACCTCCCTACGTTTTCCTGTAATCCTGTTGCTGTGATGTACCTCCCTATGTTTTCCTGGGAGTTGGTGTTGTGATGTTCCTCCCTACGTTTTCCTGGGACCTGGTGCTATGACGTGCCTCCCTACCTTTCCCTTCATCCCAGCACCCCTGAGCACCCTTCCTAGTTTTCTTCTGCCCTATATTTGTTTTCATCTGCTTTGAAGTCATAGCACATATTATCCCTCTTGTTAATCAATTGTTATGATCATCTGTGTGGTAATCCTGTCCCCAATTTCTCCTCCTACGTACAATTGATAGAGTGTTCTTCCTGAAGCCTAACTCTGAAAATACCAACACTCTTCTCCCTGAAGACAAAGTTATTCCTAAACATCAATGATTCTTCAAAGACTACCCATTGTCATTCAAATTCCTTAGGAAACCACACCCCACTCAAAATCAAATATTTTAATGCATTATTACATTTTCCTTAAACAAAAATCTGTTTTTTAAATTTTTTATTACAAAAGTCTATGATAAAATGAAGACACGTTGCAATGGGAATCATTATGCCCAGTTTTGAACCAAAGATCCCTTGCTATCACCAAATAGTTTGTAATGCAACTTACAATATCCTATTTGGCTAAAGAGGTAATTTTTAGAGGATGTCTAGATTTCAGATCATTGTAAGGAGCAAACTCACGCATATTTTAGATCAAGCTTGTTTATCATATTCAAAGCTTCTAAGAGCTTATTTGTTTTTCTTAAATGTTCAAATACTGAAAAAGTTGCAGTAGATGGTGTCCATAATTATATAACTCTTCATACTGTAGGTACATTTTTCTTGGTTTGTTTTATATAATTTTGCTATGTTTTAGTATTCAGTGAATGAAGATGCATCAATCATCTATTTTCAAAAATAAATATAAGTGCATTCCATGCTTAAATAATAATTAACAAAAATAATAAAACAAAATGCATATCAACAGAGAGAAGCACTGTTCAGATCTTGATTTATAGCCTTTTATACATTTTATAGATATATCTAAACTAGTTTTCTAAGAATAGGATCTTATCATATTTACCGCTTTTCAATCAGCTATTTTCATTTAATGTATGTCTTATGTTTGGCAGGATTACTAATTAAAAGTTATTCGGCAGGATTATTTCACTAGCTGTGTGACTCTAGGGGAATAACTTAATATCTCTGTGATTAAATTTTCCTATCTGAAAGATAGAGATGAAAATAGTACCTCACCCTTAGGGATCTTTAGAGGATTACATGCAAATTACCCAGGATATACAGAGGATCCCCAGCTAAACAATGGTTTGATTTTTCTACTTTATGATAGTGTGAAAGTGATACACATTTAGTAGAAACCTTACTTAGAATTTTAATTTTGATCTTTTTCTGGGCTAGCAATATGCTCTACAATACTCTCTAGTGATGCTGGACCACAGCAACGAGCCAAAGCTTCCAGCTAGCCAGGCAATCACGAGGGTAAACACTCGATCTCTGCAGCGTACTATGCTGTCAAATGATTTTGCCCAGCTGTAGGCTGATGGAATTGTTCTGAGCATGTTTAAGGTAGGCTAGGCTAAGCTATGAGGCTCAGTAGGTTAGGTGTACTAAATGCATTCTTGACATTATATTTTCAAATTACAACAGGTTTATTAGGAAGTAACCCCATCGTAAGGAGAGAAGCATCTATTTGTACACTGTTGCATGTATTAAAGAATAATAATAATATGTTATTATGCAAAGTTAAAGGTTTTTTTCTGGAATAGTGTGTGACATCTACACATTTATGACTAGGTTGACACCAATCTATGTGAACTAGTAAAGCTTGCTTAAAAATCATAAAACACTGATAAAGTGTCAAAATGAAATTTAGGATGACATTGTAGAAGTGTTTGTTCACAAGGAATAATATTTAAAAGGTATTGCTCATTCATATAATACATACATTTATATATAACTCATATAACATACATAACTAGTATAGATAGTTTTTGTCACTGAAGGTTTTATCATTTTTCTATAACAAATATAGATTGCTAGTGCTGTAAAATTTACTAAATTGTAAAGTAAAATACAGCTTTTAAAAATTATTTGTAATAATTATGACTAATTATGAGCATTAATTTATTTGAATAACAAAATTTCTTATGAATGCTTGACTAAACTTTACTCAGGTTTCTTCCTGACTCTAGACCCTAACCTTCCTTTCCTTTGAGCAATTTTTTTTTGGTTGGGGGTGGTAAGAGCAATATAATTGTACATTCTCTCTCTGCCCTTTTGAGAAGTAAATATTTTTAAAGCCTCTTGCCAGTTTTACAACCCAGGGCTGTCTGTCTTTCTCAAGGATCTGGGAACTAACTCTTCAAAATGTGATCATCACAGAAGATACTGCCCTTTCTCTTAGCTTCTATGAGAGGGTAGAAGCCAACTTTGGCTGGAGCCTTGCTCCAATTTGTCAAACTACCTCCTGCCATGAAGATATAAGAGCATTTACTTTTCCTTTGGGCAAAGTAATTAGCAAACATAGGTAACCTGTCAGCCCCCTATCCTGGTTCTTAAAAACTCTCCAGACTTTTTTCTCACTGGAACAGGGAATCTAAATTTGGTGGTCTGTCTTCTATTGTTGGCAATAAAATCAACTTCTGTCTGTCCATCTTGTCTAGTGTGATTGTTCTCTTTAACAGAGGCAAAATGGTTCTAGATTCTTGCTGCTTGCTTTATAATTTGGGGCCAGTGACATGGTAAACTTTAATTTCCAATTTGTAAATGGGAACTTTCAACACCTCCCAAGTACAGCAGTCATCCAGATGAAAGGAGATAATATATGTAAAGCACTTTACAGAATGATGCGTAAGTTCTCAGCAAGCCTGAGAATTAAAAAGATAATCTGAGAGATTAAATAGGCAATTATGAAAAGACTTTGCTAATAAACACATTAAAAATGTTCTATGTCAACTGTAAAGTTTTTTAAGTAAATTGAAACAACAGTACAATATTAGTTTTAAACAATCCATGTGACATAGATTTTTTTAAATGTCTCTACAGAGCTGGCCAGTGTTTGGCAAAACATATACTCCTATATACCAGGGCTGAAAATATAATGGGAATATAAATTGCTATCTTTTTTTTTTTTTGAGACATAAGTTTCACTCTGTCACCCAGGCTGGAGTGCAGTGCGTATCCCCAGCTCATTGCAACCCCTGCCTCCTAGATTCAAGCGGTCCTCCTGCCTCAGTCTCCTGGGTAGCTGGGATCACTAGCACATGCCACCACACCTACATTTTTTGGATATTTTGTAGAGATGGGGTTTTGTCATGTTGCCCAGGCTAGTCTCAAACTCCTGACCTCAAACGATCCACCTGCCTTGGCCTCTCAAAACGATGAGATTATATGCGTGAGCCACTGCACCTTACCTATTCTCTTTTTGAAAGGCAATTTGCCAATTAAGTATCAGAAATCTTTAAATTGTGCCTGCCTTGCAATTCTACTTTTAGATAAGAAATAGTTGAACATCAGTGAATTTTAATAAACACATAAGTTTTTCCTAACTATATTTCTAATAATGAAACTTGGAACTGACCTAAGAAATCAAATCATAGAAAACAAATAAATGATTGTAAAATTATACAAGGGAATATACTATATAAACATTTAGAATCACATTTAAGAGCCTTTTACAGTTGAGACAATCTTCATGATAAAATGTAAAGTGAAAAAAAGTTAAATAGCTTATATATTGCCATCCAAATATTCTATATCAAAGAAGTTAGGGTTCTAAAATAACATATGACAAATATTAAGTGTAATTATCATATTTGCAGTTTTTTGCAATTTTATAAATAATGGACAAATAATGTGAATATAATCAAAGTAATCAGTTTTGTTATTCATTCTCCAGTTAAAAAGCAAGGTTTTCTTTTAGGCCATTTTATCTCTATCAGGAATTAAAATAAATATTTCTGTGTTGTTTTCTGTCTTCTCTTTAGGCTCTTCTTGCTTTCTTTTAGCTTTTCTGACTTTATTCCTATGAACTTTCATTAACCTTTATACGTTTGTCATAAATTGTGTTATCTCTGAATAAATATAATATTTTCCCCTGTTTTTTATTTGAAAGATTATCGTAAACACTAAATAGAAATTTTTCCCCCATGTGCCTTTTCTTCATGAAGATGTCAGTGTTATACCTAAAATTAGATGACAGTATTTGATGTTGTTCACACAGAACAGGCAGACTACAGTCAATATGGCCAGTGCACTGTGGTGGGGTGAGGGGAATGGTAAGGGGCTGGAAGTTAGTCTGCTTGAATCTTGTAATAAATACATTTGGCTTATTGGCTTATTTCTGTTCCCTATATAGATAAAACCTACCACTGACTGAATATTGCCTATTGATTACCAAAAGAAAAAGCACTTCACATCTAAGAACTATCAAAAAACATGGATTTACTATAGCTCAGTGAGAATGTTAACAAAGGCTCACATGAAGGATTTTATTTTCTCAAAAGATATAAAACTAATGTATTATTGTTTTTATCTCTAAACCAACATTTTCCTTTAAATTCCTAACACTTTTTTTTTTTTTTTTTTTTTTTTTAGACGGAGTCTCGCTCTGTCGCCCAGGCTGGAGTGCAGTGGCGCGATCTTGGCTCACTACAAGCTCCGCCTCCCAGGTTCACGCCATTCTCCTGCCTCAGCCTCCCGAGTAGCTGGGACTACAGGCGCCCGCCACCACGCCCCGCTAATTTTTTGTATTTTTAGTAGAGACGGGGTTTCACCATGTTAGCAAGGATGGTCTTGATCTCCTGAACTCGTGATCCACCAGCCTTGGCCTCCCAAAGTGTTGGGATTACAGGCGTGAGCCACCGCGCCCGGCCCCAACACTCTTATTTTTATTTAAAACACATTTGCATGGTAAATCAGTTGGCATAAATTACATATTTTTTAAATTGTTAGATCTGACTCATGTTGAAACACACAGGAAGCTCAAAGTCAACATTTATGGACTTCACAACACCTTGAAAAAGCAAACTCAGACCCAAAACTTTCATAGAACTGCTGCAGGTCACGTTATCTTCTGGCTGAAAATTAAAATGACACCTGGAAAATATAACTACCCTTTTCAAGGCACAAAGCCCAAATCAAATAACCTCCTTACTTAATACCATTGTGGCTTGAAATAGGATAGTTTATCTAATTTGGGTAAAGGAAGAGGCAATATCAGTTCATTTATGTGGCATGAATACTGTTTTATTTGCATACAAAAGTGATCATTATAATTTTAGAATGGGTAGTTTCTTAAAGGAGAATAACACTCATCTTTCCATCAACGGACTCTCATTTGAAGCTAAACCAATATAAACATTTATAAGAATTAACACTAGAAAACTAAGGTAAATCTGATTGACTTCTGTAAAATTCTGAGTGTTGTAGATTTTTTAAATACCTACTTGCTCTTTTTTTTTTATCTTGAAACAATGTTTCAAGATAATTGCACCCTCTGTATACTTAGGGTGCAATTTATTTTTTTCAACTGAGATAGTCAAGGATAACTGGACACAGCTATTTTCTCCATTTATAGATAGAGAAAATATTTTTAACAGGATTACTCAAGGGCTACAGTTAATTATCATGGGTATAGCTTGGTACACATCTATATTGATAGCCAGCCCTGGGATGGGCGTGGTGGCTCATGCCTGTAAACCTGGCACTTTGGGAGGTTGAGGCAGGCGGATCACTTGAGGTTGGGAGTTCCAAGACCAGCCTGGTCAAAATAGTGAAACCTTGTCTCTACTAAAAATACAAAAAATCAGCTGGGTGTGGTGGCGGGCTCCTGTAATCCCAGCTACTAGGGAGGTTGAGACAGGAGAATCGCTTGAACCCTGGAGGCGGAGGTTGCAGTGAGCCGAGATCGCGCCACTGCATTCCAGCCTAGGCTACAAGAGCGAAACTCCACATCAAAGAAAAAAAAAAAAGCCAGCCTCAAGTTTCAGTAAAAATTAAATAATTTAGCTAACACCTACCTGCTACTTGATTTCACTCAACCATCTCTTGCTCCACCCCTTCAAGCTGATTTGGTTCTCACTGCGGAGCCTAGGGGAGTAAGTGGTTCAGGAACCAGGGAGTTTTTGAATGCCTTCAGCTTATCCTTATGTCCCCTTCTCCTACATCTTGTAAAATAAGGCAATATGGGATTTTATGGGAGTAAATATCTCAGATTTTCTGGCGTACAGGCTTACACAATTTCTCAAATAGGAGTGTATGTCGTACAAATGTAGCACTTTCTGAACAATTAACAATTGGCTTTAAAACTAAGGACACCTACATTTTGAAATAACCATACTACATGGATTTGACATCCACTGAAATCAAGATTTGTTGTCTATTAAAGATGTGTTATTTTTCCCCAAAGGTGAAGATTCATATATGCTTTACATCTGGGATTCAAAGTCTAGGCTTGTATATTTGGATAATTTTTCTGAGAACCATCATAGAACATCCCTTCTAGCGTTGTTCACTTAGAAGTTAAACTACTTTTTTATTAACTTTCAATAAACAGTGAAAAAGAAAATGTAACATGCACCTCTAACTGTTGTTTTTTTTAGGGGAAACCGGCCTATTAATTTCAGGCTTCCCGAGTCACTCTCCATTGTCCCTACTTTGGTCTTTGTTGAGCCTTCTTAGATACTACGTACTCTGAGGCCTCTGCCCTCCCTTTTCCTTACTAATGTCAGCTCTGCCAAATCCATTCATACTCAAGTCAAAAATGAAAGATAAAATGACTACCACACACAGACATGAGGGTACTTTAACAAGAGACTAGAGACTGAAAGGAAAAAGAAATAATAATAAAAGTAGTCTCATATTACAACTGGTACATACGAGTTATGAGTTGTCAGATAATCTCACCCACACCCTTAATTTCCCACAAGGGAGGTCCCACCTAATAGACAATGGTAATGGAAGGAGAATGAAACTCTTCATGGATATTACAATATGGCTTTTTCTTCTCTGTTGTGCTCGCATGAGATATTTGAAATTACAATTATTATAAAAATACTGCCTAGTGTTATTTGCCTACTTATTTTAAATTAAGAAAGTCTGTCTCAAAAGGACTCAATGTGGCTGACCAGAAGAAGAACATCATAAGGCAATTAAGTGGATATAAGAGAAATGGAGGCCAGAACCAAAGAAAGAGACCAAATAAAATATGGTAAGAACAAATGTTAATAAAGTTATTGTTATGAAAGATCAGAAATCTTATATTCATGGTTATTATACCTATATGAGTTATTTAAAATTTTTAATGTTTATTATTTAAAAATATTAAATACACAGAGAAAAAAATGTATTACCAAACTGGCATGAATTAAAACAATAGATGTGAATCTATATGTAATGGGAGTTATATTACTCCAACTATATAAACATAGAACATTTAAATAAATTATTAAGCTTTAATATTTATATTAACTTCAGCTTTTTTGATATTTCATCTCTGTCATTATTTGACATACCTGATAGGGATATTGAAAAAATTGTACTGAGATTTGCAAGTACACATGTTAATAAGAATAAAAAATATAGACTTTGCATTATGTCATGGCAAAATATTATCCTTATTTCTGGTTAGTTTTATTTTTTTAAAAAAAGGACAAAAAGAATATTCAAGTAAACTCATAACTTTATTACTAAAAGCACCATCTGGTGGTTACTAGAAATGGATGCATTTCAATCTTTCTGTCCTCAGATCTTTTGATAAAACAATAGAAAAATGTTTCTCTCTTGCATGCTGACAGAGATTCCCCTCTGCATATTGAAATTATAAGCCTAGAGAAACAGAAGGTGGATTTTATTGGTAGAATGCTTTAGTCTATGTGTGTGCATGCAATAAAATCAATTTTTCAGCTTCCCTTTTATTAGAAACCTTGGTATATAAATAAGAGTATTTTCTGATCTAAATCAGTTTTACATAACCAGAAGGCAATTGTGAGTTCAGGAATTAGAAAGGTCTCCCATACAGGGGACATTAGAAAATCCAAACTGAAGTGTTTTAACTTTCCCAGGTTGTTACCTGATTCTCGCATGCAGTAGGTTCCAAATAAGTGTTGGCTAAATCGGGGAGGGGGGGGGGTGTGTGAAAGAAAAGAAAAGAAAAGAAAAGAAAAAAGAAATGAATTGCCATGACTTAATGTGAGATAAGACAAAACCGGGGGGAAATATCCTCATATTTTATATTAGATAGATATTTTTAACCATGCCAAATTTGATGTGTGAATTTAACATTAGCAGGAAAGGAGTGATGATTTTTATTTTTAAGGAAAGATTATCGTGCAATGAATAAATTTAGAATTTTTTTGAGATTTCAAAAATATGGCAAGGTATTAATTCTGGGAGCTTTAAAAGACTGTTAATATGAGCATTTGACCTAATGAATTATAAACACAGAACAAAGAAATCCTCTGTTGCTACATAGCTTTGTTGTGAATTCAATAGAACTCATTTTCTACATTCTCTTGAGAGGATTGAAGAAGATTATTTCAAATTGAAATTTAAGATATGAAATTCTGAGCTGTAGGAGGGTAAAAGGTTTTTACTTTTTTCTTCTTTGAAAATTAATTTTCCCCATTACAAATGCAGAAATTGAGTTTCAAAGGTAATCTAGTAAAATCAAGTCACACAGGTAGAAATAGTGGAGTTGTCATTTGAGTTCAAGTTCTTTGTTTCCAAAGCACTGTTTCTCAGCATTGTGAAGAAGGTTTGCAATTATACGAATAGATTTTTCTGATGGTTTGGGAGATGGGTAGATGAGGAAGAATATGACTTTCTTTATATATGGGTAACTTCCTCTAAATATCACTGTGTTATTTCACCACTCCTTCTATGTGATCCAAATATATCTCTTTAAGTAACATAGTTGACATGAAGACTGTTTACTCTGCATCTGACTCCTCTAACCACTTTGAGGATAAACTCTTAGTGTTTCAAGATGTGATCTCATATCACAGTTAAACTAAAAATTATTCTGCTTTCACTACATGATAGGGAAAGTTTAACAATTCATTCAACAGATACTTTCCTAAGTGTTAGAACATTTCTATATCCAATAAGGAGAAAAATGCATTCATACAAATTTTGTAGTCAATGATAAAAACAAGAGTTTGGAATGGCTTCGGGGGAAAACTGCTTCTGCCAGGAACACTTACTTAGTTCTAGGGTAAAAATAAGCTTCACAGATCCAATATCAGTAAGCGATCCTCATCAAACAGATGCCAAAGTTTGTTTTAAAAAGTGATATATCTACAGTTCACACACAACTTTAAAAATCTATTTGATTTTGTTATGCGTATAACAGAGAAAGTCCAGGATTGAGGGTTGGGATGTTGGAACTACATAAACTCTCTCTCTCTCTCTCTCTCTCTTTCTTCCACCCCAGCTTATTGTATGTAACCAGTTTTTCAAAATAGAAATGTCAGCATCTGATAACTGTTACATGGATATTTATATTAGTAATAAAAACACTACAATAGTAATAATTTTTGGTCAAATTGATCTGTTATCCATCCAACATTTATTGTCTCTCAATAGGATCTAGATGTTTCATGGAGGCGTCACTTTTTCTTCACAAGTCATAGACAAAAGATGTTGGCTCCTGGGGGGAACCATGATTATGATACACCTGGCTCTGTGCTTCTATTCCTCTTGCTCCAGTGGGCAGTCACCCAGACCTAATTGTCATATGACAATCTCCTGTCCACTGTGATTGCTTTCTGATTAAAGTTATTCCAAACAGATTAAATGCCAGAAATTTTTCCCCAGAATTTTTTGGTGGTCAGCGGAGGAACAGTCTCTGAACTGGAAAGAGGCCAGCATTTTATTGTTTGCTGCCATCTTGAGAACGTAATGGGATCTAGCCTTTGCATTAAGCTGTTACTGTCAAAGGTTAGAGTTGGGAGAAAACTTGAATGCTGAGAAATACTGTTGAGGCTCTAACATTTTTTTGGAGTCCACCCTACGTTTGAACTTTTCTGTTGGGTAAGCCAAACATTTCTGTTTGTTTCTTATGCCAGTTTCATGTAGCTTTCCTGCTGCTTGAAAATGAATACCTAATCACAATGGCATTGATAGCAGTTATTATTTAAGTAATTTCTGGTCAAAAGGCATTGTGCTAAATGGTTCATTGGGAGGCAGATACTTTGATTACCTCCATTTCATAGCTAAGGAAACAGATTTGGAGAGGTTAAATGGCTTACTTAAGATCACACATTTAAAAGACATCAGAGTTGCAATTCGAACTGCATCTTTCTAATGATAAATTTCATACATTTGAACCTTCCACCATGGATGAGACAATGGGCTTAAACTTTGATGTCACACTATCTAGCTGTGTGGTCTTGGGCGAGTTACTTAACTTCAGTAGTTCTTAATTTCCTTAACCATAAATTGGGGACAATAATAGTCCCTAGCTGATATAAGAATTAAGGGAGCTAACATGTATAAAAATTACCTGTATAATAGAAAATTACCTATATAATAATTATTAGACAATAAATATTAGATCGTCATAATTACTAGGCTTGCATTTATTCATTTTCAGATTAGGTTTTCTAACCAACAGAATACAGATTCTTCAGGCACATCACCACTACCTCCAAACAGACCTAAATAAACATAGTAACATGGGGTTTTCATTTTTATAGAGCTCAGGCTTAAATGGTTGCAATATTTCTGGTGTTCTCTCCCTATCCCACATGTATTTGACTTTATTGATATTTTTTCTCGACAAATATTTATTAAGAGCTTAGCTTGTGTTGAGGTGTATTGGAGATGGGAAACAGAGTAGCAAACATAAAGCAGATAAGGTTTTTACCTTCTTGGGACTTAACAGTCCTGTGGGCTGGAGGAAGAGACAGATTATTAAATAGGTAAGCTCATATGCACACAAATATATTTCTGACAGAAGTGCTACCAAAGTAAGGAATAGTGTGAGAGCATATAAATGGAGGCTCAAATCTAGTCCAGGAAATAAGGATCCCCTGAAGATGTGATTTTTATCTTTCCCCTAAACGCTTTTCTAGATTTTTTTTAATCCAGAAAAGGGTTTAGGAGAAGGACAACAGCATTCACATCAGCCCTGAGACAGGAAATAACTTTGTGCTCTTAGGAAACTCTTAACATCTTCTTGTAGTTATAATAGAGTGAGGTATGGAATTTATATGGTTAGTGAAGTGGCTGGAGAGGTTGACGAAAACAAGATTATACTACATTTTGTTGGCCATCTTATAGATTTTGGGATACGTCCCAAGATTCTTAAGTAAGGCCATGGTATGGTTTCATTTTGTTTAAGAAGTCACTGACTATTTTGTGAAGAATTGATTGGACAGGCATACAGGCAGATTTGCAAAGAACAATTGAGAGAAGAGTTTATTAGTCTTGAAGAGTAAAAATACCTGTAGGTGATTCGAACCAAGGTCATGGTAGACTGATAAAGGAAGGTAGCTGAATCAACAATTATTTAAGAATTTGAATTAATGAAATTTGGTAATGAACTAAATATAGTTAGTTGATGGACTAGATGTTATAGTATTCCATGCACATCCCTTCCACTGAAGCAGCTACTATTTAGTTGTTTGCTTGGCTCACAATTTCTCCTTTCTGCAGAGAAACACAAGAAATTTCTTAGAAGTGATATACCACTCTACATTCTTCATACCTATACTCCCAGACAATAATGAAATCGCCAAAGGACTGCCCCCCTTCAAAGAGAATATTTTCTATATCCAAATCCCTGTATCAGCCTCTGGTTCTAGGGAACAAACAAACAAAAAAAAGATAGTTGAGCACTTGGCAAAGGACAAAAAGATTTCCAGGATGATTCTCAATCTTTTTATCAAAGCAACTTTTACTCTCACTGTGGGTGGAACTGGCCAAGACGTGAGTTCAGTTTGGGAGGCACTGGGTTTGAGACCTATAAGAACAAACCAAGTAGAGATGTCAAGTTGTCACTTAGCTATATAGGGCTCTGGATTTCAGAAAGGACTGGAAATAAAATTAGAGTGTATTGATATCATAAAAAGTAAAGGCAGCGTGGGAATGGGAGAGAGAGTAGTGTGAGAGAACGGTCAAGACTCCTCTTGAAGATATGTAATTGGCAGTGAGCCATTTGCTAACACAATTCTCTCTAATTCCTCTCTAAGGGCCCTTTTATGTTGAGTGTGGGAACTTTACCCTTTTGGTTTGTTTGGGTGTGGAGGCTATTTCTGAAATAATATCAAGTACTTTCACAGCTTTCAGTTCTTTGTACTATGTATCGGAAAAAAGATGTGTGAAAGCTTTTTTCCCCACCTCTGCAGCCCATCAGCTTTATCTATGGTTGACTCTAAAGGCAAAACCATTATGGATCATTTTTAAACCATTCATAGTTTGCTTCTGAAGAGCTTCAGGACACATTATCCCAAATATGGCACCTTGGCATTTGAGAAAACAGTAGAAGCAAGAAGGCTACTCTTAGCTTTGCTGTGCTTTTTTCCTGTGAGGCAGGTCACAAAACCTAGGAAGGTAATTTTCTGACCTTTCCTCACTCTGCTCCCCCAGAGCAGGTCACAGGATCCTCATTTGAGAAATGCGCTCCCTTTATCTGGAGGAAAGGAGCCAAAGACACAGAGATGCCGTGAGAAATTCCAACAAACAGATCTTACTAAGTTGTCCCAGTTTATTATCATTAGATCATACCATTTTGTTCCATGACTGCTCACTTTTAATCAAATTTAAGCATAAAAACAAGTTTACCTATTTCTTTGGTGTTTCTTTCCTTACGAAGTTTCTCACATCATGTAAAACTTGTATGAAATAAATGTATCTACTTTTCTCTTGTTAATCTGTCTTCTGTTATAGGAGCCTCAGGCACAAACCTAGAAATTGCAAGGAAAATAAATCTTTCTTCCCTTATACCTCTTCTTAATTTTACTTTTATTTTAGTTTTAGAATTGGGATCTTGCTCTGTCTCCTAGGCTGGACAGCAGTAGTATGATCATAGCTCACTGTGGCCTCGAACTTCTGGGTTGAAGCTTCCCTCCCACCTCAGCCTCCTGAGTAGCTAGGACTACAGGTATGAGCCACCATTCCTGGCTATTGGTTTTTTAACTTTTGTAGAGACAGGGTCTCTCTATTTTGCCCAGGCTGGCCTTGAACTCCCGGCCTCAAGCAATTGTTCCACCTTGGCCTCCCAAAGTGCTAGGATTACAGCTATGAAGGACTGTACTCTGCCTCACCTATAACTCTTTATAGTCAAAACGGATTACTCCTCTCATCATCTCTAAATTGAATAGGATCTATAGAATCTAACCTTATTTCCAGCCAATGAATGGAAAGACAACGTGTTATATCCTACCAGCCTACTTTCCCTTCCTCTGTTGCCATCTTGTCACAAAAACGTCTTCACATGTGTTTGAGACCATCACTTGACAAAATTTTTTCTTTGATGCTGTTTATGTGCTTCCATTTTCCTCTCATGCAATTTTAATTTCAGAATTCAGAGTTTCCTAAACCAGCGGCTCAGCTGTTTCTGCTGCAGGAAAGGTTGTGGGCAAAAGGATGTTTGTTTTGTTCTTTAATCTGGAGTTTTCTCTTCTATGATGGATACAGTAAAGGAGCAGGGAAAAAGATTTTCCTCCTGAAAGAAAGGAGTAGGATAGCTCTTCACTTGGGCAAAAGGATAGCGGTCAAGCTAATTATTTATATTAAGCTACTTATACCTATTGTGGTACTAAAGTATAACTTTGTATGAATTCCAATAACTTGTAAGCCTAATTATACGGTATAAAATATAAAAATGCTATGATAGATTTTAAAAAGAAAATGGAGTAACCCAAGAATGTGATGCAAATTATGTTTATATATAATTTTGAGATTCTCAGCTCCTACAGCTTTCCAATATTACATACCACTTACGTGGGCATAGAGTTCAGTTTTTACAGGGTGATTTGTAGCCTATCCATAACAATGAGAAGCTATTTGGCCATGTATAATAAAGATTGTTATGCAAAACTGTTCCTTTGGCATGGTACATTTTTTTATTTAAAGAAACAATTCAAATTCCCTGTAGGTAAGGAAATAAAAGAACAAAAGGTTATATGTTGTACAGGTAGGAATGAAAAGGAGAAAAATTGAGGGATTTCTTATTCTTTTATGTAATTACAGGATTTGAGACTGATGTTATTTGTTGCCTTCTGTTTTCCTCCATTTAATTATAGAAAGGCCTACCTTCTCTAGACAGTACATTTCCTTGGGAGAAGGCGACCCAGTGATATTCACAGGGTTATCCCCCTTGAAACCAATACAATAGCTGGTGTGTAGAAAGAAAAATGTAAGTATGACTTAGAAAAAAAGGAAGAAAAACAGAATGAAAGAAAATAAGAAGCCAAGAAAGAAGAAAAGAGTAAAGAGAGGAACTGAGAAAGAGGGAAAAGCAGAGGAAATTTTTGAAAGGGAGTGTGGGGGCAATCATAGAAAGAGGGACAGAAGACAACAACGGACAAGAAACTGAAAACATATAGGGAAAGAAAGGGTCCTTCGTGGATTTGTCATTTCACAGATTTACAACTGGAATCCACCTTTTATCAAAATACGTGTGTTGAGAGACATGGCATTGCATTTCTTACTACATACTGTGCTAAACCCTAGGTGACCTCTTATTTTTGGTAATAAAAGTTATAATTTCAGCAAATAGGTTTTATCCATTAACTCCATAGCCTCCTTGATATAACCTGAGATTAAGTTAAATTTAAAGTCCAAGTGAGCTCAAAGGTGTAGGTGAAGGTTGTTGCTATTAGGTCTAACTGAATAATAGCTCTCTGCAAAATCCCAGCCACATAAAAGCACTGCTCTGGCAGTCATAGCAACCTTGCCAGCTTTGGATGTGATTGCTGACAGAGAGTTCACTGATTTTTCCATGGAGAATCCTGAAGCTTGCTGTTCGGGTTGACATTTTTACAACTGTGTAGTTGAAAAGGGAGATTTGCAGTCATGCCCCCTCCCTTCCTTCTTTCTTTTCTTCCTTTCACTCATTGTCTCATCCTCATCCTCTTTCTTTCTTTCATTGATTACAACCATTTCATTAGAAAATGTTCAGGCCACAGTTTGAGGATATAAGGATTAGAGCTTTGCCATGACAGTTTCTAAAACTATAACTTCTCAAATATTTTATACATTCATGTGCAAAATGTGAAGCCCTGGGGGAGAGTGCAGTGAGCTACGATCTATGGTTTACAAGTGCTGTCGTTGGGAGAAGTTACACAGGACTCTTCACATAACTCAGCAGGTGATTTATTCCTATTTAGGGATTTCGGGCTGCACTATAGGCACATAAATTGAAACAAGCTGACAAATGGCTTCTATGCTTCAGTGCTGATATCTCGAAAGGCATTGCACATGCTCCAGGTATAGAATCCTTTGGAGCAGGGATCTCTGAGAGCTATGTGAGGCAGTAATAGGCTGAATGGTCTGACAGCTACCTGGTAACCTTGGTCTGGCACCTGGGGTGTTTCTGAACTGAGTTTTCTCATCTGTAAAATATAAGGAATAGCCAGGATTTCATGCGTCTTGTCCGAGATGGCTGCTGAACATTGATATCAACAGAGTCTCCTGAGCTTACAGTACTTAAGATAGTTTGTCCCAAGCTAAGACTAACCATAGGTCAGCAAACTGCTCATCACAGAGGAGTCTGTGGTGTTTCAGTTACTAGTTATAATATACTCAGCTAAGAATGGCTTTTCAGAATTCAGCTCAAATTACCAAAAAAATTGTTTACATAAAATTGTACCTTTACCTTCTGTGCCCTCTGAATTTCTAACCAAACAGGTTTTCATTCAGCAGATATTTAGTGAATGCCTAATGTGTGCTGGGCTAGGAATCCTTCTGGGAATTTCCTTACATCATTAAAATTCTTTGTAAATATGGTTTTGGATGGCAATTTATCCGTGAAGAATACTACCATGAACACGTTGGAAACAAAATCTTATCCTCAAGGAGTTTACATCCTAGAAGGGATGACTGTCAATTTTAAAGAAAGAAAAGCCAGCTTGGTAAATCTAGAGTATGCTGAACAGTGCTAAATACTAAGAAAAAAATAAATCTGGGGAAGGCTCCCTGCACTCCCTTTGCACAGAGACTTTAAGAAAGTATACAGCATGGCCCCTGGACTGAAGGTGCTCAGGTTAGTAAGGGAGTGTCATGCAGGTCAACACATGTCGCACATGGACCACAAATGCCTGCCACCAGCAGGATGCACGGGGACTTCTGGGAGGGGAGTGGACAGGATACTTATCTGTGACTGGAATGTAGGTGAGAGGTGGAGAAGAGAGTGAAGGATAACTTATAGAGGGGGCAGCATTTGTTTTGGGTCTTGAAAGAGGTAGAAAATTCTTCCAGATGGCCAAACTGACAACGGTGAATGCGTTACAGGGGTAGACAAGAGTCCCATCAATATAATCATGAGCTGAATTCAGCCAGAAGTTGTGAATTCATTTAGGCAAGGATAAGCCAGTAAACTGAAGAAAGGAGCTGACCTGGGTTTGATTGGCATATGAGAGAGGAGGCAAAGGACCATGGAAGGCAGGCTCAGATCACACCTGCTCCTCTTCTCTGTGAAATAGCACACTTGATTTGGCTGGAACCTTGGATGATAGAGTAACTGGCTCAGATTTGTATTTTTGAAATGTCACTTGATAAATAAATGTCACTTGAAGAGGAGTAATCTGGGGGGGCAGGACTGTAGGTGGGGAGACCATTTGTTCAGTGCAGAATAGGCATTCAGCAAAAGTTTGAGAGTTGTTTTTTTACTCTTAATTGTTGGCTTCCCTAATCTTCATTACTTACAATGTGCCCACATGGTTCAAATGACTTGCTAACTACTCACAGAAGGAGCTGACATCTATCAAATTAATAATGCTTTATTCAATAGTGCTGATTGCAATCAAAAGAGTGATATTTAAAATATTACTAATTGTTTGTATTTTGTTGAGTGGGGAGAGAAGAGATCCTTCAATGAGTTTCATCCTACACTAAATAAAAAAATAATAAGCTGATAAGCTGCCATCCAAAACTATATTTACGAAGAATTTTAATGATGTAAAAAAATTCCTACAGCATTGGAAATAAAACGAAAAAATTGCATGTATAATCTGAGTTCTATTTTATGTGCATATGCATGTGTATATATGTTTATTTTATACATATTAATAAAATATGACAAATTTAATCATTGCTGTCTTCAGCTATTTGGATGAATGGGTTGTTTTTGCTTTTATACTCATCTTTTTTGTTGACAAAAGTATGTTCTAAACATTCTATCAGTAAAACTATTAATTTGAAAAAATAAAATATAGGAAGTTTCATGTATTTAATTCTCCTCAATCATGAAATTGTTTTCATATCCCAGCATTTCATAATGCTTCTTAAGTTATGGGTATAGAAAATGATTAACTTGTCAAAATGTCAAAAGGGCACTTTTATCCATTATAAAATAAAGCAGGATGACTCAAATTAAGATTTATATGTATATATATTGTTATTCATTAAGTATGTCTGTGTGAAGGTGACAGCAATCCATTTCCAAAAATGGTTTATGTAATTTGAAAGATAAAAGGTGCAACTGGTGGGTGGATCTAGAGATGCAAAGAAAACACAACTTTAGGAATCTAACTCAGGAGACAATATTCTTATCTTGTTTCTTCTTATTCTATTTTTCTATTTCTCTTTCCAGTTTGTATTTTTCTTCATGTTAGCATTATTCTTTCTTATGACAGATGTATATTCTTTCCATAATACAGGCTTAGCAATCCCAGTAGGCAAACCAAAAGAAAACCAGACAAAGTGACATAAAATCTCCCAGGATTATATATCAATCCAAGGGATGCCATTGTTTGGGTTATATACCCTTCATTGTGCCAAGCAGTGTTGCTGGGGTAGTGGGATAGAGGGCAGCGATTATCCAGGCCTACTCTAAGAATTGGACAGGGAAAGACACTGTAATTGAAAGCTATGTACTAAATGATTAAGTAGTAGTCCTGCCATCCATTCTCTCCTTTTATTGGGGGCTGCCCTTGGAAGAGATAGGACACATAGCTTATGAACATATCTAAATGAAAATAGTGAAGTTCCATGAACAAATCAACTACTCTTCTGTACGTTATTTGAATTCATACCATGTTTCAAAACCTCCTATGTTAATCTGGGCCTGGAGTAAATCCTGATGTGGTAAGAACAGATTTGAAGAATGGTGTTTGAGGTTCTAGATTTTTCCATCCTTTTATTGCATCTCATGATTACTTCTATTCTGACACTTTAATAGCAGTTGATACTGAGTAAAATCTCTGTTTTTTTCTAGTGTTATATGACAATCCAATCCTTCGTGTTAAGCCCTGCCAGAAACATGTGCAATGGTGGTTGGATAGTTCCCTAAAGAAAAAAGTGGATTTACACAATTTAATTATTTTTGTAAAAATTTTCTGAATACCAGTCATATACTGAAGAACTTATAGAACAGGAAGTATAATTTAATTAATTAAGATCAATTTTTTATCAAGGCAAAGTGACAGATATTATCATAAATAATAGAGATGCAAATATGTTTCTTAAGAAGAACTTTCATCCCCAGTTTTCTAGAAAAATCCTTTTCATATTTTAAACTGTCCAAATTTCTGGATTGGATTTCTTTGAAATGCAAGGTAAACTTCTTCAAAATTCAATCTAGTAAAAGACAAAACAACTTTTTTTAGGTTTACTTGCACTCTTTCCTCCAACAGGACTTGGACAATGGGAATTTTTACATAAATAAACCAAACAATAAATATGTATTTCACAAAAGGCAATTGGTTGGGTATTTTAGAACTTCTGGTGAGAGTCAACAGAAGACAGAAATCAGGAGCTACATAATTAGTACATTATAGTCTCAATTATTCATACACGTTTTAGAATAACCTTCCTCTATAATTATAAACTTGATTTATCCTGCTTGAAAAAGTAGTGCTCTAGAAACTGGGGTATGTATGCATAGGATAATATGAGAATTGGTCATGAGGATTTCTTCCCTTAGCCAAATCAGATACCCAATTCCATCTGGCTTCTGTCTTTAGATTGGCTTGAAGGAAACCTTGCTAATCATATTTATTTTTAGAGATCAATCAGAGAATAATCAGATTATAGCCCCAAATATATTATCTTCTTCAGTAATAATATTAAAAGTCTGCTTCATTCCTAAATCTATTACATATTTTTAACACTTAATTGGGTTTATACTCACATGCATAATGTAATAGTCACTAATTGTTTTACTGCATGTTGTCCTACACCTACACTATAGAATTCTATAGTTTCAACTTGTCACAATTGTAGGTATTCACATTTTAATTTTTGGAAGCTCTCACCTCACAGTACTGATATAGATTGACTGTGTCTCCATTCAAACCTCATCTTGAACTGTAACTCCACAATTCCCACGTGTCATGGGAGGAACTAGGTGGGAGGTGATTGAATTACAGGGGCGGGTCTTTCCTGGGCTGTTCTCACGTTAGTGAATGAGTCTCATGATATCTGATAGCTTTAAAAATGGCAGTTTTTGTGCATAAGCTCTCTGTTCATCTGCTGTCATTTACATAAGATGTGACTTGCTCTTCTTTGCCTTTCACCTTCTGCCATTATTGTGAGGACTTCCCAGCCATGTGGAACTGTAAGTCCACATCTTTTGTAAATTGCCCAGTCTTTGGCATGTCTTAACAGCAGAGTGAAAGGAAACTAATACAGTGAATTGATACCAGGAGTGGGGTTCTTCTATACCCAAAAATTTGGAAACAACTTTGGAACTGGGTAACAGGCAGAGGTTGGAACAGTTTGGAAAGCTCAGAAGAAGTCAGAAAAATGTGTGAAAGTTTGGAATTCCCTAAAGCTTGTTGAATGCCTTTGACCAAAATGCTGATAATGATATGGACAATGAAATCCAGGCTGATGTGGTCTCACTGGGAGATAGGGAAATTGGGAAATGGAACAAAAGTGACTTTTGTTATGTTTTAGCAAAGAGACTGGTGGCATTTTGACCCTGTCCTAGGGTGCAAGCCCCAAGCCTTGGCAGCTTCCATGTGGTTTGAGACTGTGGGTGCAGAGAAGTCAAGAATTGAGGTTTGAGAATCTCAGCCTAGATTTCAGAGGATGTATGGAAATGCCTGGATGTCTAGGCAGAAGTTTGAAGCAGGGGCAGAGCCCTCAAGGAGAACTTCTGCTAGGGCAGTTCAAAAGGGAAATGTGGGATTGGAGCCCCCACACAGAGTTCCTACTGAGGCACCACCTAGGAAAGCTGTGAGAAGCAGACCACCATCTTCCAGAACCCAGAATGGTAATTCCACTGACAACTTGCACCATGCACCTGGAAAAGCTGCGGACACTCAGCACCAGCCCATGAAAGCAGCTGGGATAGTGGCTGTACCCTGCAAAGCCACGGGGGCAGAGCTGCCTAAGACCATGGGAACCCGCCTGTTGCATCAACATGACCTGAATGTGAGACATGAAGTCAAAGGAGATCATTTTGGAGCTTTAATATTTAACTGCCCCGCTGGATTTTGGACTTGAATGGCACTTGTAGCCTCTTTGTGTTGGCCAAATTCTCCCATTTGGAATGGCTATATTTACCCAATTCCTGTACCCCCATTGTATCTAGGAAGTAACTAACTTGCTTTTGATATTACAGACTCAAAGCCAGAAGGGACTTGCCTTGTCTCAGATGAGATGTTGGAATGTGGACTTTTGAGTTAATGCTGAAATGAGTTAAGACTTTGGAGGACTACTGGGAAGGCATGATTGCTTTTGAAATATGAGGAAATGAGATTTAGGAGTGGCCAGGGGAGGAATGATATGGTTCAGTTTTGTCCCCACCCAAATCTCATCTTGAATTGTAATTCCCACAATTGCCACATTTCATGGGAGGAACTAGGCCAGAAGTGATTGAATTATGGGGGCATGGTCTTTCCCGGGCTGTTCTCATGATAGTGAATGAGTCTTATGATATCCGATTGTTTTAAAAACAATAATTTTCTGCACAAGCTCTCTCTTTGCCTGCTGCCATCCACATAAGATGTGACTTACTCCTCCTTGCCTTTCACCTTCCACCATTATTGTGAGGCATCCCCAGCCATGTGGAACTGCAAGTCCAATAAATCTCTGTTTTTTGGTAAATTGCCCAGTCTTAGGCATGTCTTTATCAGCAGTGTGAAAATGGACTAATACAAATACAGTTAGATTTCTTCTTGGTATGTTTATCTTCATTCTCTACAATTTCTATCCATCCTTCTTGTAGCATGGTACTCGGAGATGAACTATGTTTTAGTCAAAGATAGGATACTAGTCTTTCACTTTCTTTTAGTTTTCTAACCCCCACTGGGCAGTTGCCCTCATTTTCAAAATAGAAATAACTCTCTTGCATGTGTGTTTTGGCCAATAATATATCTAAAATGCTTGTATGCCTAGCATATGATAGACATTTAGTAAATGCTAGTTTCTATTTGAATACTCTCACTCCCACTCTCTACATTCTCATAGTTCCTTCTTTAGCTTTTTCCTTTTCCTTTCTCATTTTAATGCCTCTAAGTTGTTATAGATACTAGTAATATGTTACCTTTTGCAACTAGCTTATATTAATTTGGATGTTATATCATATTTTATTTTGTTATAGAATCTACCAATTGATATAGCATGGAATTTGAACTTCTGGTGCATTTATCCAGGTTCGATCTGTCTATTTTATGAAAGCCTCCAAATCACTTCCCACTTAAGCATAAAAATTATTAGCTTGAAATGGCTATAAGATGCTGAACAATCTGGTTCCTGTAATGATTTTATGACCTCTATTTCACCTACCCTTCCTCTTGTTCAGTCACCTTCATTCAGGCTGGGTTCTTCCTTGTTGATCCTTCAACAAACAAGCATGCTCCTGACTCAGGACTTTTGCACTTGCTCTCCCCACTGCCTGAAATGCTAACACTTTGGATTTCCCCATAGCCAATGCTCATCTTCTTTAAGTACGTTCTCAAGTTGCACCTACTCAGAAAGGCCCATGTGTATCTTACTATTTAAGCTGAACCTTGCCCCAGCCTATCCACTTACTCTTATCTTTTGGAATTTGTTCTTGCATGCAGCATAAATAATTTGCTTATTTTATTTGTTACTTCTAAATAATATTCATTTATCATAATTATTGTTCTTGGAGCTTAAACCACATGGGGGCAGGGTGTTATATCTATTTTGAACATTGATGAATCTCTGCTATTTGACTTATAGCAGGCACTCAACAAAAATATTTTGAATGCATGAGTAAATTTGCCCAAATTAGGCTCATTCTTATAATTTTCATAACAGTTTTGTAGGAATCAGCAAACTATTTCTCAGAAGAGGTAGATAGCAAATATTGTAGGCTTCATGGACCATACAGCCTCTAGCACAAGTCCTCAACTCCACTGTTGTAGCACAATAGCAACTGTACACAATACAAAAATGAATGGGAGTAACTGGGTTCACTTAAAGAAATAGGCAGTGGGCTGGATTTCATCTGCAGGTCAGAGTAGTTGCAAACTACTGATCCAGTAGTTTTACTTATTCTTGCATGAAATTATTTTGGAAGGAAGGAAGGAAGGAAAGAAGGAAAGAAGGGAGAAAAGAAGGACAGAAACAAAGAAGGAAGGAAGGGAGAAAGAAAGGAAGGAAGGAAGGAAGAAAGGAAAGAAGGAAGGAAAGAAGGAAGGAAGGGAGAAAGGAAAGAAAGGAAGGAAGGAAGAAAGGAAAGAAGGAAGGAAAGAAGGAAGGAAGGGAGAAAGGAAACAAGGAAGGAAGGGAGGAAAGAAGGAAGGAAGGAAGAAAGGAAGGAAGGGGCACATTTTTGCCACATCCTATGAGAGGCTTGCACTTTTACCAGTTAGCTCATAATTTTTTACCAAAATTATAGTTTTAAAGGAAACTACAGGCCAACACCCCAGATGAACATAGATGCAGGAATCCTCAACAGAATACTAGCAAACTGAATCTAACAGCACACCAAAAAGATAATTCACTACAATTAAGGGGGCTTTATTCCTGAAATGCAAGGATGGTTCAACATAGGCAAATCAAAAAATGTGAGTCACCGTATAGAATTAAAAGCAAAAAGCTATATGCTTATCTCAGTAGATGGAGAAAAAGCATTTGATAAAATCTAATATTACTTAATGATAAAAACCCTCAACAAACCTGGCTTTGAAGGAATACACCTCAAAATAATAAGAGCTATCAATGACAAACCCACAGCCAAGATCATATACTGAATGGGCAAAAGTTGGAAGCATTCCCCTAATGAGTGGAACAAGAGAAGGTTGTTCATTCTCATCACTCCTATTCAGCATAGTACTGGAAGTCCTCACCACAGAAATCAGACGGGACAATGAACCAAAAGACATCCAAATAAGAAAAGAAGAAGTCAAATTATGTGTCTCTTTTCAGATGGTATGATACTAGACATAGAGCACTCAAGATTCTGACAAAATGCTTTTAGACCTGAGGACAAACAACTTCAGCAAAGTTTAAGGATACAAAATCAATGCACAAAAATTAGTAGCATTTCCATACACCAATAACATTCAAGCTGAGAACCAATTTAAGACTGTAATTACATTTACAACAGACACAAAAATAATAAAATACCTAAAAGTACATCTAACCAAGGAGGTGAAAGTTATCTTCGAAGACAATTACAAAACACTTCTGAAGGAAATCATACATGACACAAGTAAGCAGAAAATCATTTCATGCTCATTGTTTGGAAGAATCAAGGTCATTAAAATGTCCATACTGTCCAAAGGAATCTCCAAATTTAACGCTATTCCTTTCAAATTATCAATGTCATTTTTTAACAGAATTAGAATAAAAATATTATTCTACAATTCACATGGATTCAGGAAAGAGCCTGATATGGTTTGACTGTGTCTCCACTAAAATCTCATCTAGAATTGTAATCCCAATAATCTCCACATGTTGAGGAAGGGACCTGGTAGGAAATGACTGGATCATGCAGTGTTTTCTCCCATGCTGTTCTCATGATAGTGAACAAGTTTTCGTGAGATCTGGTGGTTTTATAAAGGGCTCTTCCCCCTTAGCTCCCACTCTCTTTCCTGCCACCTTGTGAAGAAGGTACTTGCTTCTCCTTTGCCTTCCACCATGATTGTAAGTTTCCTGAGGCTTCCCCAGCCATGCAGAACTGTAAGTCAATTAAACCTCTTGCCTTTATACATTACCCAGTCTCCGGTATTTCTTTATAGCAGTGTGAGAATGAACTAATGCAGAGCCTGAATAGCCAAAGCAGTCCTAAGCAAAAAGAACAAAGTCGGAGGCATCACTTTACCTGACTTCAAACTATACTACAAGGCAAAATATAGTACTGGTACAAAAATAGACACATAGACCAATGCAACAAAATAGAGAACCCAGAAATAAAGCTGCCAACATACAGCCATCTGATCTTCAACAAAGTTGACAAAACTAAGCAATGGTGAAAGGAATCCCCATAGAATAAATAATGCTGGAATAACTGGCTAGCCATATGCAGAAGATTGAAAGTGAAACCTTTCCTTATACCAGATACAAAAATCAAATTAAGATAGATAAAATACTTGAATATAAACCCCAAACTATACAATCCCTGGAACACAACCTAGGCAACACCATTCTGGCCATTGACCTTGAGAAATAATATATGACTAAGTCCTCAAAAGCAATTGCAACAGAAGCCAAAATGGACAAATGGCACCGTATTCAACTAAACAGCTTCTGCACAGCAAACAAAACTGTCAACAGAGTAAACAGACAACCTACAGAAAGGGAGAAAATACATAAACTATGCATCCAATGAAGGACTAATGCTCAGAATCTATAAGAAACTTAGACAAATCCACAAGAAAAATCAAATAACCACATTAAAAACTGGGCAAAGAAGATAAACAGACACTTTTCAAAAAAAGACACAGAAGTGGCTAACAAACATTATGAAAAAAATTCTCATCATCACTAATCATGAGAAAAATGCAAATCAAAACCACAACGAGATATCATCTCATACCAGTCAGAATGGCTATTACTAAAAAGAAAACAAAAAAACAGAAAACAGATGTTGATGAGGTTGTAGAGAAAAGGAAACACTCATACACTGTTGATGGGAATGTAAATTAATTTAGCCCTAATGGAAAGCAGTTTGGTGATTTCTCAAATACCTAAAAATGGAATTACCATTCGACTCAGCAATCCCATTGCTAAGTATATACCCAAATGAAAATAAATCATCGTACCACAAAGACACCTGCACTCGTATGTTTATTGCAGCACTATTCACAATAGCAAAGCCAAGGAATCAACCTAAGTGTCTATCAATGGTGGACTGGATGAAGAAAATGTGCTACATATTATACCATGGAATGTCATGCAGCCATAAAAAGAACAAAATTATGTCCTTTGCAGCAACATAGATGCAGCTGGAAACCATAATCTTAAGTTAATTAATGAAGTAACAGAAAACCAAATATCGCATGTTCCCATTTATGAGTGGAAGGAAAACTGTAGGTACAAAAACATAAAGTTGGGAACAATAGATACAGGGACTCCAAAAAGAGGGAATGAAGGGGAACAAGGGTTAAAAAAAAACCTACCTTTTGAGTACTGTGTTCACTTTTGGGTGATGGGATCAACAGAAGCCCAAATCTCAGCATCATGCAATATACTCAAGTAACAAACCTGCACAAGTACCTCCTGAATGTAAAAATTTTAAAAAACTGTAATTGTTTTAACTGCAATTTACTTAACGTATATTTAAATTTTCTTAAGAATTTTTTCAAATGACTTTCTAAAAATACTTTAAATATAATTTATAGGCAATTATGTTTCCTAAATTTGTTTAATTTTAGGACGACTTTTTTTCTTTTCTCCCCTTTAATTCTATAAAGCCACCACAGTGAAAACAAAGATTTTTCTAGCATTTAAATTAGTACTGGCATGTAGCAGGTGTTCAATAAATACTTGTTAAATGACTAAATACTTTGTCGATTGATAATGCATATATTAGTGCCTTCAATTAGAGATGAAGAAATGAGACACTTGAAGTAAAAATGAAGTGGTGAAGACCATACAGCTAATTACTATAATTTCCAGAGTCTTAGTCCTTAAATCCCCCGACTGTATTACACTGATTCCCTCTCTTGAATGTAATATGCATCAAAGGCAGATATATGAAGAAAAGATGGAAGGTAAGAGGAAGACAGAGCTACATATCCTTTTTCATAGGCCAGACATAATGTGAGGAGTGAAGGGGAAAAAGGGGCTCACTCTCCTGAGCAGAGGAAAGGTTGTATCAGGGGAAGCTTGCGTACTTTTATCCCTCACACCTAATTTTATCCTCTGCAATGCATGTTGCTTCATATGCTAAATAGAATGACGCACGTTGACAACTGAGACCAAGAAAGAGGACAAAACTTAAAGGCTATAAATCTATATTTTGAATATAAAAGAGTCTACATGAAACCGAAGGAATGCTAGGATAAAACAGATGCCATGAAAAACGTGATGTACATTATACTGGTAGATTTTTAAAAAATGATAACATATTTTCAATGCAGTTTTCAAAAGGAAAGATTGCATGGAGTAAATTTTCTTTTCACTAGGTAATTAGATATGCATCTGTTTGGTATCACTAAAATATATATTTTAAATATAAAGTCTCCACCACGCATTGCTGGAGGTGGCAACATAGAGTGGTGGTTGAGAACCTGGCTTAAGAGTCAGAAGTGCATAGGTCCACAATTTATGAGTTCACAGATCTTGGGGGTAAAAAAACAAAAACAAAAACACACTCCAAGTTGGTATTTTCAATCATAAAATTGGCATAATAATAGAATCTGTTCTATAAGACTGCTATAAAGATTACATGACTTAATACATTTAATGAGTTTAATACACTACGTGGTACAGTGTAAGTTCTTACTAAACATTAGATATCCACATTTGGAACATCAAATATAAACTTAAATGCTGAAATAGCAAGTTAACCACAATAAAACTCATAAATGGATTGTTGACCTTTAAAACACTTTTATTGTCACATGCAGAGAACAAGGAGTAAAGAAGAATTGGTAGGGATGGAATTATGAGCCAGGAATTCAAGTTAGTGTAGAAATAAAATAATTTATAGTGCCACCGTGTTTGTATTCTCTTGATTTATCATTTATTGAGCATGAGAAATGATTTCATTTTGGCCTCCATAACTCATGATTTCAATATTCTTTTCAGGCATTTGACACTACAAGTTGTTTAATAGAATAAAAATATAGACCTTGCTCAGGGAACATGATCTAAATTTCAAAGTAAAGAAGATGTTTTAAAAAGTTAGTTGGTGAGAGTATAGACAGAAAATTTAACAGTGCATATCACACAATCTCATAAAATACCTCTGAGTCAGAGAAAATTCAAGCAGGTGTGAAACCCTGATATAAAGCATTTGCAATTCCAATTTTTAGATGTTCTACCAGAGAAATGAAATCCTCCATGGACACAGTGGCTATAGTGGATGTCTCCTATTATTCCCTGGAATATCTAGAACAGAAGAGTCCGTTTACTCAAACTCCTTTATTAATACTTAACATGAGTCACTCACTCTGCTACCCAGAGAGGGCCATAAAGACTGGGACAGAGTCCTTAATGTCTAGCTGAACACACCCAGGTAGGAAAAATATATCCTCATTCTTATTAGATTTCTCTTCTCATGTTCAAAATCTATGATCAAATTTTCCTAGGCTTTTTGTGTTGCTCAGTACCCATGAATGAATCATGTTCTCTCTTGCTTTTGAGTCTTTGTTTATGTTTTGGCTTTGTCTGGTATATACCCCCTCCATCATCACTGTTCTCATTTTCCTGGTGAACTCTGCTTAGTTTGACTCTGCTTAAACGTTATTCCTTCATGTAAGCCTTTCCTTACCATATCCCACATTATTTCAGCTGCTATTGAAGAGTCCATATTTCCTCTAAAACAATGTTTATCACATTTCCTTGGATAATTATACATTAACTTTTCCCTTGCTGCTGGCTATTGTGCCCTACGAGACAAGAACCACGCATGCTGCGGTTTAGCGTAAGAGAATGGATTCAGTAACTATCTGTTGAATGAATGAAAAAATTAATGCCCTTGCAATTTAGGTTAAATGCCGAGAGACTTCTATGGTAAAATAATTTCTTTTTGGGGAAAACTAGGAAGTTTATATTGAGTAGTGACCTTTTAATATGAGTGTTTTAGGCATGGATGGGAGTTTCTCAATTTGGGTAAAGGAGAAGGGCATTTATGGGAAGAAAGAAAGCATTTGTAAAAACAAAACTGTGTGACCAGTTTCACTTGGAAAGGTCCCTGTAAGAATAAAAGTCTGTGAAAGGCATTGTAAGGGGCTTAATAGAATATACAAAGGCATTGGGATCAAGATGGATGAAGTAATACAGTATCACAGAATTTCAATGTCAGTTAGTGGGTGTATCAGAGACTTAAAAACATTTAAGTTAAATAAATTTGGGTAAGTTTTATTACTGCACAATTTCTCAGAGCCTTTTGCTATACCAATGTGCTATACCAATGTACTATACCAATACACTCTGCTATGAAGTTATAGTATGTAGAAAGTATTTTAAATATGTTTGCTTATAGAGCACTCTTTCCTGGAGCATCATGAATGATTGATGTACGTAGAACAAATGTTAGAAGTCAATAGTATACGTCAGTGGTTTTCAACCAGGGTGGTTTTACCCTGAGAGGATATTTGGCAATGGCTGGAGATATTTTGGGTTATTACAACTGTGCAGGTCAGGAATTTTTATTCATTACTAGTGAGTAGAGGCCAGGAATATAATTAACATCCTCCAATACATAAGAGACAGCTTCTACAACAAATAATTATCTGCCCCAAACTATCAATAGTGGCAAACCTGAGAAGCCCTACTGTAGTGTAAAGAGCAACAGCTGTGGATACAGATGGGGCTTAAAGTCTCCAGTTTGCCAATTCATAACTGTTAGATCTTAAACAAATTTTTTAATATCTAGAACACAGATTCTTCATGGGAAAATAGAAATAAAATTACTTAATTTGGAGAATAAAGTTATTTTTTCAAAGACAATATATACACAATTGTATAATAAAATATCTTCCAGAGAACAGTCATTTAATAAATTAAAACTGTCAAAGCTAGATGGTGTAGGTTGTTTTGTTTGTTTGATTTTCCTCTATACCCAGGAAATGTAATGTTTCTGCTTCTAATATAAAAGCAGAGTTGTCTACTGCAAAAGCGGCTACTCTGTAAATACATCAGTGGTATGTTCCCCAGGCAGGTTCAAACTGAGGACTCTATGCCATGAACTACAATTAGAATCCTGAGACTAAGTAGATTATCCAAACTGGGCCATAAGCACCTCTCTCAAGGATTCCAAACCTGGCATAATGATACTCTTTAGCTTTTGTCAAAAGACTGTGATAAAGTGGTTCTAGTTATGACTAAAGCTCTTTTGCAGTAAGACAGTTTGAAGTTGGTATTAAGAGGAAAGCAAATTAATTCACTATATCCAGTCATCATTGAAGCCACTTCCCCCAGGTCGTTTGAGGTAAGTAGAAACATTTCAACCTCTATTTTACTTTAGCTAGCTCATTGAGTTTCTGTCACTTGCAACCAAAAGAGCTCTACAGACACAGGTAAAGATATTTTTTTCCGTAGAAAATGGAAAGCTCTCATACTTTTTAACACATGCTACAAAACAGTTCTCCTAGGTAACTTGCTTGGTCTTGTCATAAAATAGATTTTTCCATGGAAAACATATTTTAATGTTTCACAGAAAACAGAACAAATTTTATTATTGAATTAAAACATTAGGATTTCTCAAACCCCAAATTAATTTTTGGATTTTATTTTATGTATATTAACTCTTGAAGACTAGTTGCTCTGAACTAGTAGTAATCAGTATCTTGTATTCTGCATTGTACTTTTAAAATTTGGTTTTTAATTTTAGTCATATCTGGCTATTTGTACTTGGGTAACCTGTACTAAATTTTCCAAAAAATATTTTTAAAAGGCAAAGGATATCAATTATTATAGTTATTATATAATCTAAAATCACTAAAGAATCTCCAGCTGCATTTAGCAGTTTTATTCATTCATTAAGTACTTGTTTATGAAGCACCTACTCTGTCATTTACTGTTGTGAAAAGCTGATATGTTTATATTAACAGTGGTGATATATAATAATCAAGACAAAACCTTTGTAGTTTGTGCTATAAGGTAAATAGATAAGAGATTGTGATATAAATATGCAGGTGGTCAGGGACAGCTTCTCTGAAGAAAAATTAAGCTGCTATCTAAAAACAAAGAAAAAGCTACACAAGTAAGATTGTTGGAAGAGCATTCCAGGAAATTGGAATACTTAGTACTAATGTCCTCAGGGAATTAGATTATTGCAGTGGAGAAATAGAACGAAGGATACGATGGCTTTAAAGAGAATAAAAGATCTGGAAAAAAATAAATAGATCAATATTAAAAGCTGTGAAATTCTGGCCTCTGATTTGTGCTTATAGAAGTGTGTAAAACAAACAAAAAAGGAATCAACAGATACATGAGGTAAACAGGGCCTAGAATTCCATAACATAATATTAACATATTCAAGAAACAAGTCAAAAGAACATGAAAAATAACAATGAAAATCTTATTTCATAATAAAACACACAATTAGCATATACCAATTAATTCTGAGATGGTACAGGTGTTGAAATTATCTGACAAAGACTATAAACAGCCATTACAATGATGCTTTAGGAAGAAGGGTAAACACTCTTGAAATAAAGACACAGCAAGTTCAAGCAGAAAATATAAAGAATAGCTAAATGGAAATTTTAGAACTAAAAACAATAGTGTGACCTTCATAGAATAATGGAATTTATGCAGGAAAAAATTCAATGAAACTGAAGATATGTAATAAAATTACTCAGTCAGAACAATAACAACAAAAAAGATCAGGGGAAAATGAACATATCAAGCCTTACGAACCTTTAGGTCAATACCAAAAGTTTAACATTTGTGTTATTGTAGTACCAGAAGAAAGATTATGATATGGAAAAAAAAGCTAAACAAATAATGACTGAAAACTTCCAAAATTTGGTGAAAGTGATAAACTTACAAATTTAAGAAGCTCAGTGAATCAAAAATAGGATAAAAGCAAATAAGTCTATGCTGAGTTATATCCCAATCAAACCGCTGAAAACTAAAGAGAGTAAATTGTAGAGTAACCGGAGTTACTAACATGAGTCAGTCTCTCTGCGACCCACAGAGACAGACATGAAGACTAGGATACAATCCTTAATGTCTCGATGAACATACCTGGGGGTAAATTATGTCCCAATCCTTACCAGATTTCTTTTCTCATGCCCCAAATCTATGATCAATTCTTTCTAGACTTGAATAATTATATAAATAGATAGGGAAATAATTATATAAATAGTTATTGATAATATAATAATCAATAACTAAAATAATACTGTAATTAATTATACAAATACCTAAAATAATTATATAAATAGTAAAACACTCAATAAAAATTCAGTAAAATTATAAAAATATACAAATAGTTTAAAAGAATAAAAGAGCAAGGAATGAACAGAAAAAAATGAATAAAGATAAAACAATAAAATGGCAGACCTAACAAACACATCAACAATCATATTAAATATAAATGGTGTAATCACAATAATTAAAAAGAAAAAGGGAATGTCAAACTCTATTTTTAAAATTGGTAAACGGGATTTTATCAAAGCTCAAAATTTATGCTCTGAGAAATGCAGGAGTAGGAGAAGGAAAAGGCAAGCCAAAGTGTGGAAAAAATATTTTCAAATCACACACCTTAAAAAGAACTTTTGTGAAGAATATATAAAGAATTCTAAAAACTCAACAGTAAGAAACAAACAGTCCAACAGGAAAAAATAGACAAAATATTAGAAAAGACAACTCATTGAAGGAGATATACAGATGGTTAATAGGCATATTTAAAGATGTCTAATCTTCTTTGTCATTAGGATAATGCAAACTAAAACTATAATGACATACTACTGTTATACATGTAGTAGGATGAAACAACAACAATCACCTCCTGACTTGCTGGTAAGAATTTCCAGCAATTGCAACCCTCATGCATTGCAGGTGGGAATGCAAAATGATAAGAGTTACTCTGAAAACCATTTGGAAGTTTTTTTTAAAGTTAAATATACATTCACCATATGAATTTGTGATCTCACTGTCAGATATTTACCCCTGAGGAAAAACATATATATATATGTGTGTGTATATATATATATACACAGACACACACATATTCAAAGAAAAAATATATATATTCAAAGAAAACTTGTACATGATGTTTATAGCAGTTATATTTAAAATCATAAACATTGAAAACAGTCCAAATACCCTTTCTGACTGAATGGATAAAACAAACTAGTATTTTTTATAATAGAATACTACTTATAAAAAAAAGAATAAATAAACTATAGGTACTTGCGTCACCCTTATGAATAAAAGGAGGTACTATGGTGAGTAAAATAAGCCATTCTCAAAAGTTTGCATAATGTATGATTCCGTTATATGGCATTCTGGGAATGGTAAAATATAGGAACAAAGAACAGATTAGTACTTTGCCTAATCTAGGGACAAGTTGATACAATAATAGGCATGGGGCAGAGTTTAACCACAAAAAGTGGTACTTGGTGAGGTGATGGAACTGCCATATCTCCCAATTATACCCAAATAAAAAAGGGGAAAATTCACAATAAGATAATTCATAGAAAACTAAATTAGAAATGGCTGATATATGATCAATGTTTCATCTCACTATCAATTAAATATAAATTTAAAAGGTATATTTGCCAAAACAATGACGGATAGAAATGTATATGTGCAAGTACTTGTGTACACATGTGTGTGCTGGGGGGGTCTATGTACTTACATGGGGACATGGACACTGGAATGTGGAAAAAGAGACATTCATATATTCATATAACTGTCAGCAGGAATTTTACATTGGTACAATATTCCTTAAAGTTTTTCAAAAATTTGTAGAACTCTACCTCTAGAAATAAAATAAGAAAATAATCATGGATATAGACAAAAATGTAGCGATGAGGTTTTTAATTGCAAAATTAATTTTAACATTGTTTAATTCCATGAAATTTAACTAAGAATAGGGGTTTCATTAAGTAATAATAATATAAGAAGCCCTTGAAATAATGCCAAAAATCATTACTTAAGTGAAAATAATCACAATAGATTGATTTTAAAAAAAAGTTACAGAATAAAAGGATGGCTTGAAAATTTTGGGAATTAATATTTATATTTCTTTAATATGCACTACTCAAAACATGAAAATTTATGTGTGTGATGCGACATATTCTCCATTCTCTCCCACAGATGCACTCTGCACTCCCTCTTCCCTGCCCTGGGACAGCATCGATCAACTCTCTGGCACTCCAGCTCTCAACTGGTTTGGCCAATATAGGGTGGCCAAAGAAGCAAAGAAGCAATTAAAATGTTTATTCCTCAATTCTCTCTCTACTGTCTCTGATTTGATAACACTTACACGCCTTGACAAAAGACCGTAACTCCTATCAAGTGGCTAAACCTTAAAGCGATAGTTTTGACAGACTTCCCGTCACTACGGCCTCCTGTTCAGACCCAGGAGCTGTGATAGCTTCACACTGGTTCAATCCTAGGGGTTTTCAATATCCCTTGTCATTGTGTCTCTCTGCCTTTGTAAGTAGCACCTTTGTAAATCTTTCTTTAATCACTTCATTTAAATTAATAGCTATTTCTAGCCAGGATCCTGAAAAATACTTACAGAAATGTATTACCAGAATATTTGGAGTACTATTGGACTATTTATTTATATCATACTCTTATTTGGAACATTGTGTATAATATTATTAATAAACTGTAGAACACTATATTACAGTATTAAGTGGACTCATCACAAAATAAAAAATACATAATTTACCAAAATAATATTTCTCAAATTATCTGTAGTGACAGATTAGTTGTGTTTTTTAAATAAATCATGGATATACAGTTTTATAAAATATAATAAAAATGAATTGCAAAAAATAAAGTTTTAAAAATATACAAGTCTTCATTTTTCATATTCAAATTCCACAGACATAAAATTACTCTGTTAAATTGCTATAAAAGTTTCTAAACTTGATTTTTATTGTGTTCATGAACCTGTATCACTTTGCAGCCCATATTCTTGGTAGCTCTGGTCTAAAATATGAACACATAAATCATCAAATAATATGGCACATATATATCTGTATCTACATCATCTATTTCTTTATATATCTACTTATATCTATCTAAGCATGTACATAATTAATGATGCTTGAACCGTGTCATATTACATAATTGGGTGCTCAATAAATATTTGTTGAACATAAAAATGCTCAAACTTGAAAAAAACCAAACAATTAACAAAACACAAGTACACACACACACACACACACACACATATTTACTTATATATGTTTTTTTATTTCCAAAGTTTCATAGGTAGGCCTCTTTCATATACTTCTGCAGGGCTGGAAAATAGTCAAAACCTATCTGAGTGGTTAAGTGAGCATACTTTTTGACCTGTATGCTCATTTAACCATTTAGATAAGTTGTATATACTGTTAAACTTAACAGTATTATTCACTAGACTAGACAAAAGTGGAAGAAATTATAAAAGGATTCAGAGTTTGAAAGGTTTTCATAATACAATACAATACAACAAAATTAAAAAGAAATTTTAAAAAAGGAAATTTTCTTTTTAATTTTATTTTATACCCTGTATCGTGCTCCATTATATTTGTTGAAAATGAAATATAATATTTTCAAGAAAAAGGGAAAATTATATATACACACATTTAATATTATAAAATAAAATTTTATAAGCTTATATAATTTTATATATACACACATACAATGTTATGAAAAGATAAAAAATAATTGTCAAGTGAAATATACCTTACAAATATACAAAGTTAAATATAATATTTTAAAGAATATATCTGTAAGAATATGAAAAACATTTATTTCTGTTATTGGAATTATGATTTTTTTAAAAAATAGCATTTTGCTTATATATAATCTTTAAATTTCTTCAATGAACCTATATTTTAAATGAACACAAATAAATAAATTATAACCACCTCTTATGTACGTTTATAAAAATTACAAAAATAATAACAAATAGAAAACATTAATACAAAATATATATATATTCAAGCAGAACTCATTATTACATGAGTGCAAAAGTGGTTAGATATAAAAAAAACTATCAACATAATCTTACATCAACAAATTAATGAGAAAATTAAATGAAAAGGCATTTGATAAAGTATAGCAGCCACTTATAATAAAAACTCTAAAGAAAACAAAAATAGAAGACCATTAAAACTGACAGCAAATATGATTATAAATGTCAAATCACTAAAAGCATTTCCAGTAATATCAGGAGGTGGGCAGAGATGCTGGATAGCTCCATTTTTTTTAATCAACAGTGTTTTGGAGGACATAGTGAATGCAATAAGAAAATAAAATAACATCAGAGAAGTAGAGATAATACCTATTTTGGTGATGAAATTAGAGATTAGTGAAAAGCCATTAAAATTAATTATTGACTTTTGTACCTTGGCTGCATATAAAGTAAATACATTAAAAAATAAAACTCTAGCTCATCTCTATTCTGGCAGTAGTTACTTAGAAAAACAGATGGGAATAAAACATCTCCTATTCACAACTACAACAACAATAAAAAAAAAACCTAGAAAATGCTTATGAATGAATTTTATACGAAAAGTCTAGAAGAAATGGTAACAGAAACACTCTAACATCTTTTTGTAAAACATAAATAAGATTTAAACAAATGGGAAGTGATACTATACTACTGACTGGAACTTATTTCCCCAAAATGTACTAAAAATGTCATATAACTATGAAGGTAACTGTTAGAGTTTTGTTGTCGTTTGTTTTTTCATTGGGAAGGGAGAGATAAGAGAATCTTAAAGTTTATAATAAAGAATAAATATGTAAAATAATATTTTTGCTATAGAACAAAGGAAAATGAGTACATATGTTTTATCAGACATTAGAAAACACATAAATTTACTGTAGTCAAATCCATATAGAAGTTGTAAAAAATAATGACACATTAACGGATTAGAATAAGAATACACACAAATAAATTTCCAGCATATATGAAAATGTTATGAAAGTAGTGTTATTCCAATTTAGTACATAAATAACAGATTATAAATTACTTAACTAGTGTTTTTAAAGCTAGCTAGTTAGCTAGCTAGGAGAATATAATATTATACCCCTATCTTATACCATATACAATAATAAATTCCAGTTAGTTCCCTGGCACTAGGTTCAGAATCTTTATAAATGGGAAATTTAACTTCAGGAACTTCAACTTTTTCACTCGTAAATTTTTATCACGAAGAAATTGGAAATGCTGGCCGGGCGCGGTGGCTCACGCCTGTAATCCCAGCACTTTGGGAGGCCGAGGCGGGTGGATCATGAGGTCAGGAGATCGAGACCATCCTGGCTAACAAGGTGAAACCCCGTCTCTACTAAAAAAAAATACAAAAAATTAGCCGGGCGCGGTGGCGGGCGCCTGTAGTCCCAGCTACTCGGGAGGCTGAGGCAGGAGAATGGCGTGAACCCGGGAAGCGGAGCTTGCAGTGAGCCGAGATTGCGCCACTGCAGTCCGCAGTCCGGCCTGGGCGACAGAGCAAGACTCCGTCTCAAAAAAAAAAAAAAAAAAAAAAAAAAAAAAAGAAATTGGAAATGCTGAGGTGTTACAATATGAATTTAGAAAAAATTGATAAAAATTAATACATTTGAAATAAATATTTAAATGGCTTTCTAAAATTTCTTCTAGAATTTTTCTAAAATAGTATGTATAGTCCAGTGTTAAGGTATAACTTTGTAATCAAGACTTGAAATCCAAAAATCTATGAAAGGAAATGGAGATATATTTGAGTATAAAACTAATTAAAAACCATTTATGGAAGTGCAATAGAAAAGTCAAAAGGACAAACAATTGACTTGGAAAACTTATTTTTACCAGCAAGCAATCCTTTATAATATCTACAAAATAGAAGAACTCTTGTAAACAGACTAAAACAGGACAAACAATCTAAAGGAAAAATAATAAATGATATGAATTGGCAATTACTGAAGAAAACAATCTAAAATATTCAGAAACCATATGAAATATTGCTCTGACTCACCAGTACTCAGAAATATGCCATGTATAAAAGACTTCACTGTAGTGAAATACCACTATAAGCATATGACTGAAAAAAATTAAAATATTAAACAAACGAAACTTTTTTAACTTGCATTTTAAGTTTAGGGGTACACATTAAGGTTTGTTACATAGGTAAATGCATGTCATGGGGGTTTCTTTAAATATTATTTTGTCACCTAGGTATTCAGCCTAGTACCCATTAGTTACTTTCCCTGAGCCTCTCCTTCCTCCCACCCCGTATGCTCATGTAGGCTCCAGTGCCTATTGTTCCTCTCTATGTGCTCACGTGTTATCATCATTTAGCTCCCACTTATAAGTGAAAACATATAGTATTTGGTTTTCCATTTCTGCATTTGTTTGCTAAGAATAATAACCGCCAACTCCTTTTACTGGAGGAAACACACATTGATATAGCTCACTGTGAAATAAAGTAGGAAAAAAAAAAACACATAAAATTCAGAAAGAGATGCCTAGTTTGACAAGGTATTCCCAACTTAAGTGTTGTATTTCATAGCAATAACAGCAGCTATATTTGAAGATGTAAGTGTAATGATGTTTATTGCAGTATTTATTAAAATATAATGGTGAAAGACTTGAAACAAATTGAATTCCCACCAGCAGTAGGATAGTTGAAAACCTTATGATACATCTGATCCATGGAATATTAAAGACTACGCAGAAATAAACCAAATGATTTGGAAACATTTCCATGAGATATTTTTAAAGAATTTTAAAGAGCAAAAATTAACATGCTTTTGTGAAACCATGACAAATTTATATATATATATATATATATATATAGTTAATGTGAATGAGTGTGTATACATGTATACTCGAACATAATTACATGAGCATAGAGAAAGATATAGAGTGATTTATATTGAGTCATGAATTCAGACTACTTGGTAGTTAATGTGTGTAAAGAGGAGGAAGGGGCCAAGTAAAATGAGGAACAAAAAGATCACACTATATATCACAAACATTTTTTTCCTGTGTGTGTGTGTAATTGTGTTTGGAACAATATTTTTAAACCCAAATAACAATTACTGTGAAATGTATGTAGAAATGGTTGATAATACTCTGCTTTTCAATTCTCTGAGTATCCTCTTTTCTTCATTTTGTACAACTTTATTAATGAAGTCACCTTCATCACATGTTTGAAATATGTGACAGTGTAAATTAAAGTGAGAAATTAAAGGTCAAGCTGCATAAAGATGTCATAATCCGTAGTCAATCATGAGCATCAATTGGCAATGAGGGAAGATTCTATTATTATAGGACAACTTTTCTTTTCTTCTGCTTAGCATTCATAAGAAGCTGTTCTCGCCTTTTGATGCCGAGCCTAACCTTCCATTTTATTGAATAAGAGTTTAAAGCTATTTGTTTAGTTATTCTTATCTATGTTTGAATAATAATTAGATTTTAGGAGTGAAGTCATTTTACTGATTTGATGTATAACCCATCAGATGGCCAGAGGAAAATTTGTTAGTTTCCTACATTTGACTGCAATGAAGAGTAAATTCAAGCTCTCTCTCAGTTACCTAACACACCGAAGACAGATTATTCTGGCCATTATTAAGTGATCCTCATTACTCTTGGATCATTTTGTCAACTCCAGGAATTGCAATTAATTTTATACATGGCCCACCTTATTTAAAGTACTCACTATCCCAGGAAATTGCTTGGACATAGTTGTAATCAGAAGTTCTCATTGCTCCAGGTGTTTTCATTTGAGGAGAGACCAAGTTTGTCCCTGCTTGATAGACCTATATTTTAATGTGAGTTATTGGTCTAAATATGACAATACAGAAATCCCTTAAGCCACACAACAATTTCATTTTCCAAACCAAGATAAAATTTTTTTGCAACCTGGCTTGCAAATTCCAGAGAAAGAGAATAAGGAAGAACAATTTTTTTTTGTTGTTTTTCCTTAGTACAAGCTATTATAAATGCCTTTTCAGTGAAAGAAGACTAATAGAGAAACAAAAAATAACATAAAAACTAAAAGCCTATTCAAGATTTTTAGCAAGAAGCCTAATTGGTAATATTAAACAAATCAAAACAAGTAGATATAATTAATTTACATATTTGTCCTTATGAATATTTTTAAAGATTAAAATTTATGGCTAATTTTATTCTAAGAATATGAATTGCACATTTAAATTAAGCATTATAAAATGCTAATTTCTTTATTTTTAAGTGCCAAAAGTTTAACACATGTGATAAATGAAATTCAAACTATTATTTAAAATGCTTTTACTTACATTATGAAATTAAGGTAAGATGTAGTAATATTAGAAAATGCAGAACTCAACAGAATTTACAAACAAAAGTATAATCAAGATAATTTTATTTTTTCAGTTAATAGGTGTTAACATCTGTTGGATAGTTCTCAAGGCTTTCTTTCCCTTTTGATTTGCACAAATAAAATAAAATTAAAAAGTGGGTATAAATATGACTACAGAACTGCCTTTGAGTTGCTACTCTCAGCACACTGCCTGTGGGGTAGCCCTGCTACAAAGATATACCTTTGTTGTGCATTGTATATCTCTTGTTTGTAAATTCCTCAATGACATGCTTGAAGATGAAATACTTTTCTATTGTATGGCTAACTCATAATACAAAAATCTATTACCTATTATTAGGCTTTCAGATGCTTTCCACTTTTTCTGTATTTCACATAAAACTGTAATGAACATCCTTGCACATATGTCTTTCCTGAACCTTATGTAGGGGGATAATGACACCATTGGTGAAGTTACATAAACATCTATATTTTCATCTACTTATTTTATAATCCTTTTTTACCTTTTGAAGCTTTTTCATGTGTAAGAATGCTGCTTAATTTATTATTATTATTATTATTATACTTTAAGTTTTAGGGTACATGTGTCCAACCAAATTATTATCTAAGTCCTAATATAACATTGAATAATGTACCCCCAACTGATATGAAATGCAGCTGATACAAGGCAGGTGAGCCCTAAAGCTGGGGCTTAGCCCAGGAAGGTTCTTGGCTTCGCAGGAAAGGATTCAAGAGCAAGCCAGTGGTGGAAGATGGAAGAAAACAGCTTTATCAAGGCAGCAGTGTTACAGTTCCATGACTGCATCTGTAGAGCAGGGCTATTCCGCAGGCAGTGTGCTGAGAGTAGCAACTCAGAGGCAGTTCTGTAGTCATATTTATACCCACTTTTAATTACATGCAAATTAAGGGGTAGGTTATTCTACAATTTCTGGAAAAGGAGTGTCAGCTTCTGGGTCACTGCTATGGAAAGGGGCAGTAACTTCCAGGTGTTGCCATGGCAATGGTAAACTGATATGGCACCAGTGGTCATGTCTTAAGGAGAGATGCTTTTGCCTCTTTCCTGTTTCAGCTAGTCTTCAATCTGGTCCAAAGTTCCACCTCCTACTTCAGTAGAGAAGCCGTGAGTAGAGGAGAGAAATAAAGCTATAAAAGAGCTCCAGGCTAGGAGTGAAGGGATGCATATCCAGATAAGTGGTTCTTAAATTTTAGCATGTATAAAAATCACCTGAAGATCTTCTTAAAATGTAGATATCTTAGACGTACTTCCTAGAAATTGTATTTATTGGGTGGGGGTGGGTAATGCTTCAGCGGTTAGTTTGAGTAGCATATTTCAAACTTGGCTATCACTAACCAACTATGTGACTCGGTAAGTTTCCCAGAAGCAAACCTTGAAACCAGTCATCATGGGCAAGTATTTTATTAGGGTACTCCCAGGAGACTGGTAAGGGAGTCACAGAAGCAGGACCATGAAAGTAAAAAAAGACAGCACTCGTGATTTCAGGCAATCTCAGCTTTATGCAGGTATGATGGGGGTCTCTAGGACATTAATTATGCCTCAGAGGTACTTTCAGCTCTAGACAAGGAAGCTGGCCTTTCATACTTCCACACTCGTCAGCCATTGGCTAAGGGCAGGGCAGAATATGTATACTCCCAGCTCTTCTACCTCTCAATCTACAGGCAAATGGCAGTGCTCAGAACAGAGTTACAGATCCACAGCACCCTGGGTGGTACACAAAGCCCACTTTTCTCTGTCCCTCATTGGTTAAGGGCCCCTGTTTCCTCAATTGGCTTACACTGGTTTTACATATACATAAAGATAGAAGGGAATGAAAACAATTTATACAACTGCACAATCGCTCATCACTCTGTAAAATCCTCTATTTTACCGAAATGTACTATTGAATATGAGAAAGAACATGATCCTCTCATGCATGGATTCCATATTACAAACATTCCAGTTTCTAATAACTTGCCACTGATGTTTACCATGTCATGGTCTAATGAATAAAATGAAAGTGTTATTTATTATACCATATGTATATGTAGGTAAGTAATGTAGGATAGCATCTTTTGGATGTCACCCCTCATAATTCCAGTTCATATCAAAATAACAATTGACAGTGTGTTTTTGAAATTAAGTACAAATAATATAACATCAAATATCCCCTCCTTAATAACTTAAATTGGACAATAGAGAGTAAATTTCCAGTAGTTTGCTTTCTGTATCCAGAAGCCCTCATAGGGTTGCTTTGAGGACTTCTTACCACTCAGAGTAAAGTATCCATATTGAAAAAGTTATTTCCTATGCCAAAATGATTCATTCTTACTAATCACCGGTTGTTCTGATTACTTTCAGGGCAACAAATTGCTACAATAATGCTATCACTGGAGAACAATACAACACTCAGGAAAAGGACAATGAAAACATGGATTCCATTTGTTTTTCTCAGTATCAAAATGTTCAACCAAGGAGAATAAAGCTAAAAAGAGAAAAATCACACCCTTGTGATTGGGAAAGATACTTTGAAGGAGCAAAGGTAAAGATAAATAGTCCATCAAGTGACACCTGCTGAGAGAATCCAGTTTGTCTAATTGGCTCTGGTGCAGTGCAGTGGAACATGTGTCAACTCTCTTTGGAGTTTATATTGGAAATAAATTATAGGTGGGACCAGGCACAGTGGCTCATTCCTGTAATCCCAGCACTTTGGGAGGCCAAGGTGGACAGATTGCTTGAACTCAGGAGTTTGAGACCAGCCTGAGCAACATGACAAAAGCCTAATTTTACAAACTACAAAAAAATTAGCTGGGCATTATGGCATGTGCCTGTAGTCCCAGCTACTTGGGAGACTGAGACAGGAGCATCACTTGAGCCCAGGAAGGTAGAGGCTGCAGTGAGCCATTAATGTGCCACTACACTCCTGCCTAGGCAACAAAGCGAGACCCTGTCTCAAAACAATGACAAAAAATTATAAGTGGGCCTCGAATGCCAGGATAAAGTGGTTTTTTTAAATGAGATAATAGATTAATTGAAACATTAAAGATCTTACTCAGAACAGTAACATGATCATAATAATATTTTAGGAATACTTATTAGACACTATCCTTTATGATAATCTGAAGAACATTTCAAAGAAAATTAGACCATTTGGAGATTCCAGAAGTAACCCAGGCTTGACGTTGTAAGTATCTACTAGTGTGATGGTGAGATTTCAATGAAAGGCATAAGTAACTCAATGAGAAATAATAACTGAAAATACATAAATATGGAAGAAACTAAGAGAAGGGAGCTTCAAAACTCACTCTGAAATTGACCTCAGAGTTAGAAAAAATGCAGAAGTATCAAAGGGAACAGAAGTATCAAAAATCACATAAAAGGAAGAAGGTATCTTCAATTTTGGTGGTTAAAATCGAGTACAGGATTCAATTTGTTTAGAGAAATGCTGTTAAAATGAATCATTAAGACAATTTGTCCATGTGTCTGTAGCGCCTATGCTATCATTTCAGCATATAGATTCACATAAATGTGTATAATGACTACAAAGGTCAATGGGTAATGCTAAGTCTAAGTTTCCACTTGGAATTGAGATAAAACCAAAAACCTGAAATCCAGTCCAAACACCAGGGCCAATTAGTATTGTGATTTTATATGTTATCTCTCAAACTTTCAGCGTGTCGGTTTTCCTATATGCACACAAGGGTGCGTGCTATGTTCTAGTTACTAAAATTGTTGTGAAGGCCTAATTAATTAATGTATTTGATTTTTTTGAAAGAGTATAATGTGTCTTTTAATGGTCATAATTATGAAACACTGATACTTAGGAATTCACTATACCTTCCTCTTCTCAATTTGAAGTAGTTTACAATGGCATCCTAAGTTATTAGTGATTCAAAATAATACCTAGATACTATACTTTACATTTACTTTTCATGGTTATGAACTCAAACCAGATTAAATTATGTCATGCCTGAGATATTTTATTATGAGTAGTCATGACACTTATATTCCTGTTTTCTAATTTCAAAAAATTTAAATCGACTTCATTTTTGTTTAGATAATGGAAGTGAAGGATAATTTCAAAAGTCTTTGAAGAAGAAAAACAAACAAAATGAAACCAAAAATAAGAATAACGTCTTACAAAAAGATGTCATTATACTGCTGCAAAATGAGTTATGATGATCCTGACCTTTTTCTATTTCCCACAATGCATTATAAATTAGCACAGCTGGAACATTCTATAGAAAATACAAGATCATGGCCACATATTCAATTTTACTTTGGTATTTTAATCATTGCTTAGAAAAATCCTTCCCCAATATTCCTGGTCCTCCTGAATACTAATTAAATGAAAAGCATCTAGTTAGGCTAAATGTCTGCTTCAAATCTTCCCATGGGTTATGCATATAAATATGAACTTCTTCATTTGCCAAACCAAATTTGATTGTTCACTCTATGCTGGGAGCTATATTAGGTGTTAAGACAAAGGCATTTAAAAGACATGGTGTCATCACAGCACACTTGGAAACTTAACTAAAACTTTTATAAATTTAAGATTAAAATGATGTATGGCTTACTTTATTAAATGACTTTATATATTTTTTAAGAAAAATCTTGTACTTTTTAATGAGTGTAGCATTAGTGTGCACATACACATATATGCACACACAATGTTTTAAGTAATGAAGGCTCACTATAAAATCTTAATAAACAGAGATGGGTAAAAAATAATAGAAAAAATAACTTCCCACTCAGAGGGATTCTTATTATTTTATTTCCTCCCTGAACTTTTCTATGTTCATGAATAATGTGTTTAAATATATATACTTTGGACAAAATTAGAATATAAACCATATATACTGGTTTAGAATCAGGGTTTCCCTCATCTCATATATACTTAAATCATTTCTTTAACCTTTCTCCTAAAGCATGATGATTTCATATTAAGAAAAACATTGTAGTGTTTTGTTTATATTTTTAATAGTATAAATTTCTGTCTTAGTTTTGTGTTGATATGAAAGAACATCTGAGCCTGGGTAATTTATAAAGAAAAGAAGTTTACTTGGCTCGTGGTTCTGCAGACGGTATGAGAAGCATGGTGCCAGCATCTGCCTGGCTTCTTTGCTGAGTAAAAACATGGTGGAGAAGATGAAAGGCAAAATGTTCCTAGGAGAGCAAAGCCAAGAGGCATCCTGGCTTTATAACAATCCACTCTTGCGGGAACTAGTCCATTCTCTTCCTTCCTTCCTGCCATCCGCAACCAACCAAGTCTCTTAAGAGGGAGAACTCACCACGAAGAGCATGGCACCAAGCCACTCATAAGGAATCCAGCCCAAACACCTCTCATTAGGCCCCACCTCCGACACTGGGAATCAAGTTTCAACATGAGATTTGGAGGGGACAAATATTTGAACCATAGCCGCTTCAACGCATAATTTTCCCACATATTTGAATATTTTTAATAAGATAATTATTAGATGTTGAAGTACTATGTCAAAAAATATGAACTCTGAATGTACAATAACAAATTTCATTCATGAGAGACATTTCTGATATATCATCCCAACAACAGTGAATGAAATTCCCCATTACCTTATGGCTTCGGTAACAGATATTTTAAAACTTTGAAATTGTTGCCAATTTAATTAAAAATGCATTTTCTTACTAGTGATGTACAAATATTTAGTACATACTTTATATTAGGGCTTAGGGCAATTGTGTATGGTGGCAGATCCAAGACTTGGCCAACACATACTCTTTTATTTAAATTATCTCTCTTGAAACTTGGTTTATTTCCCCTATTAGGTAATTCAACTAATACAACTTTTTCTTATTGAATGATGAAAGAATTTTACATTTTAATTATATTAATCCTTTATTTTCATCTAATTACAATATTTTCCTAGTTTACTATCTTTGTTTTTGATGCTTTTAATCACCAAGTTTTTAAAGTCTTACATAATAAATGTATGAACATTTTATCATTTTCTGTTTGGACTTGGTCGTAGATTTTCACACCTAACATCAGATAACTATCCACCTTTGTTTCTAATTATTTTATGTTCTTGTTTTATGACTTTATAACCTTTTAGTCTAAGTAAGAGAAATTCATTTTGTTGCGTGTTTTAAAGCAGAGGTCTTCTAGATGTCCCCCCAACCCAAACTAATTATTCAAATGAGATTTTTATATAATCAATCATTTCCTCTCTCAGGTAAAAAGGCATATATAAAATTCTTAGACATTTTCAGTCCCTCTATGAGTTTGTCATTCTATTTTTCATCAATACTACATTATATTAACTATTGTAGTTAAAAAGAAATTATGTTGCCCTAACAATTTCCCTCCTCCATCTCCTGATCATTCTAAGCCCTTTTCTAATTGATAAAAAATGTGATGCTCTTTACTGCATAGTACACTTAGGTTTTATGAAATATAGTGTTGTAAATTACATGATCATTAAGGTTTTTCAGTCCTTCTGCAAACTAACAGCAATGTTGCACAGTAGGAAAAGCTGAGATTTTGAGTCACACATTTTTCATTGGCCAAGGATTGAATCTTGGATCTGCCACTATACACAATTGCCTTAAGCCTAATTTTTTCTTTTCAACTAATAGATGTGGACAGTCATACTTCTCTCAGATAATGTTTTTGTGAATTAAGGGAGACACAGATAAGATACACAAAGTGCCTGGTACACAGTATTTGCTTTACAGGTTCCTTTGCACTTCTATTCAACAGGATAAATTAACTTGAGATACATTATGACAAATTTAAGACAGTTAAAGGAGACATTAATGATACCAAAATTTTTACAAGTGCTAACCTAGTTACTATTATAGAACATGAAGTCTTCTCTGAATTCTTTTTTTTAAAAAAAGTATATTTGTTAATATATTTGAGCAAGAGAAATCTTATGTTTTTTAGATAAGTATATGATAACTCATACCAATTTTATCTTAAACTGTAATGATTGTATACATTCATTCATTCAGCTGATATGAGTTGAATGCCACCCAATAATAAATAGTGCTTGTAGGCCGGGAACAGTGGCTCACGCCTGTAATCCCAGTACTACGGCAAGCCGAGGTGGGCGAATCACGAGGTCAGGAGACAGAGACTATCCTGGCTAACACGGTGAAACCCCGTATCTACTAAAAATACAAAAAATTAGCCGTGCGTGGTGGCAGGTGCCTGTTGTCTCAGCTACTCGGGAGGCTGAGGCAGGAGAATGGCGTGAACCCAGGAGGCGGAGCTTGCAGTGAGCCAAGATCACGGCCACTGCACTGTAGCCTGGGCGGCAGAGCGAGACTCCATCTCAAAAAATACAATACGATATGATACGATACGATACGATACGATACGATACGATACGATACGATACGATACGATACGATACAATACAATCATTCATACATACATACATACATACATACATACATACATACATACATACATAGTGCTTGTAATTTGTGGATAATGAACTAGCCCACAAAAGTAATTTGACTTCCCTAAACGTCTCCTTAGTAGAGAGCAGCAGAGCAGAAGTGAGATCTTGAGATTAAGACTTTCCAATATTTCAAGGCATTACAATGTAACTAAATGGAATTGAATGAAATTCAACAAATAAATCAGGAAGGTTAATTTTTAATAGTCACTATTGATCTCTCCAGGATACTCTTATTCTATTACCTGTTTTTACTTTGTAATTTTCTCCCCAATCCATTATTTTCCCTCAATATTTAATTCAGAAACTATCACATAGGCTGCCATTGTTATCATTATTACTGAGCTTAACTTTCTTGTTTACATACCCACCATTTATCCCAGACTAGGATGAATCAAACCACTGTGCCTCTCTGTTTCTGGTCTTGGACAGCTGACTGAATACATTAAAAAAACTCACCATCTTATTACAGCCTCATAAAATTACCAATTTTATCTGGATTCTAAGCTATGCCAGATCCTCCTCAATATGTCCCTAGTTGGTTCTTTATCAGCTCCTTCAGTAACCCTTCTAAATATTGATTTCTTTTCTCAATTCTCATGTGTTTCACCCACTCACTTCTCTTAGCACATGATCTCTCCTCCTTCATTAAAAAAAAAAAAAATTGGGTAGTAACTTTTTAAAATTTCCTCCTTTTGCCACTGGTAAAAGAAAACAAACTCTGTGCATTATTCCATTCTTCCTTCTCATTTAGGTTAAAGAAACTTCCTCCCCAAGCTAAACTCTACCCCTTTTTAAAACTTTTCCTTCCTGTTGCTTTCTAAGACATTGTGCTATTTTGATCGTCTTCATTCGCTTCATCCTTTTTCCTGTCTGTTTTGGCTTAATCTCTTAGACAAATTATAATGCTCAAATCTCATCCTTAAAAAAACTGTTCCCTCACATCTACGTTCTCTGCTAACTGTGGTCCCACATATCCTCTTCACAGCTTAGCTAATTGAAAGAATTGTCTAAAAAACATGTCCTTTATCTTCCCCGTGAAATAACTATGCCTGGTATAAACTAGCTATAAAAATAAATACAAATAGACAAAAATGGCAAAATATAGGCTTGGTGATGTAGGTTGAAGTCTGGATGCCCCCTTAGGATCATTCCACTTTAACATCAGATATTTTACCTTTTTAATACTTCTTAACTCTATCTTTCTTTCTCCCTTTCTATCAGTACAACCATTGACATTTTACAGGTGACAAATCTGAGATTCAGAAAGAATTCTTTCACTAGAGGCCAGGAGTTCAAGACCAAGCCTAGCCAACATGGTGAAACCCCATCTCTACTAAAAATACAAAAATTGGCTGGGCATGGTGGCACATGCCTGTAGTCCCAACTATTCAGTCAGGAGGCTGAGGCAGGAGAATCACTTGGCTCCAGGAGGTGGAAGCTGCAGTGAACCAACATCACACCACTGCACTCCAGCCTTGTGACAGAGCTAGACTCAGTCTCAAAAAAGGAAAAGGAAAGAAAGAAAGAGAGAAAGAAAGAAAGAAAGAAAGAAAGAAAGAAAGAAAGAAAGAAAGAAAGAAAGAAAGGAAGGAAGGAAGAGTTCTTAATGTCCTGAAAGAGGTGAAAGAGGCTTATCTCAGATTTAATTCCGAGGCAGACTGGCTCCGGAGTCCATAGTCTTAACAAACACATTTCACCTCTCACTTATGTTCATTATTTCTTGGACAGAAGAAGTTCTAGTATATGAGACTGGTGTGCCTAAGTAAGATAAAGTACATAGTTCTAAGTATATAGAACGAGATATATTTCATTCTGTCTGAGAGAAAATAAACCAGTCAGAAATCAATCCAACACCTTTGAAGGAGAAACTAGTTGGTTTGAAAGACAAAAGCTAAAAACAGAATATTAGAAAAGGTTAAACTATGATCACAAGCTGGTGCTGTGGTCCGTGTTACCCCAATCTGTTCAGATATCATCCTAAAACTGATCCTATGCCTCCTTCCGCCCCATGAACAGTAATCTGGGGACTGGTCCGATTCGTCTTTTGTCCCAGAGAAGCCCATCTAATGGGAAGTAAAATCTGACCAGTGATGAGGATAGTCTAACTGGCTCTGTCCTTTCATCAGGGCCATAAGACTGTGGCTACTCCTTCCTTTCTTTTACTTTTTGTTCGTAAAAATCAAATAACTGAGTCCTTTTTTAAGTATCTGATTTACAGATTTCTTAGGCAAGAAAAAACATGCCTGTAGGATTGAGAGTACTGAAACAGTCATCTGTAAAGAACTCAAGCTGACCGAGTCAATATTAGCCCGTTTCTTAATTTGAAAAGAAAACATAAATTTAATTTAATTTTTAATGTTTGATTTTATGTATTTAACCATGACTCTTTATAAACATCCATATGGGTAGTATTACTGTCCACCATTTTTCTGATGAGAACATTGAGGCAAAAAGAAAAAGGTTAAATAGCTGGTCTAAGATCAGTAAGGGTTAAGCAACAAAGGTGAGGATTGGAAGCCAGGAAGTTTACTTCGTGAATCCATATTCTTAACTACAGTGTTATTTGTCCCTTTAGAATTTATACTATCTCCATAATTAAAATTCACAGTAAATTTTACCGTGGCTTATCATTTAAAACTTACACAATGGCTCCACATTTTATAATATGTAGTTGTCATTGGCTATATAAATATTTTCAGTCCTTGGAATTGAATATTAAAAAGAAAAAAAGGAATAGGAGGTAAGGAAAACAATAATAAAACTGTAGTCAAGAAAGCAGAAGGAAAAGAAAAATATACTCCCAAGAATATAGCATCTCGCCTTGAACTGACAGACTCCAGCGTTGTCCCTAATGACAACAATGAGATGGAAACTAACAAAGCCAAGTATTATTCCTGTCATCTCACTGAACAGAGGCAGTGGTGGTAATTTCCCTTATGTCCTTTAAGGAATCAGGGCCACGCATAATTGCATGTATTCTGTGTCCTGTCATCCTGGTATGGTTTACTGAGCTTTGCATCCAATCCGAAATTCTATTCTGATTCAGAATTGTGAAATAAATAGTAAATGACTAATGAATGTGCGCTTCAAAATGCTTTCTCATTATCATGAAGTCCTTGATAAAAAGGGGAGAATTTACCTTAAATAATTGATTCCCTATGTGAAGACCACAGCTCTAACTAAACACAGATTATGTATATAATATTTATCTCCTCCTTTTCAAGTAGGTATTAGGAGGAGTGCTTTGGAATTTTAACAAAACATATTATATAACTCTCTGAATTCAAAAATGAAAAGAAAAATCTTTAAACTAATTGAACTGAAGTACTTTTTGGCATAATGGAAAGCTTCAATTACAAGTGATGTATAATTCCCCATATGATTGACACATTTACCACAGTTACGAAATTACTGAAGATAAATGAGCTGCATGTGTTCCCTCTCAACACACCTAAATTTGAATCCCAAAAGGGAAATTTTCATTGAAAAAGGCTCTCTTCTCAACCATATATTTAGAAGCAGAGAATGCCATGGATGACTACAAAAAAAAAAAAAACAAGTTCTTGTTTATCCCTCTGTGTTTGTATGAATATTTGCATTCAACATCAGCACACCTGCCACATCATAGCAGGACAAGTGGCTTCTGAGCACATGAATGTTTACCTTCTGCTCCTCTGTACACATTTGTTTAAAATTCCTCTAAAAATTGAGTCTTCAAAATAAATGCTGTATATAAGGGCTGTATTTGGAGAAAGCTACAACGTTGATTCAATTTTAAAGGACTTAGAGAACTACAGGAAATTGTGGACTCAAGTCAAACAAGAAAGGATGTGTTACCAGCAGAGGACTAAATGCTCACTTACAGGCAAAACCTATTGCCGGACATATTTTAAAGGGACAACTCTCTAACAGCCTAGCAGCCATAATGAAAATTGGATACACCTCTCCCTGAATTTAGGGTGCTGGTTGAATTCCTATTGCATCCTCTATAATTCCCATAGTGCCCTTTCACTCCCTCCTTTTGCTATACCCTCCATCTCCTGTCAGTTTGCCTCACCCTCTGTGAGTCAATAGTCTGTAATGCAGCTTCTACCCCCAGAAGGAAGACAGCAGTCTAACGAAATCCATTCCGATAAATACTATCTTAATAGTAAGGGGGCATATAAAATGAGTCTAGAGATCATAGAATCACAATCATAAGCCGAACCCTCTCTATTATTTTTGTTATTATCATTGTTATAGTAATTTTTGTGTGGGAAAAACACTGCTTTTAGATTCACCAGAGTAGAACAAATCCCCAATAATTACATAATCCTACCTCTTATCAGATAAATAACGTTTATTTAAATAAAACTTCCAAAACAAACATTGATCCTACCAGTGAGAAGGATTCCACTTTTATAGATTCCATCAACTCTTTCAGTGCCCAAACCTCTACATACTAAATTTTCTATCTTCAGGGTAGAAGTTGAACACTAATGAGATATAAGAACTAATAATCTTTAAAGGAAAAAATAATAAAAGAGTAACATCTTCTCTTTTCACAGGTAAAATCCAGATCTATATTCTGACTCTTACACATAAAAATAGCCTTAAGTGGAACAACATTTACCCAGAACATGTTTACTGAATACTAACGTTCTCAGAGAAATGCTGCAGTCAATGAACAAAGTTTCATCACCTAGTTATGTTCCATATATCACAAAGTTTAGCTCTATTTCCAGAATATAATGCTTAACTACATCCTTCTAAGCCTGTGTTCCAGCTCTGTGAAACACTTACATTTTTTAATTACATAAAATAACTATGAATATACTAAAGAGTCATTCAGTAATCAAGCAACGTGAAAAGCTCTTATGGTTTTCTTTTGGCATAGATTTTTTTAATAAAGGTAAATAATCTAAGTTTGGACATCTCTCTAAAATAATTTGTAAGAACTCCACGTATGTAGGAGAGAAGAGAATCAAGAAGAATTTACTAAAGTTACTTTATCAATATATAAATACAAATATTACCTGTTAATATATGCAAATAAAATATATTTTATACATGCAGTTAATGGTTATGCATCTTTTATAACATTTTGGTTTAATAAACTTGATGGAATACTATGATGCCATTAAATATATATCAGAAAATTTTACTACAGTAGGATAAACATTGGGTATGTTAGTGAAAAAAGCTTAAACTAGAATTATATCTTTAAAGTAGCGTAAACCTATTTGATGGAAATGTGTATACTTAAGACTAGGAGAAGCCAAAATACAAGCAATGTTTTAGAATGTTGGGATTGTGAAATTTTTAATATTTATTTTTCCTATATTATATATATATAATAATATTTATTTTTCCTACATTATATATATATAAAATCTAAATAATTAATTTCTACTTCTTGGTAGAATAGTAATTATAGACACTTGATAGATATAAGGGAAATAAAATATGCCAGATTGATGTATTTCTTTGAAAGTTAAGTCTAGCATATAAACATCAATGAATATAATGAATCTCCTAGTCATAGACAACTTTATTAGAAGAATCATTAATAATTTCTACCTCTATTGCTCTACCTACCCCTCAAACATTCACCCAATCCAATCTGGCCTCTTCTGCTGCCCTCCCTGACAACAGTATTAACAGATCTAATGGTCATTTGACAATACTCCACTTAATTTCCTAGTTGAACTTAACCCGATTGACCACTCTTTTTACCTTGACTTCCAAGACACGTTTTTGTCCCTATTTTTCTCTAGTTATTCCTTCTGTCTTTGCAGTAATGGTACTTTTTACCTAATCACTCACTACTCAAATACTTCAAGGCTTATTCCTAAGTGGCCTCCTTTCCTTACTTTGTATTATTTCCCTGGGTATTCTTGTTTCTACCCCAAGCTTTGCTTGTCTCTGTAAGCAAATGACTCACAGATTTATGTCTCCAGCCCAGACTACTCCTAAAAGCTTTAACCAATTATATTAACTTTCTTATATCTCACTTGGATGTCTCAAAAGCCACACTCATCAAAAATAAATCCATAATCCCTCTTACTGCCCCTAAAACTTGATCACTTCCAGTGACCCTTATCTGAGTAAAAAATACCACCATCCATGCAGTTAGACACAGAAAAGTGATCATTTGTTTACCTCACACATTTACAATATTCAATAGACTCTCTAGTCTCAAGAACTATATTTATTAAACATCATTCGTATGCATTAATTAATCTCTATCTTCACAACATCCTGGGTCAAGTTATCACTGTCTCTGTCTCAGATACTGTGTTGGTCGTTTAGCCCCCCATCTGTCTGTCCAAACTCCAAAGTCACTTTTTAAAAATCACAAATACGTCTTTCTACTCTCCTTCATTAATGAACTCCTTCTGAAGATAAACTTATTAATTTGGGATTACCTTTCCATTCTCTTCTTTCTCCATCCCTGCCACATAATTCCCTTTCCATTTAATGCATACTGGCTATTTGTCAATCTCTCATATTCTCTATGTCCTCCATCACCATTAGAGCCTGAATGTATTGATTTCTCGGCTTGGAATGACCTTCCTTGCCTTCGTCACCTAATTATCTTGTGCTCCTTTTGCAGTTATTAGCTAAGAAGTTTTCCTATCCTCCTAACCTCTGTGAATGCCCCTCCTGCCCCCAAATAGGTTTCCATGGCACTCACACATATTGGTGTCATTATTTGATTTTTTTAATGTCACTTACTAGATAATAAGCTACATGAAAGCAGGAGGCTGTCAATTTTTTTTCATGATTACAACACCAGCTATTATCTAAAATGATTAATTATAAATATCTAATTTTCTACTTGAATTATTAACAACTTGTTTAGAATTTAAGTCCTTGACCAGAGTACTTGTGTACAAAGCATATCTCAGGTGAAACTGTGGAATAGGTAATTACTATTATTCCATCTGCTGTTTTCACCCTTTTTTGCTCCAACTTCTGAACTTCTGACAATTCCCTTTACTCTTGGAAACTGTGTTTCAGTCAGCCTTCTTCTAGCTCTACTCTTTCTGAGCATTCCAAGGATATTTCTGTTTCCAGGTATCTAAAGAACAGAGGAAATTACAGAAAAAGTAAAAATAACAGAATTGATTGTTTCCATTTCTGAATGATAAGAGACGGTAGGTAGGTCAATTTGCTTTGTGGCCTTCAAGGTCTGGATTGAGAGAGGCTCATCCATTCAATCATTTATAGACTCATTAAACAATTAGAGATTACCTCATATTAACAAATTCCATTTGTTGATTACAAGATTCTGTAGCTGCACTGTTCAACACAGTAGTTACTAGTCACATATGGCTACTTAAATGTAAATTAATTAAAATCAAATACTTTTTATCTGTTTGCATTAGCTACATTTTAGGTGCCTTTTTTCATCGTTATAAAGCTCCATTGGACATTGTTGTTCTATAATCTGTGTTTTAATACATAAACTCTGTAGTGGAAAAATATTGCTTTCTTCTGCCTTAAACCTAGATTTGCCTTCTAATCTGTATGCTCTTGGTGGTGGCTTAGGAAAACCAGCTTTCTGTTGTGTTCCTGCAGGATTATTTTCCTCTCTCATCCAGGAACAGGTGTGGGCAGGTGCCCTAGCTAGAAGAACCCACCTTTTATCAAGGAATTTGGAAAAGAAAAATCATTTTCTGTATAGGTGACTCAACTATGATTTCTACATTGTGGTTTGGAGAGGCAGAGGAACTGGATTCAAGGGATAAAGAAGAAAACATATGTGACATAGCCCATTATTAGAGGGGCATCCAGTTTGGTTTTAGTTCTTTCTTTTCCCTTGTCTTTGAGGTACCATGAGGTACTCCTGAATCCTCAAACATAAGCCGCCTTTTTAGAAAACAAAAGCTAGCTTGATTAGCCTTCATTTAATCCTCATAATAAATCATGAGGGATAGTTCAATATTCCTATTTACAGATGAGGAATCTTTGGGTTCAGTGAGATTAAGATTAGTCGTAGAGCATGGATTCAAATCTATATGGCTTACATAAATTGAAAACATTATTTTGCATTATGTTATAATATTTGTAAGGTACAAGTTTATGCTGGAATCTGAAAATAAAGAAATTAATAAGGAATGGCTCTTGGTTAGTTACAGTCTTACTCCATTGTGGTCCAAACGAAAGGAAAGGAATAGAGATTAGGAAGATATCCACGTATCGGCTGTAGTGAATAATGCTGAAGTGAATGTAGGAGTATAGCTATCTTTATGAGGTGGTGATTTTGTTTCCTTTGGCGATATATGCAGGGGAAGAATTGCTAGATCGCATGGTATTTCTAATTTTAATTTCTTTAGGAACCTCCATACTATTTTTGATAATGGCTTCACCAATCTATATTCCCACTAACAGTGAACAAATATTCTCTTTTCTCCACACCCTCACCAACACATTATCTCTTATCTTTTTGATAATGGCGATTCAAACAGGTATGAGGTAATATCTCCTAGTGGTTTTGATTTGCATTACCCTGAAAAATAGTGATGTTGACCACCTTTTTATGTACCTGTTGGCCATTTTTACATTATCTTTGGAAAAATGCATATCCAAATTCTTACTTCATTCTTTTAATATGGTTTTGTGTTTTCTCACTATTTCCAATTATATATTTTCCCAATCTGTAGGTTGCGTTTTCATTTTGTCAATTGTTTTTTGCTGTACAGAAAATTGTTAGTTTGATATAGTCCCATTTATTTATTTTTGCTTTTGTAGCCCATGGGATCTTAAAAAAAAAACTGTCAAATAAGAATAAAACAGTTGTTACCAGTGTCTGGGTGGAGTGGAGAAAATGGGGAGATGTAGGTCAAAGAATACAAAGTAGCAAATATGTAGGATAAATAAGGCAAAAAATATAATCTACAACATGAAGACGAAAGTGGACAATAGTTTATTGCATTCGGGATTTTCGCTAAATAAGTAGATGATAGCTGCTGGGGTGGTGAGTAGATAATTATGTGAGATAATAGATATGTTAATTTGTTCCACTATAGAAGCCATTTTACTATACAGTTATGGGTGCTTAACTACAGATATATGTTCTCAAAAATGCATCGTTAGGCAATTTCATCTTTCTGTAAATATCATAGATTGTATTTTCACAAACCTAAATGGTAGAGCCTACTACCCACCTAGGCTATATGGTATACCTATTACTCCTAGGCTAGAAATCTTTACAGCCTCTTACTATACTGAATACTGTAGGCAATAGTAACAAATACTGTAGGCAATTGTAACACAATGGAAAGTATTTGTATATCTAAACATAGAAAAGGTACAGTGAAAATACAGTATTATAATCTTATGGTACCACCATTGTATATGCAGTTCATCATTGACTGAAAAGTTGTTATGATGCATGACTCTCTCTAAATATCTTAATCTTCATGTTGTATACCTTAAACATGCACAATATGATTTATTTTATTTAAAAATTGATATTAATGTAGGCCAGTGTGCATAATGCAGGGGATTCCTGGAAAAGTCTGACTCGGGGAAAACCCAAACTTTTCTGACAAACACAAGCAAGGTTGTTGCTTGTGTTGAAGTTGAGAAGACTGGAGTTGAGAAACTCACAGAAGACAGTGGGTCAGATATTAGGCCCAGTTACTTACAACCTGGCATTTCCAGAGAGATGGACTCCCCTAAGGCTAATTCAAACTCATGCCTGGAAAGAATCAAAAAAAGAAGTTAATCTTGGCTTGATGAAGTCATGAAAGGAGTAGAAAATAGAGAGCCCACTAACTTACCAAGTTTCAGCATAATAACTACTGTCCCCTAGCAATGCTTTCTAAAACATAAACCTTTGCAGAAAGTTGATTTGATAGTAATCTCAATGCTTCTAATTTGAGGAAAATAGAGCATTGTTTCATTTCTCAGTGGCTTCACTCATTTTCAAACTGTAAATGAGAGAATATTTATATGGCTGCTGAGCAAAAATGAAAAAAAAATGAGGTTTGATTTGTTTTTGAAGTTTAGAAATATGTCTGTGGATGACTAGCCAAAGATGGCAGAATTTAGATATGATGAGATGGATTGATGTAGCTATCTGCCAAACAGCATGATTAAAACCATTCAGACCCTGAAAATGGAGCAGAGAACATTGGCTTTATTTCTATAAACTAAACTGTCACCATCAGACTTAAGTGCTCTTGTCGTGTCAGAGGATTTATTATTATTAAGAATTTCTCTGACATGCATTCGCCGAGTGCCTCTTTGAAGTTTCCATCAGTCACAGCTCTTTAGTGACATGGTCTGGCTAGTTTTCAATGATAAAAGGAACTGAGGCATCCATACAAATTAACACTAGTTTCATGCCATAGGCCCCTCATTAATATGTGATTTCAAATGAAGGTGGATTTAATCTGTAATACAATTAGTTGGTTGGGGAGGACCACATCAAGCAGTAGAAAAATGTCAGAAAATGTATGTCGAACTCAACTCTTGCAAATCAAAGGTGAGTCCCTCTATAAGGGAATGTTATTCATCCATTATTTCAATGGTCAACTTACATATGTGAATGTACCATTAGTTAAGATGTGAGACAGACAGGTGACTTTCAGGTTTATCTCAAGATACTCAATAACGAATATTATTCTTACTACATATCAGGAAAGTAAAATTCTAAAATTGACCTTCTCTCTTATTTCAGAGCAACTTAATTCTGCCAAAGACCATCATAGAACCATTTGTATTAAAAACTCTACAGACTGATACTCTCGGAATTCAGCTAGGCCTTCAGCACCACCTGCCAATTCTGTTATCTGTCTTTTGTCAGCTACTTTTACCATTCCCTTCCTCAAAATTTCAGAACTGTCCCCTTTCCTCAAATTTTCTCTGTACCAAATTTCTACCCCACTTCTTTAAGCAGATAGCATGACAACCTAGACACTTGTGGCTATCAGGCTTGATTTACCTCAATATTCCACCTCTTTATCTATTACACTTTTACTGCCACAACCATCCTTTCTCTCTTTTCATCAATGACATAGAATGAAGTGACCTTCTTCTTGCTCTAAGCCATGCTTTACTCCGGTTTTTGGGGGGTCCTCCTTTCTGCTCTAAGTCCTGACTACACTAATTAACCTTATTTCCTTTACAAATCTTCAACTTTTTTTTCTATTGGCTCCTCCCTCTTAACTTCATCTCCTTAATCCTAATGACCTTCCTTGGCCCCACATTCTCCCCAGCTACTCACACAGTCAAAATGTGCTCCACGGTAAATGGTCATGTCAAGAACCTTTGAAGGGAAGGAGATTTCACTGTACTTGAAGGCTAACAAGCTAGTGTGCTAGAGTTTCATACTTACTGGCAGAAGACACAAAATTTATGGGTAAGAAACAGAGGACTTCATTCCCATGAAACAAGACACATGAAGTTTATGTTTGCATTGGTTCTCCATGCCCCTCAAGTCCCACAGCAGTGATGCAAATGGTGCATGTGGTACTGTGCACACAGTAGATTTGTGTTACAGCTAAGGAGACACTAAAGCTTTAAAAAAATATGACAATAGGCTGCTGGCAAACTTGTCTAACTTTGTGCAGGAGGAAGACATTAGTTTTGTTATTCTGGTTAGGAACAAACCTGCCATCTGTCTTAGAGGGAGAATTAATCTCTACCTTCCAAGGCATTTTGTTATATAAACATCCTTGAAAAGATAATGTAGGACAAAACTGTCCAGAGACATACACATGTGCCATAGAAAATTGCTCATCCATAGGTTGCCTTTCATTTATTTATATTATTAACAATTTTTTGGTAAGTTGACTGAATGTTCTCTATCTGTTATACATTTTGCTAGGTGGGAAGCACACTACCAGACTTTAAGAATCCTATTTAATTTTTAATGGACACAGTGAACCTCATAGCACATTTCAAGAATAATGCTGATTTTGGAATGCCCTTACTAATAAATCATAAATCACCTGTAGTCATTTCATTACAGACTGCTGGAAGGGTACTAGGCATTGTGGTCTGGTAAAAAATTTTCCACTTACATTACAATTGATCCAATAAAGAATAAATTGCAAATAATACTTCAGCATTAATGGTGTTTTCTTCACTCTATAAGACATACAAATGGACCTTCATGGAAAATATACTGTTGTAGTTGCTATAAGCCTCTATTTCATTTTAAGCCAAGACTCAAAATCACATCATATTAAATAACTGTGTGTGTTTGGTCTTTTGGGGTAGGGATGAGAAAACACATTTTGCCAAGTTTAGCATTGTGAGTTCAGAGTTCAGAAGAAAATTCAATTCTTTCTGGAAATGAGTGTAATAGAACAGCTGGTCAGACACAATTTACTTGCTCACAGAAACAAACTTAATGACTTCTGAATAAAAAAAAAAGGCTTACTAAAAAGGGTCATAAGGAATATCACCAGATTTAGGATACTCTGGGCTTAAAATGGCATCTGCTTATAAACTCTGATGCAACACTTCCCACTCCTCAAAAGCAAACCAACAATTAAAAAAAAAATATATATATATATATATATACGCACACACATATATATACTATATATATAAACTCAAAAACAAAAACTAGGAAGATTTTTTTAAAAGATGAAGAGTAACTTAAAATATCTAGAATTTCAATTGATAGGCAACTTGTAATAGGGATTTTTGAAGACTTTTTATAAACTAAATGGGTAATAAACAGATTGTGAAAGAAGTAAATAATATATTTAGTTGTTACATCTTAGAAAACTTAAATATGTTTTCTGAAATAAAGTTCACTTGCAAAAACAATACTGAAAAAAACCATTTGTCTTAAATTGCCGTTTGCCTCCAGACTCAGAAATCCAAAGCTAGTACAAAACATAGAATGGGGCAGCTGTCCTTCTATAAAACTGGTGCTACATTTTAAGGTCTTCTCCACCTTCATTTTTTTACCTTTTTATTTTGAAAAACAATCAGACTTATTAGAAATTGTAAAGTTAGCATAGAAAGTTTTTTGGAACCCTACACCCGGCATCCCCTAATGAAAACATCTGATATAAACATGGGATATCAAAAATAGGAATTTGACAAAGGCACCATATGCTATCAACAATATCACAGATCTTATTTGGATTCCATCACTTTTCTAACCCTCCTTCATTTTTAAAGCTATACTTAGATATAAAACTCAGAAAATAGCCAGGAAGTAAGGTGAGAATGTGACAGTAGAAATCAGGGGGTTTCTTGCGGAGATACATTCCTATTAACACAGAGCTAGAAAAGTCTAGGCAAGAGTGGAAACAGCTCAGGTTAACACCTAATGAAAAGCCTATATTTTTTTCTTATGCCCTTCAGTTGACAGTGCCAGAAAATCATATAGTGGAAAATGAAAATGAGCTTGCTAAGTTAACAGAGTCAAACAAGACAAAGCCTTGCTGGAAATGAGAGACTGGACAGGGAGATTTTGACCTTCACTTTTCCACTGGCTAAGATCTGAAGCTAGAGGGCAAGCTTATATCTGCAACCTGCCTGTCTACCATTTCTACTGCTGCATAAAAATAAAAAATTTCAGGAAGCTTGGCACAGTCAAGAGTATAGGAAGATGCGAAGATGTGATATGGGAGGAAATAGCTGTAGAAAATAAAAGACTGAAATTAAAAGTGAACAAGCATGGGATGTAATTTGAGACTGAGGAACTAAGAAAGAATTTAAGAGTAAATGGAAATAAATATATTGAAAGCAGAAGAGTAAACTGACTTGCAGAAAATGCAATAAAATTAGGCAGTGGATTTCTCTCCATATTTCACAAAGATGTTAAAAAATGATATCCCAGGTTCTAACACACAGTACCCATTTCCCTGTGGTTTTCACTGTAGACAGATATTGTTTTCACAGACAAATAAATAAACACTTTCTCTTCTCAAAAGTATTTATTAGAATGTGAGTGATATCAATATATTTGCATAGATTTTCATCATCTCTTCTAATATGGAACTAGATGGTAATTCTAGACTTTACAGTGAGACTTTATTTTTGTATGAGTGTCAACCCACTCCTCAAGCCAGAATGGTTCCAGCAGAGCGATTACTTTCAAAAGCTGTATAAATTTATTGGTAAAAGTTTAATGCCAGCCTTAATTGCCTTCAAAATTCTTGACTAGAGACCATCTGGTCTCAAAGATTTATCTATACCTAGTTTACAAATGCAGTATCAAATATTCTGTGGTTGTACCACTACTTGATCTCATTGCCATAAATTTTAAGTTCCAAAAGTCATCTTAAAGTGAAAAACTCTCTCATCTCTTTTTGTGAAATGGGAAAAAGTTACTAATTTTTTTTTCTCTGTGAATTTCAGTTTCCAGAAGAACCTCCTCCAGAAATTATTGAACAATCCTACTAGTCTATCAGTCAGTTTTCTAAATTTCTTCTAGTCTTCTAAGCTTTCTACCTTTCATATTTCCTACTTTTTTCTGAATCTTAGTCCAAAATTTTTGTAATACATTTTAAAAGTCATACATTCACTCTTTTCTTCTTTCTTGCCTTTTTTTTCTCTCTGTATGCTTCACCCATCAGTGAGAGTTTAAGTAGTACAAATTTCAGATTTCTGCATTTTCAAATTTAGGAGGAATGTTTTAACTTAATTTTTAAAATGTACTTTGTAAATTCTACTAGGAACAGTTAATATGATATCCTCCCTCTTTTTCTATTATCAGGTTTTTATAAGTATTTTTGATATACAAAAGAACTATACATGTTTAATTAATATAATTTAGTGATTTGGGACATATGCACCATACCCGTGTAACTATTACCACAATGAAGATAATAAACATATCCATCACCTCCAAAAGTTTCCTTGCACACCTTCTTGTTTGTTTGTTCTGTTTTGTGATAAGAAGCCTTAACATGAGATATACTCTCTTGACAAATTTAAGGGAACAAATAGTACTGTTAACTATAGGCACAATACTGTATAGCAGATCTCTAGAACTTAATCATCTTGTATAACTGAAAATATACACCTGAATAACAACTTTTCATTTCCTTTTTTCCCCAGCCCCTTGCAAGCACCATTCTATTCTCTGCTTCCATGAGTTTAACTATTATAGAAAACTCATATAAGTGGAATCACGCAGTATTTCTCCTTCTCTGGCCTATAACATCCAGCATAATGTCATCCAGTTTGATCACTGTTGTTGCATACGGCCGGATTTCTTTCTTTTCCAATTTTGAATAGTATTCATTGCATGTATGTACCACATTTCCTTTATCTACTTAACCATCTACTGACATTTAAGCTGTTTCTGCATCTTGGCTATAGAAATCACCTTGCATAACTGAAACTTCATACCCATTGAATAGCAATTCCCCATTTCCCCTTTCCCTAAATCCTGGCAACCACCATTCTCTCTGCTTCTATTTTAAATCGTTCATACAAATAGAATCATGCAGTACTTGTTCCTGTTGTGACTGGCTATATCTGTTCCTAGAAAATAGAAGTTGTTAATATCTTGCTACAGTTGTCTTTAGCTTTCTCTGAAAGAAAGGACAAAACTAAACTATTTTTGTATAATAGCTCTACCTATTGTGTTAGATTTAGTCTTAGGTATAAAGATTTTCTGGTTATGAGAAATTTTCCATTTAACAGTATATCTAACTAAGTGTTTTATATTAGAATAGTTTTGGATTTACAAAAAAAAATTGTTGAAAACGTCATACCAAGAGTTCCAGTATAACTCTTATCTAATTTCCCCTTTTGATATCTTTTCACAAAACGATATTACATTTGTCACAAGTGAGAAACCAGTATTGCTATGCTACTATTAACTAAACTCCACAGTTTGTGCTGATTTCACAAGATTTTTTTTTTTTTGCTAATGTCCTTTTTCAGTCCCCATCCCCAATACCATCCTAGATACCACATTACATATCCTCATATCTGCTTAACATCCTGTAATCTGTGACAGTTCCTCAGACTTTGTTTTGATGACAGTTTTGAGAAAAAAATGGTCAGTTATATTTTAGAATGTCCCTCAGTTGATCTCAATCTTATGCCGATTGATCTCTCTCTTACACTTTTCTCATGATTACGCTGAGGTTATGGGTTTTGTAAGAGGAGGCTGCAGAGGTAAAGTGCTATTCTCATAATTTATCAACTATCATGATTTATCATGCTATCAACAATATTTATCACTAGTGAAGTTAGTCTTAATCACATTTCTGAGGTAATATATGTGAAGTCTCTTCACTGTAAAGCTATTTTTCACCACTTTCAATACTCTACTCTTTGGAAACCAATCACTAAGCACATCCCATACTCAAGGAATGGGAAATTAAGCTTCTATTCTTGAAGTAGAGAGAATAACTACAAGAACTATTTGTAATTCTTCCTTATGGGAGATTTGTCTCTTTCTCCATATGTTTATATTTATTTATTCAATCAATTATTTATATCACTAAGGGCATGTTTATTTTATATTATGAGTGATGATATAATATCATGTTATTTAGTTAGTTGCTGAAACTGTTGCAGCTTTGGCTAGTGAAAGTCAATTTACGTTGCTCCTGTATCCCACTGAGATGTCTCCATGGTTTTGTGTTTTAAACACTTTTATTTTCTGGCATTAAAAGTTATTCCAGGCTAATTTTGTTCATTTTTCCAAGAATCACTCATTTCTTTTCTTGAAGAATGGTATTAGAAATCAAGATCTGGGCACTGGGCACTGGAAAGCCATTATTTTAAAATTAAATTTTCTATGTTTTTATTTATATTACATTAGCTCACTATTGATATGTGTATATTGATCTTAAAAATGCCAATATTAGTTCTAAAATTGTATGTGTAATATTATTCTGCAGATAATAGTTGGATATACTATAGGAATACTTACACTATTCTTGACAACTTTATTTCTTCTTTCTAATTCTTACATCTTTTACCTTATTTTTAGTCTTATTGTTTTGGATAGGATCTCTAGGTCAATGTCAACTGTGGCATCTTTTCTGTGTCTCTGACTTTTAATGAATGTTCTAATGCCTCCTGTTAAGTGAGACATTTTCTGCAACTGTTTGATAATACTAATCGGGTTAAATAAGTAATCTATCTACAAACAGCTAAAAACTAAATCTTACAGAGGTACTGAATATTATAAAATCCTTTTCTGAATCTCTGAAGATCACTTTTATTTACTCTCTTTAATCAGTTTATGTGATAAATTATATGAATAGATTTTGTAATACTAAGACATTCCTTCATGTTTCAGATAATATCTATTTGGTCTGAAGGTATTTATTTCTTCACTCCTCTATCGAAAATGCAAACACATTATTTTGTCTTTTCACACTGAATTTCTTAAAAAAATCAACCTATTAATCTTTTAAAAACCAATTTAATTTCTTTAATGTCTGTATTCCTGTCAAAATTGTACATCTTTTAAAAATACTTTGGTAATTTAGGTTCTCTAGAAAAAGTTCATTTTGCACAGGTTTTCAGACTTCTTTAATCATAATTATTCACAATACTATTTTATAATTTTTAAAATTGTATCTGTAATTACAAATTACAAGATCTACTCTCATTCAATATTATTTTGTTGAAATTTCAATCTTTTTTTTCTCTTTGGATCTTGCCATATATTTATCTGTTGTATTTTACTTTCTAAATTACAAATTCTGGGGTACGAATTAGTCTCTATATTTCAAATCATTCTCCACTTTATTAACCTGCTTTTATCAATTTGTTTCTAGTTTGGGGAGTATCTCCCCTTGTCATCTTGTGATAAAAAATTTGTTTGATTTTCTATCTTTTTCTATTATATCTAAGGCTATAATTTTATTTTGAAAGCTACTTTAAATTTATTCTAGATATGTGTATCTTTTCAAAATGTATCTCTATATAAGATTTTGGGATCCATCATCTTTCAAAAGAAAATTCACTGAGAGCACTGAAAACACATTATATGTATTTTCAACAATTGGGTAATTTTTGAGACTTTATTTGTATCCTGGGACCTAATTTAGGCATTAAAAGTTCAACTTGTGCTTGGATACAATCTGTATTCTTTCAGATGTGAGGTAAAAGTCTCCTGCTGTGATTGAGGTAACTTCACCTTATGTCCTCCACCAGCCCAAGCTTTGAAGCCAGGCTTACTGGGTACACATGGGGGGCTGTGCCCATGGCTAGATATGTAAGAACAGGCAGGGCATTTAAAATTTCACCTGCCTCAGTGTTCTCATGTGCACAATGGACCCTCCTGTCTGGTTATGGTAAATATTGAGCAAATGAGGCCACCGGAGGTTTACCTGGAACAGGTTGAGGTGACAGTGTTCACCTTTACACACAAGTGCTCAGAAATATTAAATCTTCCTGTTTAACTCTTCCTTTTGTCATTATGCATAAATGATGTTCATTATCACTGAAAATGTTTTTTGTTCATTTTGTCTAATATTGTTGTCATTTGTCCATAATTGCTTAGTGTATTTTTCATTATTTTGCTTTTAATCTTTATATATTTCAGAGATGTTCTGTTTCAATGATTGTACTTATATAGTGATATGTATAATATATTCATCTAATATGTATTTCTTTCAAGAGTAGATTTTATTTTACCTATTTTAGTTACTATTTGGGGGATTTATTTTTGCTCTATATTGAACTTTTATTGGCAGTGGTTATTCTCACCCTCCCCTGTTTTGGCGATCTAGTTTTTCAGGGAATTTTCTTTATTAACGATTTTTTCCCCCGCTATCTTTTCACTGGTTTGAAAATAATACATTACGTTTATGTGATATTAATGTTTAGGTGCATTTTATGATAAATATTTGGCACGGCAATATACAAAGAAAATATACAACTACACTCTCTCCTCCAATTATATCTGACATTCAGATTAGTTTAACTCCAGTGGCTCTTCCCACACACGGCATGTTGTCGCTGTTCTTTATTTTACCTCCACCTTGAATTCAATCTCCCTCACTAGTTTCTGCTATTAATATTTATGTTTACAGTTAATTATTTATAAATTTCACTACATGACTATCGATATCTTTGTTAATTTTTATTTAAATATATTCTCTATTGGGTTATTTTTCTTCTTGCTTTTTAATTACGCCTTTGTGATAATTCTTTAGATAAAGGCTATGAATAAATTCTGTTTTGTTTTGTTTTTTATTTCGCCTTCTTTCTTCAATGGTAGTTCATTTAGATATTAAACAGAAGGCTGGTAATTATTTTTCTCAACAAGTTAAAAATATAATTTCAGTATTTTCTGATCTTTCTTTTGAATTTCAGAAATCTGCTCTCAGTCTCATTTGCTGCTAACTTGTAGTTGGTCTATCTTTATCTCAGGTTGTTTTTAAAAGTTTTATTTATTGTTTCATAATTTACAGTTTCATAACAACATATTTATTGCACATAGCAAGCAATAAGAAGGCATATGTAGCTTACATTTCATTAGGTAATACTTTTTAAGCCAGAAAGCTATGAAGGTATAATTCTTAGAAATAAAAGCAAATAGTATATAGATTTTCTTATGACTGGTTATTTTATGACTGATTTTGACTTACAGATTATCTTGTGACTTACTTTACAACAAGGGCAACTATTGCATGGGAATCTATAATTAGACTTAAATATACTATTTGCATATTAAATTTTCAAAGATTTTTATTGCTACATATTTAACTTTTAAAACACTATTAAGTGTTGGCAAGGTTTTAGGTAAATGGAAAGCCTCATGCACAGTTCATGAGCTAACAGTCAGTAAAACATCTTTTGAGGACAATTTGGCAACATCTGGAAAAAGCTAGAAATATATTAACAAAATTTGACCCAGGAATTCAGCTTCCAAAAATTTTTCATAATGATTATTTCATTGAGTAGTCTATGTAAAATGATATTAAACACAAGTTTAGTAAAATGGCAGAAATTTAAACTTGCAGTAGCATGTTTAAAACTTATGGTAGGCCAGGTGTGGTGGCTCATGCCTGTAATCCCAGCACTTTGGGAGGCCAAGATGGGTGGATCACTTGAGGTCAGGAGTTCGAGACCATCTGGCCAATATGGTGAAACCCCGTCTGTACTAAAAATGCAAAAATTAGCTGGGCCTGGATGTGCGTGCCTGTAATCTCAGCTACTAGGGAGGCTAAGGCAGGAGAATCGCTTGAACCCGGGAGGCAGAGGATGTAGTGAGCCAAGATCACACCACCGCACTCCAGCCTGGGTGACAGAGTGAGACTCCATCTCGAAAAAAAAAAAGGAAAAAGACTTACGGTACACTATATAATTAAGTTCGTATGTATTTTCTAAAGTAATGTTTCTAAGGAATGTCAGGTGAAATGAGATATATCATATTTTAAAAACTTATTTAGAAAACAATATTTTAAATGAGACAACAGATAAAAGATAATAAACGAATAAATGAAGGGAATAATATAAAACAACTAGTGGCAGTTTAGTACCTGGTTGTTACTATTATGAGTAATTCTAATTTTTCTTTTTTGAATTTTCTAATCTTTTTAGTGAATTATCCATATGATAGCATAAAGCAGTTATTTTGATTAAGAGAAACACAATAAACCTATTCTTTTCTGTAAATTCTGGCTTTTTGGAACTGAAGCACAATAAACATATTAAGACTAGATATAAACTACCTCTTTGTAATATATAGGATAAATTATTATTAATATATTGAAAGCACCAAAAATACATTTATAAGAGATTACAGAAGTCAATGGGCTTTCCACAAATGTTACATATACCAAAAGCAGAAAATAAAATATTAGTGAATTTGATTACACAAAACTTTAAATCTCTTGTATAGATGATATCATTAACCAAGCCAAATGACAAATGACAAGCAAGAAAAAGGAGCAGCCGTATAACAGCAAGGGAGCAAATTGCTTTAACACTAAAAGATTTTACAAATCAGTAAGAGTCATACAGACTAGTAGCAGAATTGGTCAATAACTATAGAACTAGCGAATAGGCATACAAAATCTGTAATCTCAGCCATAAATAAATAAAATTATAATAAACACAAACATTTATCTTCATATGATGAAGATTTTAAAAAGTATTAATACCTACTATAGATAATGAGAATTTGGAAAAATAATTGATTATCTTAATGTTTTGATGAAAGTTCAAGTTGTCATAAGCTTTGTAGTAGATGATATAGTGACATTTTGAAAAATAATATCCATTAAACCCACTTCTAGATATTTATTCTACAGCTACACATACACATTTTATGTAGATAAAAAGTATATGACACTAATCTTATATCCTTATGACAGGATAATGTATTTTTATTGTTGTCTCTCTTCTTTTGGAAAAGAAGGAACTTATTTATATGCCATTTATAATATGGTACATATAATAAATAACAAACATATGAGACATTTTAGTTTTTCAATTGGGATATTAATAAGCTATATGATGCATTTTCATCTACATCGTTTCCATGTGATATGGATATCTATTTAGATATTTTCCAGATGAGAATGTTTGCATGAGGAGAACATTCTCCTAAAATTTTGTTCTTGTCTTCTAAACTATGGTCAAGGCTCAAGTATCTAGGCTTATTATACACTCTGAATATTTTTCTATACTGAACCTATGGCATACATAAAAATATGGCAGATCTGCTAAATATAAAGTAAAGCATTGTTTACCGTGTGCTTTGTTCTCTCAGCAAATATATTATCACTGATGGTGTGTTTAATTTATTTGCACACTTTAACCTAAAGAAAGAAAATGTAATTTGCTTTTAACCATATAATTTCTCCCAGAAACCCTGCGCTTGTCAACATCAGATAGCTACAGGCTCTGGATAAAGGGAATTATCTGTGGAACTCTAAAGCAATTAATTGATGAGCCTACACCCAAGAAATTGTAAGTCAGTGGGCCTTACAGATATCCCCCAAAATTTTTCACAAACATCTTATGTCATTCTGGGGTAGACACCCAGAGACTACATTCTGAGGAAAACTGGTAGAAGTGTTAGTTCTTTCCACAAGTCTTGGCAAAGTTACTCTGCTTTTATTTTCCTATTGTCTGCTTCATGAAGTATGCAAAAACAATTAGGAACTTATTCTCACAACAGTGACGATAAAATGACCTTTTACCTAAAACTGTTTAGTGGGAAATCATGCCTCTGCTGAATTTTCTGCTCAGATCATTTTAGATTAGAATAAATTGATCTTGTTAAAAACTGAAGGAAATATTTTTCACCTTTTTAAATTTTTTAACTAAATTGAAATCTAAGAGTACATGAAATCTAACCTGAAAATGGGCCGGTTGGTGAAGGACGAGCCATACGAAAATCCACATCCTTCATCTCTTAAGCATTTGCTATTTAAAAAACTAACTTGAGTGGAGCACTGAAATAATCTAGTCTGTTGCTAAGAAAATATGCAGATTCAGAGCTGCTGGCGTTTTCCATTTGGAGTGGTAAATTGCAAAAATTCCCCCAGTTTCTCATGTTATTGCTAACATATACAGAGGATAGGGAGAATATTTGGTATAGTTTGGTACCTCAAATTAAGTACAGAAATTACACCAATGTCATGTTTCATGTTTCATACTCCAAAGAAAAATGGTTGAGTAAACTAATATTATGTTACTATTTGTAAAGTACTAATAATTTTATGCTTAGGATAATTCATCTTTAATTGTGTACCTTTCAGATTGGGTACCATGTTAACTAAAATTTTCTTGACCTCTGCTCTGTTTCATTTTAAATCATTCTGTTTTCTGCTTCTTCTTACAGACACTCTTTTCCTGTGGGGTTTTCTGTGTTCTTTGTACAATTGTTTTGGATCTAAATATCCGGATGATCTTTCTTCTACTAAGGCCTTTCTCATACCTTTCTTATACGTGTTCCTTTTCTTCTCCTCTATTCTGAAAATCACACCTCTGCATCTATTTGTCAAAGCTTTGATTTTTCCACTACGACCCAAAAGGCAGTCTAATAAGGATTTGGTAATAAGTTTGCAGTTAATAATTATAGTTAATACAAAGTAAATATGATTAATAATTATTAAGTGCTTATGGATGTTCCAGGTTCTGCTTAAAGACATTTGCATATGTTGTGTCATTTAATACACACAAAAATTCTAATATACCCTTCATAGAGATGAAAAAAACTGAGACCCAGAGATAATTCATCGCTTGCTCAAGTTCACACAGCTTATAAATGATACAGCTAGGATTCTAGCCCAAACTTTCTGATTCTGGAAGCACTGACCAGCAGTTCTTAAAGACCTCAAATCTACTGAATAAGACCTCAAAGACCTCAAATCTACTTTAGTGGTGGGGCCCAGTAATCTGATTCATTAAGACCTGAAGAGAATTCTGATGCGAGCTCAGGTAAGAGAACCACTACACTAGGCTGTACTCTTTCAGAGCTTAATTTAATACAGAGCTGGATATAAATGCATGACAGATACATTTGAATAAGTAAGGCTAACAGAATATTTTATTATCACTCTTAATATTTGCCTTTTGTTAAAAATGAGTTTTATAACTAACTATATCAGTTGTTCAATTAATGACTTCATATTCTTTACGGATTTTTAGTATATAAGAAATTAAGCTCTATGATAGAGCCAGAAATATATCAGACATTGTGATTTCCCTCAAAAAACTTGTATTATATTAGGTAGATAAAGTTTTTTTTTTTTAAAAATTCACTAAACACAACATATAGTTTGATAGTTTAGAATGTGAAGAAGTCTTGAAACAAAAAAATAAGGTTTCAATTTGAATTTCAGTATTGATAAGCTGTGTGATGTTATCCAAGTTATTTGACTATTCAAAAACTCAATATCTCAATATTTCTTAAAGAACTCAGTGTATTAGGATATTATAAGAAATAAGAAAATGTGTGTTTTGTACAATGTCTAACATACATTAAACTCTTAATAATTACTTATCACTACTTTGCTTACTAATGTTACTGTTACCATTAGTAATAGTATTACTAATAGCAATAGACAGGTTTATACTAAGATCCTCATGACCAAAATAAAATGAAAAAAATGGCATTTAGAAATTGAAACTGAAAGATCATTGAAAACTTGGATGTTCAAGGAAAAGATTAAAGAAAAGATAGAACCCAAATTGGCTTTTATCTCTTTGTATCTCTCTCTGGCAAAAGGAAAAGGAATTGGTAAAAAGACAAATCTGAAATAATATTTCTGGGAAAGTAAATAAACCATTGTTGATGGAACAACAAATCTGTAAAGGAAAGTAAGCGAAAATGGATCAAGCTCAGATTTAAAGTTAGTATATGTGAACTTTATCTTGCTATAAGCTAAAATCCACCTCTAGCAAAGACAAATTTCATGTTATACAAATATGCTATAGCAAACCCACAAATATTATAATATTCAAGCAGCAGGTATTTACAGAGAACCAATTCTTTACCAGTTATAACCGGAGTTATGTTAATTCTCTAAATGCCATGCCAAGCTAAAAATGTGCAAAAAGAAAACATAAAGGGAAGAATGAAAACACTGTTAGAAAGGTAAATAATAACATTGTTATTGTAACATATTTTACAAAGTAACGATCACCAATCACAGTGAATATCTGTAGGCTAAAACTTGCCCCTGAGAAACAAATCACAAAATAATGGAAAATAAAATTTTTCAAAAGGGATCTGCAGTAGATTATACTCTAATGAACCACTTGATTTTATAAATTCCATTAATAATTTTAACTGTACATTTCTCAACCTTTTGTCCTTAGGGCTCAGCCAACATTAAGTCAACTAACAACTACATTAACAATAGGCAAGAGAAAAGAATAGTGTTTACTGTGGTTCCAAAGGGATTTTCCAAGCAGATTCACTGGTAAGGAAAAATCCTCTTAGCCATTGTTGGCTTTGAAAATGTTTGTGTAGTGTGATTCTTTGCTTCTTAATTAACCCAGTCACTGACTACTTAGGCAGTGTGCTACGGCACTGATGAGGTTTAAAATAGTAGTTTTCTAACAAAAAACTTCAGACTGAAGAAGTATAATTTCTGATATCCTTAAAATGATCAAAAAATCACTTTAAAGCATCCTTTAGAATTGTATTAATCTCAAATTTTCACACCTGTTGTAATAAGTAGACTGTATTTTTTGTTTTCTCTTCTTTTTCTAAAAAATAAAAATATATAATATATTTATGTAGTACATGGTACTTTTTTTTTTTTTTTTTTTTTTTTGAGATGGAGTCTCACTCTGTCACCCAGGCTGGAGTGCCGTGGCACGATCTCAGCTCGGTGTAACCTCCGCATCCTGGTTTCAAGTGATTCTTCTGGCCCAGCCTCCCGACTAGCTGGGATTACAGGTGCCTGCCACCACTCCTGGCTATTTTTTTTTTATTTTTTATTTTTAGCAGAGATGGGGTTTCACCATGTTTGCCAGGCTGATCTCGAAATCCTGACCTCAGGTGATCCAACCACCTCGGCCTCCCAAAGTGCTGGGATTACAGGCATGAGCCACCATGCCCAGCCACATGGTACAATTTTAGCAGTTCTGAAATAAACCAATTATTTCTTTAAAAAATATTATATGTTATTAAACATAATTTCTCATAAAATCATCCACAAAAATAATCGCATTTGAAGACTAAAATACCAAAAAGAGAGAACAAATAGTGTTGAAGTTAGATGCATAAGCTTTCTAACACAAATAAGAGTGGCTGATTTTATAAATTTATACATCCAGGTTGATCTTATGCTAGTACATTTACATAAGGAACAATATTACCTCTTAAGTTAATTACATAAGTCAAGTATATCTAATAAGTGAATAAAACAAAGAGAAATGCTGTGATCGAAAGTTGGTTATTTTGCTGAGAAGGATGGTTCCAGCTTCATCCATATCCCTGCAAAGGACATAAACTCATTATTTTTTATGGCTGCATAGTACTCCATGGTGTGTATGTGCCACGTTTTCTTTATCCAGAAAATAGGCATTTGGGTTGGCTTTAAGTCTTTGCTATTGTGAACAGTGCTGCAATAAACATACATGTGCATGTGTCTTTATAGTAGAATGATTTGGGTATATACCCAGTAATGGGATTGCTGGGTCAAATGGTATTTCTGGTTTTAGATCCTTGAGGAATCGCCACACTGTCTTCCACAGAAAACCAAACACCGCATGTTCTCACTCGTAAGTGGGAGTTGAACAGTGAGAACACATGGACACAGGGAGGGGAACATCACACACCAGGGCCTGTCGGGGAGTGGGGGGCAAGGGGAGGGAGAGCATTAGGACAAATACCTAATGCATGTGGAGCTTAGAACCTAGCTGTTGGGTTGATAGTGCAGCAAACCACCGTGGCACATGTATACCTATGTAACGAAACACATGTTCTGCAGATGTATCCCAGAACTTAAAAAAAATAAAGTTGGTTATTACATTCACTCAATTTTAAGGTCTCATGCCAATTACTTCTCAATTTACTGTACTGGATTTGAAGCCCAGTGCCACTATGGAACGGTTTCATGACTGAGAGGCAGGCAATATTCCTTGCATGAAGTGTACTTTCCCTACCTATGCAATTGAGAATAGTATAATATTCCTTATGGAGACGCTTTAAGAATTAGAATGAAAGTATATATGAAAATGCCATGAAATATCATAGGCATTTATAGATGTTAGATATGATAATATTTGGTTAATTATAGCATTTCTGTGTGTTTTGCTCAGGAAAGGGGACATACTGATATATATAAGCTTGCTGATTTGTAAACCAAAGGAAATTTTCTAAGTTTTTGTTTGCTTGTTTTTGCTGACTGTGGGAAGCAATCCACCATGGACTTCTCATGTTCCTGTATGTCTTCTGAGCAAAGGGCAGGCTAACCAGTATGTCTCCCTCTGTGGCAAAGGTTTGGCAGGTTTGCTAGCAGCCCTCTTTACAAGGCTGGGGTTTCTTACACTCAAGGTCTCTCAGTTGTCATGCAAATCCAGTACATGCACACCATTAAGTTGGCCTACTTTGCATTACTTTTGGGATTCAGGGGTGGACAAGGGGAGCCCACGTGAACACACAATTCATGCTGCCTGCTTTGCCTGGACCCTTCATGTGTCTTCTGCCAGCTTGTATGAAAGTTGAGAAGGCTAACTTGTCAGCTTGCATGCAGGCTAACACCGCGGGCCCTTCACAGTTCTTGACAAGGACTAGCTTCCCTAAAGGCAATCATTCTACCTGATGAGGAAAATTACTTAAAAAGCAGGAAAACGGTAATGGGTTGGAAAGCATACAGCTAATAGTTAATGAGGTTACTTCACCATATTATGTTTTTTGAATAAAGATTATACTATTAAAATGCCCTCACATTTTTATTACATTCCACTTCATTGATAGTAAAAAAAAAATTGATCAGGATATTTAAATATTCTCCACTTCATATTTACACATGACGGGATAACATCAGGCTCTTGTTCTTTTTCTGCTCAGATCACTCCTTTGATGCAGGCTTCATGGTGTGGACTAGAGGAAAGTCTTTATTGTCATTGCGTGGTAAATTGATTTGCCTGAGAGTGTGATGCAGGACTGAGGAACATGACCATCTTCAGAGAAGGAAAAGTCAGATTAGTTACTTCAATCTTTAAAAAAAAAAAAAAGTCAGGGTTCCTGAAAGCGAACAGTTATTTAGGTTCTACGTGTGGAGAAGTGAACAAAATGAATCGTCACAGAAAGGATTAGATTAGATATAAATATCATCTAGTCCAAATCCCTTTAAGGTCATACCGTGCAGTTGGTGGAAAAGATCTTATAACTACAAGGCCAGCATATTATTTCTCTACGGCAGACATTCAAAACTGTGACAGCAATACAGAAGGAGTCTGCACTCATAGTTACATTGACAAGGAGGAAATAAATCTGAGAGAGCTTCTCACTTTCATTCATTGTCTCTTTTCTTCACTTTACTGCGGCCATTAAACTATTTTTTTCCATGCAATTGTGTTGCAGTTAAATGTAAGTGTTTTTGAAATTTATAATTTTTTTTCCTTTAGGATAGTTTATGAAGTATTTATTTTGATTACCATTATTTATATGTATCAAATCATTCATAGTCCTATTAATTAAATAGTACTGATTCAGTTTGGTGTAAATTATATTTGATATTTTGATCTTAGCTGGATGTTTTCTGTAAGTCTTGACCATCTTTTCCAAGACAGCCATGCTGGTGAATCTGTTTTATGCCATTAATTGTCATTCACTGAAATATATATAGAGAGAGATATATAGATAAAAAATCTGTATGTATTTATACATGCTATTTTGCATAAATATATATATTCTTGCATATATATTTTTACTTTAAAGTTTCATATATAATGCAAGTATTCTGTAAACAGTAATGTGTTCATCCAAATATCTATTAATATAATATAACCATTTCACTAAAGTTATGACTTATTGAGAAGTTCTAAGGATAGTATGGATTCAGAAAGAGTTAGATGGTAAACAATGGAGGATTTTCCATAATGTCAAACAAAATATTAGTGTATTCACAGGTATTTTAAGTTTTATGAAAATCATGTTATTAAGCATTAAAAAATGCTGAGAGAAAAGTTTACAATCTTACTTTGAAGTGTATCACTGTTTTAATAGCTGCCAAACATATTGCCAATCCAACTCTAATTAACTATATTTTTATTATACCTATATTTTAATATAACTACAGAACAACAGGATAGATAATTAAAAGGGCTGAAAACTGCTTGATTTTGTTTCAAAAAGAAATTTGTAAAGTCTGAGGAACTTAATTAGATGTTAAATTCTACCTGCCAAAAAAGGCACCGAAGTCTTTCTCAGAGCCAACACCAAAGATAAAGCTAAATAAGTTTTGTGATAAGGTAGAACAGTTAAACTGTGTTAAAAAGACAAAAGTAACTAGTAGGTGAGTAACTTCAAACAGTTGATTATCAGGTGATTATTTACTAATAAGCACTTTGTTTAGATAGAAAACAAAAAGACTATAAAGTCCTTGTTATTTGTGAATTGTTAAATGTTATTCATTTAGCAGAGTGGATTGATAATTTGAATATATTTCCTGGCTGATTATCTCAAAGACACTGATAGTTCCCTATATTAAAAATTATCTACTATCAAGAAGAGCTTAAAATGTCTATTTCAAGAAAGCACCGCCAAATGAGCTAAGAGATGCCTCCCACCCCATCACCCCACAAGCAGGAAAAGTTAATATAATAGCCAACCTCCCTTTCTCCCTTCGTCCTCTTTTTTCCTCCTTCCTTCCCTTCCTTTCTTCTTTTCATTTCTTGAGCACCTAATATGTGGCAGACACTGCTAGGTTATGTGAATCTAATGGAGAGCATTTATGGAAATTGTACCCAGGAAAAACAGACAATCTGATGATCACATCAGTGCTACCCTTAAATCTGGTCAGGAAGGGTCCCTGTCCTGGGTCCATGACCTTAAAGGAATACTTGACCTTTCACAAACAACACATTCAGGACATGTACTAAAGAACATATGGCCACCTTGTCACTCAGAATCTTACATTCAAATTCAGCATAAGATAATGCTTAGTCTTAAACATCTACTTTCATATTAACACTGCTCAGACCCCAGGAAACACTTTTCAACATTTGTCCTATTCATTTTAAAACAAAGTTAAGTGTAACTGAGTGCTGAAAAAATGTGTGTGCTGTACTGCATTGGAAGATAAACAACATTTAAACACTATGGAGAGAGTAAAGCAGTGGACGGGCTTAGGTAGGAAAAAAGACACACATATTTACTAGTAAAGTTACCATGAAGGCAATAGATTCTAGCATAACAAAATATCATTTCTCAAAATTGAGGAACATCTATTTGTTTTATCTTATTGTATTTTGTTACCAAAAGTACTGAAACACTCATGCAACTTTCATACAAATTGCACATTGCAGTCAAGAAACATCTTGAATTATAAAATAATTGATATCCGCTGGTAAATATGTATATATGAAGATTTAGACATAACATATGTGAAGCATCATTTCCCCTCTTAACAATAACAACAAAATGTTCTTTGTATTCTAGAAAGGACAAATTATAAATAGCTTTATTATTATTAAATATGCTATAAATTTAATTTATCTTTAAAACGTTAAATAATATTATATATGATGATGATGATTTTCAAAATTAAAATTGAGAGGCCAAAACAAAGTGTAAAATATAATATTAAATATTTTACAAGAAAAATAACTTATTTTCATAAGTTGGTACTTTTATTTTCACTAACATTTTTGATGAAAATATATTTCATATACTTTGTAAACAACTATACTTTAATTTTTAATCTTTTTGAGCATTGAAAATGAATGCAAAGATTGTTAGAGAAATAAAAAGTTCAAAAATGCAACACAGAGAAGAAATAACTGAAAAAAAGAAAATATATAATTTTTAGAGAGTCTGTCTGCTTAAATTTTTAAGAACTTCAGACAATGAAAAGGAGCTTATTTTTGGGGAGCATGACCCACTTAAAATTTGCAATCAGGACATTACAAATTCTTTACTAATGAATATTTAATTACTTAATTACTGATTAAAACAGTGAAACCAAGTAAAAAATAATTATTCTTATGAAATCTACTGCTTGAATAGGACAGATGAAAGCTTTATAACTTTATATTCTTTATTGGTTGAAGATTTAATTACCCTTAGAAACAATGGAAATGTGTATGTGCTTCTATTTGCTTATATTTGCACAAATGGTCTCTGGAAGGGCACTTGGGAAACTCTGCAGATGGTTATCTCTGGGACAGGCAGTAAATGGCTGGGTGAGCAGGACAAGGTGCTTTCTGTACTTTTTAAACACTGTGTATATTTTATTCATTAAAAATGCATTGTTTTATGTCAAATTTTAAAATATCCTGGTTAGAAGTTAAGGAATTCTTTCTCTGTTCATGTTATTCAGTTCACATCTGTCTTCAAGGCTTATTAAAATGAGATATTGTTACTTATAAACCTTTTCAGTATTTAAACAAATGATTGGAAGTTATTTACCTCGTATGCCAAGAAGTGTGCCACCTGTACATCCATGTTCATGGAAAGAAACATCATTCACTATAGCCAAGATATGGAATCAACCCAAATGTCCATTGCAAATTTATAATTCCTTCCACTGACTGAATGGACCACCCCTCTCAGCCAAGGGGACCCAACTAAACCCAAAAACTAGTTCAGGCCATGATTATTACTGGAATGGGGAGGTGAGACATGCCTCATTATACTCTTCTCCTTTTGGAGTTCAGGCACAATTAACTGGCATTTTCATTAAAACAGAGATTCTAAGACTGACAGAACAGACTGTAGCAATAGGATACCAACTCCAGCCTGACTCTGGTACGGCAACATATAATAGATAACAGACCCTAAAAAGAGATCAAAGTATTTTACCCCATAACATATTTCTTGACATATTTTGAAATGACACTGCAAAGCTATCTCTTGGGGGAAATTGCATTCTTTAGAGAATCTCCTTCCCTTACTAGGTCCCTCCAAAGAGTCTGACATCTTCGATAAAAGACATTTACATCTATTCTCTCTGAAGCTTGTTACCTGGAGGCTTCACCTACATGACAAGAACCTTGGCTACCACAATCTCCATCCCTATATCTTAACTCAAGCTGTTTTCAACTCTTCAGGTGGAGCTTATTCCTTTCAACCAATTGCCAATAAGAAAATCTTTAAATACACCTATGACCTGGAAGCCCTGCCCCCCACCCATCCCACTTTGAGATTTCCCACTAAAATGTACAAAACTAAACTGTAGCCCAACCGCCTTGGGCACATGTTCTCAGGATCTCCTAAAGCCTTGTCATGAGCTATGACCCTTAACCTTGGCAAAATAAATTCTAAATTCACTGAGACCTGTCTCAGATACTTTTTGGTTTACACCATCAATGGATGAATGGATAAAGACAATGTAGTATATATACACAATGGAATATAATTTAGCCTTACAAAAGAAGCCAGACAGAAGTAAATCCGGTCATCTGTACAACATAGATGAACCTGAATGACATTATGGTAAGGGAAATAAGCCAGGCTCAGAAAAACAAATACCACATGATCTCACTTACAAGTGGAATGTAATAAGTTTGAGCTCATAGAAACAGAGAGTAAAATATTGGTTACCAGAGGCTGTGGGCTGCAGATATTGAGAAGATACTCCTCAAAGGACACAAAATTTCAGTTACACAGGAGGAATATGTTCAAGAGAACTACTGTATATCATGGTGACTAATAGCATAGCTAATAACAGTACATTGTATTGAAAACTGCTAAGATAGTAGATTTTAAGTGTTCTCATCACACACAAAAATTATAAGTAGGGATTATCATATGTTAAATAGTTAGCTTTAGCCATTAGACAGCATATACATATATTGAAACATCATGTATGCCATAAATATATATAGTTTTTACTTTTCGGTTAAAAAAAGAACTATGCCACCAATAAATAATCAAAGGTAGACAAAACATTAGAGCACACTAAAAGTTTTGCTTTATTTTTGCTATTACAGCTTTTCGTAATTCTCTTTTTTCATCTTATCTTGCTATCCTAATATATTATTTAACTAGAAATCTCCTTCTTCATTCAACACACTTAAAAGAACTGTCAAATAGTGTGTATTAAAGATTAGAAAAACAAATTAGAAAAACAAAAACACATGGTTATATTTAGCCATGTGTCCTATATTTAACCCTCCCACGGCATAGAGTCTACCAGGCAGACTAGAGAGTAGAAAAGACAATTGCAGTCCTATTCGACAACTGTTATAAAGTGCTAAAATTGGAACACTATGGGAAAACATAAGAGAAAAGGTACATAATTCAGATTGGCAAGTAGGAGTCTCACCAGGGGAAAAGGTGAGGTTGAGAAGATCCTTCCAGGCAAAAGGATGAAGTTCATTGCGGGAGTTTAATTTTCACCAAACTAGAGAAGAAGGCTGACATAGACCACCTAAGACTTTACATTATTTACTAAAGAGCTTATGTTTTATCCGGAAGGCTCTGGGGAAATATTGGCAAGATTTTAGCAGACAAGTCACTGTGATCAGGTTTGTTTTTTGGAACAATCACTTTACTACAGTGTGGAAAATAGATTGGAAGAGGGAGCATGTAAAACCAGAGGCAGTTAGGAGGCTACTGAAATTGTTAGGGAGAGAATGACTATAGTCTAAATAAAGGAGGTGGAGGCAGGGACTACAACAAAGGGACAGAGCTACTTGTTAATTGATTTGTTTTTGGTTTAGTACATTGGAGATTAGTGTATTTCTTAAGAGTCCAGGGTTGCCAGATTTACAAATAAAAATACAGGATGTACTCATTAATTTGAATTTTAAAGACAAACAAAATAATTTGTTAGTATTAACATTTATTCGAAAAAAAGTTTTTCTGATTTATCAGAAATTTATATTTAACCATGTGTCCTATATTTAACCTGGCAATCATACTGCAATGAAGTATTGGATGTAATACCTTCATTTTTGCAACATTCAGGAATCCCTCTGTATTGTAATGTAGCTGTAGGTTTATTTATGCAACTCAAAATTTTACATCAAGAATCACAGAATAAGCAAATTACAGACTATAAACAGCTGCTGAAAAAAAGTGAAAAATGTGTAAAAAGAAAATAAATTTAAAAATTTAATGTACTTATTCTGTTGTAATGTCTCTAGCTTCCACTCAGGTTTTAATGCAGGAAAAGAAATAATCATTATAGCATTAGTGACAATCAATTTTCCCATGTCAGTGTTTTCTCCTTCCTTCCCTTACTGTCAAGATTGTATTTTCACTTTTGGAAAAGATAGTTACCGAGAGTTAATTTCTGAGATGATGCTATTCTTAAACTTCTGTCAAGTAAAAAATCATGAGAGCTATAAATTTGGAAAGGAGATTTTATTTCTCATAAAGGATAACAGCCTGCAAGATGGCCATTCTGACAGGCTGGGAAAAGAAGCCTCCAGGAGGGCCCAGAAGCAGGCACTTCAAGCGATGTGAGGGTGAAACAGGGATTTATACCGAACAGGTTGACCAAGTACACATACACAACAAGTTACAGGAGGAGCCGTGAATATTCATGAAGGGCGTCCTAACACATGCATACTGAATGAACATGCAGGTTACGTACAACTCATATTCACTTTGGGGTAGAGACTTAATGTTTAAATATATTACAGTTAGGCCCCCTATGTCAAAAGGTGAAGCAGGAACACGAAGGCATTCAAGAGTGCAGCCTATGTAAACCAGCCAGAACCAGGCCAGGGTTGGTGGTCTCTTATCAGAAGAAAGTGAGTGAAATCCGTCTCTTGTCCCATCAAAGCTGTAGTTATGGCTTGTGGAACAGGGGGTGGAGGGTCAGATTCTGGCATTGAGCTCAAGTTGTCTTAATTTGCTTATCTTGAGGCCAGTGCTTATTTAGCTGCTAGACAGAAAAACCTTGTGGCAGTTAGAATTTATTCTTTAAGTGTAAGGGTGTGTGAATTAACCCTTGCCTGGCATGGCCTTTGGTCTTGTTTATACTTTGGCATCTTACTGGGCCACAAAGAGTCTGTTCTATCAGTCTTATGATCTCTAATTTAACATTATTGCTGGTCAGTTGTGCCTAAACCACAAAGGAAGCCAATATAAGAGGCGTATCTGACCTCTCATCCTGTCATGGCCAGGAACTTCTGTTGATAAGGGTTTTCTGTGGTCTCCTTAGCCAAAAGGGAGTCTGTTCAGTCAGTTGAAAGGCTTAGGATTTTAATTTTAGTCTTACTTCATGTGTATGAATTCATTTAATTTTAAAAACAATTAATGAGGTAGGTATTAATGTAGCCTGAGATTTAAGATATCTACTTTCTGAAGGTGGTTCAGGAAGATTACAGAATTTTCTTGAAAACACAGAGCTAGACCCCAAAGTAGCCAGTGCTTGAATTTAGCTAGTTTTGGTTGTGCCATCATAAATTCCCTTGAGGAGACCACCTAATCTACAACTTATCTCAAGCCTCTTTAGCCAATTTATAGAATTTTATAAGTTGACAGTTCTTAATAAGTTGCTCTGATGCTTTCTTCATATTTAGGTTGTTTTAAGAAAATTTATAATAGCTAACTTGAGCTCCTCTTACTAGACCTAAATTGATTTTGCAATCTATACACTGAGACAAATGAGACTAGCTGGCCAGAGTCATTTTTGAAATATCTATGCTTTAAGTCCACTGGACCAAAGCCTTGTTTCAAATTATTTAAAACACTCAGAATATTTTGATGCTTTCACATTCACTAATATTCATTTCAGTATTACATCAGCTACTCTCCTTTGATTTTCATTCTTAAGTGGTCCACTTTTCTTCATAATTTTAGCCAGGTTTTAAATAATTACATGAAAATGAATGTGATTCTATGACATTTGCCAGGGAGTTAATTTTGCTCATTATTATATTTTATATTTTTCAGGCTTGGAATTAATATTTGCACAGAAACATTTCTTTGAACATTTAAAGCAGGATCTTGTTCTGAATCACTTAGGTGCTATCATTAGGATATGTTTAATTTTGTTGTTTTTTTAATTAAAACCACCAAAAAGATTTGTTCATTTTACAAGCTGATTAACATTTTAAAGACTGATTAGCATATAACAACCCCCTTAATCATGTATGTATGTGTGTGTTTACACATATGTATTCTATATTTGCATATGTATTCTATATTTACCTTCAGCAAGAAAGTAATCTCCACCACCGCTGAACTCAACAGACATTGTTTATGCTCCCCTCAAGGCATTCATCATTTCCAGCTTGTATTCTAGCAATTTAGGCATGTTTTTTTATCTCTGCTAAGGTTTTTACAGGTAGGAAGTGTGTTTAATTCATCTTTATATCTCCCACAGTGCCTAGACAGCTTTGCATACTGTGAGAACTTGTTAAATGTTGTTAAATGAATGACAGAAGAAAGTAAATTTGGCTTATTTGACTCTTGAGTCTACAAATTTTTTAAATCCAAATGCAGTAAATTTAGTCTTTATAAAAGTTTTCCCTCATTATATCTTTCACTGATATAAATGTATATTTATGAGAATTTAATAAAAAGCAGTGTCAGAGGTATATTTCAACCACGTAGTAGACAGCAAAGAGGCTATTTATTGGTGGAACTAGGCAATATATTGGTGAAACCAGGCAATATGCACAATAGTTTTTTTTTCTCAACAACACAGACAGCAGTAAAGTGATTAAACAGCATTGTTGCTGATAGAGTGTTGAGCAACAAGTTCAATTGAGATCAATGTTTGAATATACGTTTCTTAAAAGAATCTATATTTGAAGAGTGGACATTGCTACCATCTTCTCTTACTGTGATTCTTTATTTTACCCATGGATAAATCACATGTAATAGCAACTCTTGACCTGTGGCTTCCAATGCAGCAAGACACGATTAACAGATGGCTTGACTCATTGATTCACTTTTTCATTCAACAGATGTTTACTAAGTGTAAAGAGGATGCATTGTATGCTGTGAACTAATAATAATATATACAATTTCAACAGAATTTTGTGTTTCTCAGATTTCTTTTTACATGCATTGCCTAGCTGATTATCAAAACAAGTATGTGATACCAAGATCAAAATATTTCTATTTGCATAATAGAAATTTGCAGTAATGACTCCCATGTTAGAATAACTTATAAAATGGAGACTGGAACTCAGGTTTTCTGATTACATATTTCATAGCCATTATATTTTCAGGCATTTCAGTCCTTTCTAGGAAAAGGGAGTATCTTGAAAGTATCATAAAAAGGGGAGGAGGAGGGACATTGTCTAAGACTAATTACTGCTAATTAAACATAGCTATCAGCAGATAGTGAATCAGTGAAGAGACATTTTAAAGAGACTTGATCGCCCACAGGACAGCAGGAGGTGATTATGACCTGGTCAAATTATTTATAATCTCTAAAAAGTAATTTATCAATCTAATAGTAGTTTACAGGGCATAGACTACAAAAGAGGCACACACAAAAGAATGTGCTCATTACAGAGTTGTGCAGAGCTGTGAGGTGCCCTGGCCCAAGAATGTGATTTGCCTCCTCTGTCTCTAGATTACTGATAGCTATTATCTCCATTATTTTGTCCTGATTCTATGCTAAATAAATAGAGTTATGCATATGGTTTTCTTCCCACGTGCTGGACTGAATGTACTGTCCTCTTATCAGTAAATTTAAAAAGTGATACCTTGAGTATAATTTGGTTTTCCACACCCCTTGATAATAGGGAGACTCTGCACCAAGTGTATACGATTCCATTGGTAGTGATGGTTCCCATTAAAAATTACCAGGCTGGCATTACAGTTTACCCTTCATTAGGTGAGTCAAACTACAGATGACTCACCCATTCTTGAAAAGGTGCTGGCAGATTTCAAAGGTTGCAAAGCTTAAGGCCAGACTCTGGAATGACAAATTCCTATATGTCATCTACCCGTTAGGCTTTAAGAAAGCCAGCTGACTAGCCTGACCCAAAAGAACCTCCCATTTCATTGTGCCCTACTTTGAACTCCTAATTCTTCTCTCTCTGTATAATTATTCCAGTGCAAATAATTCTCTCAAATGCAAATCATGTTCTTCTAATTGTATTATGACTTAAAAAATAGTTTTCTTGAAAGGAAACTGGGTCATTTCACAGAATTGCATCAATTTACAATACGTCTTCATAACAGATAATACATAAGAATGCTAAAACAGGTCTAGAACATCTTCACTGAAACCTGTGGGACCAGATACGTTTAGGATTTCAGAATATTTTGAATTTTAGAGAAGCAATTAAGCACATATTATGCATATTGCATATTACATCTCAGAGGAGTCTGAGCTGCATCTTGCAATCAAACACATACTTTTTTTTCAGATAAATATATGAATATCTACAATATAGGAGACACATGAAAGTGAAAAAGAGTCATATGTAGGTTTAGGTTGAGTTTTGATGATGAATTACAGAACAACTTCAGTTTTCAGAATGGTCATATATCAGAATTGGAAATAATGGATTGTGTGTGAAATTATTTTAGAACAGTTTTGTTTTATTTATTAATTTATTCATTTTTAAGTGAAGTATGCTGGGTATATGGCAGATCCACCTTACAGCAGTAACTTACATTAAGTATACCCTGAGAATGACCCCGTATGGCAGATGTACCTGACAGCAATAATTTAAACATACCCTGATAATGACCTTATGGTCTAAAAACAATGTGTGTTTGCAGTTCTGAGCTAAGGAATCTAGAAGTGGCCAACCCAGAGATTCATTCCTTATCTATGAGGAGCATTTGATTCATGGCCCATCCCACAGGGGAAAGAGGTGCTTTGTTTTGGGTTGAATGAAGGTTGACAGGTGGAGGTTGGTAGGGGGAAGGTAGATACTAATTGAAAATGCTATATAAACTGCATATATTTTACAAATGGTAGCAGTTCTCCTGTCCATCCTGCCATGACTAGACTGGCCTTTATGTAAGTCCCCTCAATAAACTCTATGTCTTTTTCCCTGGCTCTTGGTCTCCCTCTGCCTCTCAAACGTGATGCCATTCCTATTGAAGTCAATAGGGGTCCAGAACAACAGCAGGGCTTTTTTTTTTTTTAATTTTAAAAAATATTTTTAAATTAATTACTTTTAATTGACAAAGATTATATGTATATTTATTATGCTTATGTTGTTTTGAAATATGTATACACTTTAGAATGGCTAAATTGAGCTAATTCACATATGCATTACCTCATACACACATCATTCTTTGTAGTGAGAACACTTAAAACGTACTCTCCGCAATTTTCAAAAATTGGCACAAATACTACATGATCTCACTTGTATGTGGAATCTAAAAACATTTAACTCATAAAAATAGAGAGCAGAATGTTGGTTACTAGGAGCTGGTTGAGCTGTTGCGGAGTTGTCAGAGGTTACACAATTCCAGTTACACAGGAGGAATAAGTTCAAGAGACCTATTGTACAATATGGTGATGGTGACTGTAGTTAACAACAATGTGGATCTTTAGTAACTAAACTAAACTAAACTAAAGACCGTTTAGTGAGTGCTCGTTATATTTTCACAGTGATCGTATGAATTAGGTTCTTTTGCTATCTTCATACAAATCAGGAGGAATCAAACACCTAAAACATTTTGGCAACCTGACCAAAGTCACACAGCAAGTTGCTGAGAACAAGGACGAAATCATTGTCCTTTCCCTTAAACATAACACACACTAACTTTGAAAGGGAAATTGGAAAAGATGTGCATTGAAATTGGGAAATCTTTTTGCTCCCTCCTCACTTCGTTCACTTAGAAGCAGTTAAAAGGACAGACCATGAAGTCAGACATCTGGGCTTGAAAGCGATCTCAGAAAATTTGTGTAAGGCACTTTAAACTCGCTAATGGCTAATTTATGAAATGGCAGGCTAGCAGTCCCTATATTATAGTGTTAAAATGACTAAATGAGATAATGCCATCTGACGCTCCCCTCCACCTCACCACCCTATTCTCTGGAAACCACTATTCTACTCACTGCTTCTATGAGATCAACTTTTTTAGATTCCACATATTTATATGTCTTTCTGTGCCCAGCTTATTTTCTTCTTGAAATGCTTTCTTGACTTGGTAACATGATACCGTATTCTTTTTTTTCTCCATTCTAAATATTCCTGTTTTTTGCGATTTTTGATTTTTGCTCTATTGCCTACAGCTGAGTAATTGGCTCTACAATTTGCTCTAATGACTACAGCTGAGTAATTGGCCCTACAATTCACTCAGGTTCCAACACTCAGAACTGTCATTGATTTCTTTATTTCTCTTTCATCTCACAGCTCATATATCAGCTCGTGTAAGTGGTTTATAGCTCAAAAAACCTTCTACCACCTCTATAACACGGTCTGAGTTCAATACCCAAAGTATTTACCTGGATAACCAAGGGAGGATGCTGACAAGTCTCCTTGCTTCTTCTCTTGCTCTATTTCTCCACAGATTAGTCTCATGATGATATAGAGCAGCCAGAGAGGGACTTCAAAAATATAACAGATCATGCCATTTCTCTGCCAGAAATTCGGTGAATTATGTACTCCTCCGGGCTAGATATGATCTAGCCCTGAATAGGTGCTCAAGTTCGGCAGCCTCTTTAATCTCTTTGCTCTCTCCTCTTAACACACTGTCTTTCTTCCTGATCCTAGAACACAGCAAATAAAATCCTGCCTCTGGGACTTTTTATCTTCCTGTTTACCCAACCCCTATTTCCTGAATACCCAACCCCTATCTGTTGTTGTAGAGCCCATGAAATAAAAATGATATTAACATTTTGTAACGATTGGAGAAAATCAAAAGAATAGTATTTCCTGACATGTGAAAATTATACAAAATTCAAACTTCAGCGTCTATAAGTAAAATTTTGTTTGCTCATTTGTTTACATATTTTCCGTGCTACTTTTGCACTACAGCAGCAGAGATAAGTAATTGCAACAGCGACTATATGGTTCACAAAGTCTAAATATTTACTATGTGGATATTTATAGAAAAATATTGCTGGTTGCATGGTCTAGAAGAGTTCTCAAAGTGTGGTTGCTGCCATCAGCATCACCTGGAAGCTTGTTAAAGATGCTAATTCTTGGGTCCCTCTGAATACCTGCTAAATCAGAAGTGCTGGGGTAAGGCCCAGCAATTGCACCTTGTTAAAACCTCCAAGGGATTCTTATGCAGACTAACATTTGAGAATCAATGTTATAGAATACTTAAATGGTTAATCTCTTACCATGCAGGTAATCCAACTCCTTGGTGAACTATTTCTTGACTATGCTATTTAAAATTGCATCCCTGTTTTCTTTTTTCTCTGCTCTTCATTTTCCTTCATATCATAAATCACTATGTAACATTACGGTAAATATAATTTTCCTTATTTTATTTTCTTCTTATCCTCTCTAGAATATAAGCCATAGACTTTATCTTGTTCACTATTGAATTCCTAGCACATAGAACAGTTCCTGACAGATAAGAGGTGCTAAATTTTGTTAACAAATAAGTGGATGAATAAATATTTAAATATTGTATTTTTAAAATTAATGTTACTTCAAATAGCTACCGCCAGCCCTAAGTGTAATAATTTGCCTTCTTCTATTTTGCCATAGGAGTAAAAGGAAAATCATCTTTCTAGTTTCTGACTTTGTAAATAAATTATATATTTTTGTATTCAGAAGCAGCCCAGGTCTATCTTCAAAGACTTACAAAAGTCTGTAACTTGTATCTTCTACGATTAGATGTAGAATTCAAGAATTTGAGCTATAATGCTAGAATATAACCAAAATGCTCACAGGCTGAGAATCTCTGGTGGATTTCATTATTTTGTTAAGTGTTTGAAAGAACGACTATTTTAGAACGCTTAGGCAATGCTTTAGGATTGCTTATAAAGAGATTACTTAAACATTTTCTTTGTACATATAAATATATTGTACATAGGTGTGCATAAAATGAGATAATTTTAATCATATGATAATTCTAAATAAAAATATTATGCATTTCACCAAAATCATCTGTTGATCAGGAATTGACTCTAAATTCTTTAATTTTTATTCTAAAAATGTATGAGACAGGGTCTCGCTATGTCACCCAGGCTGGAGTGCAGTGATGTGATTATAGGTTCCTGCAGCTTCAAACTCCTAGGCTCAAAAGATCCTTCCACATCAGCCTCCTGAGGGGCTAGTAATACAGGTGTGTGCCACCATACCTGATTGGTTTTTGAAAATTTTTTGTAGAGATGGGGGTTTCATTATGTTGCCCAGGTTGGTCTCAAACTGCTGGGCTTAAGCAATTTTCTTACCTCAGCCTTCCAAAGAGCTAGGATTACAGTTATTAGCCACTGCTCCTGGATGACTCAAAATTCTTATCTTCCTAAACCAACTTTCCAGTCAAGCATTACTGCTTTCAGCTGTCATGCACACTGGCATTGAACATCAGGATCTAGTAATGTTGACTTGTACATAGTTATTTCTGTCCTCATTCAGTGTTACCTGAATGTTTTCTTTCATCCATTCTGGATCATAATCTAGTCTTTGTTCTCTTGGCTATCAAAGTTGTTCCTTTACGTTTTTTTGTTTTTCACTTCTTACTCTGTTTTCACATATATTCACAGCTGGGCAATGACTTTATCTCACCTTACATGACCCTGCTTGATTCAGATCCCCCATCCTCAGCCCCTCAATTACTATGTGATCTTGGTCACCCTTGGTTAACATTTCATTTTCAATTTACATCCCGAAACTAGAATTTTCTAAAATTCTTGCTTTACTCCATTCATGGATATCTATACTTGAAAATCTGCCACTGTATGGCTCTGCATTATGGTGGTAGATAAGAAAAACTCAGACCTTTCTCTCATAAAGATGTGTACATTTCTATTTCCCACTATCTTTATTGTGATTAACATCATTTTTTAAGATTCCTGTATTTTCATGTTTTATCTCTGTTAAACTATTCTCAACAATGAACCATAAAAATTCTTCTGAAATACAAACCTAATTATGCCATTTTTGTGCTGAAAACCTCCTAAAAAAATGTCTCCCAGTTAACATCAGGTAAAATGTAAAGTACCTAATCTGACTGGGAAAAAAACTCTTAATAATCAATTTGCCTTCCTATACTGACTTTTTAATACCTATTTTTTCCCACTGCCATCACCCGCACCCCCAGAAAAATCCAAAATATTTCAGTGCCATTTGGTTTCAGGGCTCCAATCCTACTGAACAAATTTTATGTCATGTCTTTTTCATATGATGGGAACTTCTTTGAGGCCAGGAGCTATTCATTATTTTAGTTGTATTTCCAGGACTTAGTACAGTACTTGAAGTGAAGTAGGTGCTTAATAGTTGAATAAAGAGGGAATGAATGAAAGATAAATGAGAAGTAAAGAAAATTGAGAACCTTAAATATATATAATATGTATATAAACATATATTTAAAAATAAGTTCACCATCAAATATATTGATTTTTTATTTCTTCATCTCCTGTTCTACTGAATAAATATTTAATGAATGTTTTCTAACTTCTCAGCATTGGGGCTGTGATGTGGCAGGTCTTAGCTAATTGAGGTGGGTCTTAGAAAACTCCTCCTTTGAAACCTTGCTCTATATCCACTCTTGGATTTGTGTCACATTTTGATACCATTGTCTTAGAATTTAATCTGACCCTAGCCCCGACTCTACCCTGTAATGGCCAATACTAAATATGACTAATTGTTGGTTTGGGTTTTCTTAATAGGCCATTATGTCTTTATTCCCCCACTTAAATGAGAAATATATATATATATATTTTAGGAAAGGCGATTTCATTGAGAGGCTTTTCTTTTTTATTCACTAAATGGAAGAAAAATATATATGACCATTTAAAGAATCATTTAAAAATTTTAAATGTCTCATAAATACAATAAAATGTACTTTATTATTCTAGTTTTAAATAATCCATCTTGACATTTAACACAACTACTTTCGAGTCATAACTTGTCTTGCCTGGATAAATATGACAATATCATTTCTACTGTAGTTCATTCTTTCATATACAAGAGTAATCCTTAGATTAGTTCTTATTACAGGAATACCAAAGACTATATTCCAGTTTCTAATTTAGCAAGTCACTCCAGTTTATAATATAGTCACCTAACTAATTTATAGAATAAAAAGAAAATTTGCAATTATTGTAATTGTATCCTAGGGAAAAAGCACACTCTTCTGTTGTCACTATCTCTAATTTTCCCATCATCTTTTTTTCTTCAGCTGGCTACTACAAAATGCAGTACAGACAGAGTTTCATTCAATTTGATGTCTCAGCATTTTACTATAGTAATTTTGTGATCTTTAATTTTTTTAATATTAAGTCTTTCTCTGTTGGGCACTACATTTCAGAAAATGACACACTTAAATCTTTCAAGAACAAGAAAAGACATTTGCCTTTATGCAAACTTAAAGTGGCAAAAGAGGCCCGTAGAAGGACAGGAAAATGCTGGGATAATTTTGTGGCTAGATATACTGGATATACAGTGGCTTAACATATACATCATAATTATAGTTTGACCTCTCACTACCTTAGCTTACTGAAGTAACAAGTGGAATCAAGATATTTGAAGTTTCTTTCAATATCATCATAACCCTTGAATTTCTATGAAAAAAAGTGTTAAGCCATAGCCAGATTCAGTTAACTCAACACATTATTTGATCCGCCTATATCACAGGAGTGGTGGGAAAGCTAATTAAAAATGGCCACAGGGAACTTCTAAATACAGTAGGTAGCTGCATAGAGTAAAAGTTTTTTTAAAAAATAGCATTTAGTTAAGCAACAGGAATTATTGGGCATCTGTAATTTAATGTTTCTAATGTTTTTCATGAACTCCCCCTTTCCTCCTTTTTAAATCATTGAACTTTCACATTATAGGTAAATGTGATAGTCATTTTTTAAGATAAATTTATAAACTTATTAAACAATCAGCAATCAGTTTTACTAAATAGCAAGTGTAAGCCATGATTTAAATTACTCTTATAATGTAATTTTAAAAGTCTAATATGAAAAAAAGTCAGCTTCCACAGATGTTTGAGTTGAAAGCTTCCACTTATCAGTCTCACTCTAATTGCAACCAAATTAATACTATTCATTTTGATTTATGGGCAAAATACTAATTTTGACTTGGCTGCCCTTCTGGGAATTACACAAAGCCCAGCAGTAGTGTTACTTTTTCACCAACCAAAACTGAAGTGGGGGTGGAGGTCACCCCAGAACATGGTAGAGGCAAGACATATCCAGGAACTAGCCCACTGCTTACCATCCTAACCCTTTAAAACCTGATTTCTGTTTTATGGAACAACATGCACTTTCTTGAATGTGATATACCTCTCAGACTTTGAAAGTTAGCATAAAACAAGGAGAAGCTTCTTTCTTTTTCTAAGCTGTTCCTCTTCCCCAATGTCACTTCCTGCATTTTTTTGCCTCTCACACTTTACCTAGCTAACATCTATTTGTGTTTGATATTTGGTTCAAAGATCACTTTCCAGTTATCCTCTTCTAATCATCTGCAATGAATTTAGTAAAAGAACTACTCCTGAAACAAAAAAAGTGTTGACGACAGCTATAATTGATAAGTGATCTTAAAGGGAAACTTGAGAGCTAAGAATCAGGTCTCAAGTCCAGCCATCGCATGTCTGTTTTTAGTGTTGAATACCTTGGATTATCTCTGATTCTCTGTACTGAGAAAGGTGGCTGTGTCCTTATACTCTTCTCATTCAAGTAAGGTGTTTCTCTGTTGGTTTTCAAAATTTCTATTTATCTTTGCCATGTTTGTGTGTTCACATGTCTGACTCTCACACTAAACAATGAGCTTCTTAGGAACAGAACTATGTCTTGTTTATCTTTGTCCTATAATGAAGCTTAACACTTGGTCCATCTCCAGGAGACATTAGATAAAGAAGTGAAAGAGTAAATTAATGAACAAAATCCCCATGTCAAACCAATATCCTCAGTCATGTTTTCATAGACTGATATTTTCTATAGTGTCCTGTCTTCTTTCAGTGGTGGTAGTGGGCTGGGGGAGGAGAGTGGCAGATGACAAAACAGGAAAATGAGAAAAAAAGATATACCTGAAAGCTGTTGACTAGAGTCTGGACAAATAATCAAATTGACACAATTTATTAATCAACTATGAAAGTAACCAACCAATTAACGTGTAATAGACTCTATAACAGGGACTCTTACATGCATTATCTATTATTATTATTATTAGAGACAGGGTCTCATTCTGTTGCCCAGGCTGGAATGCAGTGATGTGATCATGGCTTACTGCAGCCTCTAACTCCTGGGCTCCAGTGATCCTCCTACCTCAACCTCGTGAATAGGTGACCCCACTAATTTTTTGTTTTCCTTTTTTAGAGACAAGGTCTCACTATGTTGCTCAGGCTGGTCTTGAACGCCTGGGTTCAAGTTATCCTCCAACTTCGGCTTCCCAAAGTGCACGATTATGGGTGTGAGCCACCGCACCCAGTCTGACATGCTCTCTTTTAGTAATATTAAAGTTAGTGGAATGAAAATCATTTTATATTATAACAGTAATATAGGTGTTACTATTATCATTGATAGTCACACACAACTTTGCACAGTGCATAGATTGAACTTAAATATGTTCCTTTAGTGTGATGAGAGATTACTTTCATTTAATATAAAGAGCTGAAGTAGAAAACATTTCTTTTCCTGCTCTAAATTTTCAAATAACAAGAAAATACTGGAATACAGTAATCTTGTACCTTAAACAAATATGACCACAAAAAAATACGTCTTTCCATCCTAGTGGGAAATAACTGGGGAAATATACTGCCCAGTGCCCAGGGAGAATTTAATTCTCTTTCAGGAGGCTGCTGATGCATATGCTACAAAGTTAACTACTGTAAAGTTGGTCAATAAAGCCAATGTTTTAAATAGATAATTTCTAATTGTAAGGGAATAATTTATTCCTTACGACGAGATTATCGAACTCACTTATAATTAGAAGTAAATCCTTTCAAGGAAACCTTACAAAGAATTGGTATCTGCCCATTTGCTTTCTGGTATCCATAAGGTCAGATGAATTCACACATATATGCTGATCTTCCATGTGCTCATTTGAAAACAATTTGAAAAAGGGACAAGTGAAATAATATTTGATTAGAAGAAAACAAAACTTATATAATCCAAGTAAATTTACCTTTATATTATTTTCAGAATGTGCCCTGAAATATTTTTATATGTATGAGATGTAATATTACTGCATTAAAATTTTGAGAGCTGCTGATTCCAGATTGACAAATACTCTGGGGAGTAAAGCTTTACTTTTGAAAAAAAGAACATCTAGTTTTGAGCGCAGGTTTTGTTATGTTTAATTTGGGGCTTATTTTTAGTTTATATTTTTGGGGTTTTTTTGTTTGTTTTGGCAGTTGAAGGTCAATGGTAAATCTTGACAGAAAAAGCTATGGTAAATAGTATACATACATAATATGATATATTTGTATACATAATATAATATATAATATAATATATGATATATTATTATATAATATATATTATATAATTATATATAATAATTATATAATATTTAATATAATATATGATATATATAATATATCATATATTATATTATATATTATATATTATATTCTATTATATTATGATATTATATATATGCATTTGAAAGACTTCAAGGAGCTCCACCTACCAGTCTCAGGGCTATGTCAATGTCTCCAACTGTCTGTTAACAGTCTTGCTCAGGTCATGTTTGAACTTTTTCTCTTTGATCTGAGTGTAGCTTTTGAAGAAATAGTGATTATCAAATAACCTGGCAACAGAGGAAACAAATCACAAATGCCTAATCATTTGTTTCTTTGATTCAAACCAATAACCTGTCTTCTTAACCTTGATATTTTTTAGAAGGAAATTTGCAAATCAAAGTCTATAGTCACACACATACAGGAATCTCTATCTCCACATTCAGAAAATATAACCAGTCTTATAAGAAAATATTAACTCTTCAATATTTTCCATTTTAAAAATCAGTTTTTGGCACAGATACTTTCCATTCCTATCCTTTAATCCTGCCCCCCAGGGGGAGTGCTTTTTCCTGTTTACGTTTGTTTTTTAAGTGTGTGGCCTCTGCCATATTCGTGACATCCTGCCATGGTGCTCCCAACTCCATGGTTTTGTAATCTTTGCTTTCATATCTGCTATCTAATTTAGTAATTCTTTCTTAATAGCTCAATATTTATCATGGTTTAAGATATTTATCTAGACATAATTTTTAGAGACAAAAGTGAATTTTGAATCAGGTCATAAATCCCAATTTAAAATAAGTCATTAAAACACGCTGCTTCTAATTAGGACTTTCACCTATCTGTTAAGTGTAGAATTTAACTCCTTAAGAAATATAAAATCAGTTCTTAACTTGTGGAAATTCTGTTCACAAATAATTTTCATTTTGTGTTTTCTCATAAACATTAGTAATTACAGCAACTGGACCACTGACTGCTATGTTCATCCACATTACCAGTTAGCTCTGCAAGCCTCTGAATCCCCCCAGGAAGGATAGGTGCTTCTCCTCTGTCAAGCTCTGATTCCCCATTGTGGCCCTTGTGCTCTGTATTATAATTGTCTGTTTACTTCTCTGTATCCCCATTAGACTAAATTTTATCAAAAGAAGAAATTATGCCTGTATTCAATCCCCCGGTGTCTAATACAGGTATTATAATATCTGTTTCATAAATGTGTTTCAAATTATAAATGAATATCAATTAAACAGTCAAAAGAATGTGTCATAAATCACATATACATGTTCTACTATCTGCTAAGACTGATACTTTGCACTTATTGAGACTATATCATAATTCAGCCAACTACTGTAGGGAAAAATATTGCCGTTTTCATCCCATTATGCAAGTAACATTCTTCCACTGAAAGTGTGTGTGTGTCTTTTAATGAACATTGAATCCTGCTAAATGCGATTTTCATCACGATAGTTAATGAGAGAAAGAAAATCTAGATAACAATAGTTTTTCTCCACAGGATTAATATTATAACTAAATATAATAATATGTGTAAGAGTGTCTGATATACAACATCGTTTATTCAGTTGGAAGTCTTTTTTTTTGTCTTTGTCTTAATCCATCTGTGCTGCTCTAACAGAATACCTGAGTTTGGGTAAAGTGTACAGAACGGAATTCTATTTTCTTACGGTTCTAGAGGGTGGAAATTCCAACACCAAGTCAGCAGCATCTTGTGAGGGCCTTCTTTATGTGTCCTCACATGGCAGAAATCAGAAGGACAAGCTAGGTGAACCCTTCATTAAGCCTCTTTACTATAGCCTTAATCCCATTCACAAGGGAAGAGCCTTCATGGCCTAGTCACCTCTTAATGTCCCCATCTTTTAATACTGAATTTTGATGGGGATGTTTTCAAACTATAGCAGCCTTTTAGTAGGTTCAATAATTGTTCTTGTTTCTCTGTGTGTGTTTGTTTCACTTTAAGACTTTTTTTCTTTTGAAGTACAAATAACTGGCTAAGTTTCTTTAATAAGAAATATCATTTCTTCAACCTTTACTCTTCTAGAAAATATACCATGACATTCACTTACCAAGGTGTTTGTTAAGTAAAAGAGTTTATTTTTAGTTTTACTGGCCTTAAGTTGAAACTGGGGTTGACTGAAGAAGTTTAAGGAGCAATGCTAATCAACCCAGAATAGAAAATAACAAGTATTTGCAACCTTCTCGTGAAGCTCTTCTCCTGTGGTGGCAGTTCTGCCCCCTTCTTGCCCCACTTAACATCATGATGGGGAAAGTAGAAAACATCTCCCAACAAGTAAACCTTGACCTAATTCCTGAATAGAGACAGCCCAGATTAATAAACCTGTCATCACCAAACCTTTATAGAAGTCATGATTTCACTGAGATTCTGGAAGGATGACTTTTCTTTATATATATATAATGATGTCAATATCATCTATATCTATATTCACATCTATATCCATATCTACATTTATCTGTATATTTGAGAAGAAAAAACAAACAAGTCTTAGAGGCTTTTAAATAAAATATAAAGAAGAGAAATCTACAGATAAATATTTTCTAACATCAGGGCTTTATAATTCAGTAGAAAGAGAACCACCAGAAACTTTTTCATGTCAGGTGTAACTAGAGTCTGATATTGGGAAAATGGGACCAACCACATGAGTAGGGAGCCAGTTCTGTTGTGATTTTTAAGGTCTATTTTAAAGACCTCCGTGCCCTGAAATAGCTCCCACACTGGTACTTGAAACCCCTGTTAGATATCTTAAGCCCTAAAGATTTTGGTCCTCATATTTCCCTATTAAATTGAAATTGCTTTACAGGATGTAACACCATAGGAAGCACCAGCTAACACCTGATCAGGGAATACTTTCCAATCTGGCAGACAGCTAATTAAATGAGATAGATCCTATGGGAAAGTACATTGAGGATGGGGTGCTTATAAAGGGGAGAGGCATACTGATTGAGAAGGCAGGATGCTGAAGAAAATGTGGTCTAATTGAAATTTATCCTAGGGATACATGTATTGGAAATCAACACTATTTTCTTTTCTACTCATTCCATCATGATTATAACCAGGGATGTATATTAAAATCATCTGGTGAAGGGAGGGTTATTAAAATCACATCCTAAGCTCTAAAACTGACTGAGCACATCAGTCTCTGGAGGATAGCCTGGGTCTGCATATTTCTTTAAACCTCTCAAGGTGATTCTGTTACATACACAATTGCCATAAAAACCAAGCAAGTTAACTATCTTGGGCTCAATTCCATTTGCCAAACATTTGTTGGAAACTTTCTACATAGAAGGCACAATGTTCAGGTAATGTGAATGTAACAGATGGACCCAACGAGAATCTTATTTTCAAGATTATAATCTACCTGGAACAATAAATCCTGAGCATTAGAAACACAGGCATAATCTGTTAGCATTATAAAATGCTACAAATAAAATGTAGAGGGGTAGAGTACCTTTGAAGAGAACATTCAGGAAAGGCTTCCTGGAGCACAGATTCAGGCCCCTTCTTCATTTTCCGTACCTTCGCCTGGTCCCTCACACAAGAGTCCACTGGCAGTCTACCTTATAGCCTTAATCTTCTTTGTGTCCCTAAGCTCTGCTAAACTTTACAACAATAAATAGTCTCAGCAAAACATGATTCAAGTCACTCTTTCTTACATCTTGCCCCAGGATAAGGATAGGCTAACCAAGTATTGGATGCCGGGGTCTTCGATTTCTTTCTTTCTTTCTCTCTTTCTTTCTTCTTTATTTCTCTCTTTCTTGTTTCTCTCTCTCTCTCTCTCTCTCTTTCTTCTTTTTTTTTTTTTTTTTTTGAGACGGAGTCTTGCTCTGTCGCCCAGGCTGGGGTGCAGTGGCGTGATCTCGGCTCACTGCAAGCTCCGCCTCCCGGGTTCACGCCATTCTCCTGCCTCAGCCTCCTGAGTAGCTGAGACAACAGGCCCCCGCCACCATGCCCGGCTATTTTTTTTTTTTTTTTTTTTTTTTTGTAATTTTAGTAGAGACGGGTTTTCACTGTGTTAGCCAGGATGGTCTCGATCTCCTGACCTCGTGATCTGCCTGCCTCAGCCTCCCAAAGTGCTGGGATTACAGATGTAAGCCACCGCGCCCGGCCCCCAGGGTCTTGGATTTCTAACCTAGCTCTCATCTGATCAACACACCAATGTGTTCATTTAGACAATTTAAAAAAGGCAGTTTGCTTGCTCTGAAAGACAAGAATACATAAAATCTCATCTTTATCTTTGAAGAACACTTGAACTACTGTCAGTGAGACCTTGGTTTTAGGTTCTGAGGTCATGCTTTCCTCTTGCTTCTCTCACTTGATTTTAGGAATGAACTGCTGTGGCATCAGCCATGCCTCAACCCCAGTCCCCCATAAGTACAACTGTGGTCTTTACATGAGTTCTTTAAGAATGGACCACTTGTCCCTGAATTCCACAGGCTGAGTTCTACCTTTGATTTGCATTATTCGTAAGGGCCTCCAAGACCCATCAACATGAATATCTCCTCAGTGCCAGGAATAGAATGTAGGTAAGTGGATTGAACAAGGACACTAGACATAGGTAAAAAATTTAGGGGCAGCATTTTAGTTCGCAGTACAATCAAGATTCTAGAAGGATGTCATTTGAAATAAATAAACTTATTTCTGAGCAAAGACTAGCAGATGGTGGGATAAAAGTATCCTCTCTTAATATGTTCCATTCCTAAGAGTTCCCTAAATCTCTAGCATACCACAATTGCATCTGTTCAGCCATCTAGCAAATATTCTGTATTTGCAAGCGTTTTGCAAGCAGCTACCAGTGTTTAATCTTGGGATAATGCCTTCTTGATGTGCTAACCCCAAGAGTAATTCAAACAGCCTAAATGTGAATTACTCCTTGTAAAAAGGAAATGCGGCTGCTTGGAATCATGTCTGTCTGTAACTGAAGATATGACAACATTGAAACACACAGCCGTGTCTGTGCAATCACAGTCTGTAAGTGTAACCCTGGCCACAAGAGTATTAAGAGGGAAAGTGTGTACAAAACTAATCAGAAATTACTGTCACTAATAAAACACAATTTTCAATATTATTCCACACTTTACCAGCGAGTGAGAACTATTCTGTTGACATATATAAAAATTAAAATAAAATAAGCAGCATGGGATGGCTGACATATTGGATAGTAAATTTAAATATCTTAATTTAACTTTCTACCATCTAATTTTTGTGACTCAGTTTTTTTAGTAGTAAGAGGGAAAAAATAATGCTCATTCTACTCTACATCCCTGAGGTTTCAATAATACTCTCTTATCATTGTTCAGCAATTTACTACTTAAAAAGCATTTTTGTGTACATCTTCTCTACTGAGGCTCTGAATACATTTTTGAAGTAGGAAGGAAAGACTTCTCCTTTTTTGGAGACAGCTTTCTCAACTATAGGGGTGATTTGCTCCCATGTGCAGTTGGTTAATGGCAAGAACATTGACTCAACTATTGGTGTTTATTATTCCCAGTTCAGTACTTGCATCATTAAGGGTCCTTTTGCTTGTAATTGGCAGAAATCCTACCTCAAAATGGCTTGAACTAAAACGAAATTTGTTGCTTGATAGACCTAAAAAGAACATGAGTAGGTCTGGCTTTAGTTGCTGCGAAGGCTCAAATGAGGTCACTGAGATCCATGTCTCAGGGCCCTTTCCTCTGAGTGTCGGTTTCATCATCAAGCTGCCTCTCTTCATGTAACCAATTAGCTGTAGCAGTCCCAACCTCCTAAACTCATCCTACGCATTCCAAACAGTGAAAAGTTTTCTTTTTCAGAAGCTACAGGAGAGCTTTCTTTTGATCTTCTTGTTCTGAATGTAGTATTTGCCCTATTCTGGACCAATCATTGTTACCTGTGGAATGGACAGTCCATCTGGCTTAAGCCAACACAGTAAATGATGGAGAAAATTTTACCTAAATGTAACAATTAGAAGGGTGATTTCTCACAGCAAATATGGGAAGCTGTTGCCAGAAGGAGGGAGAATTGATGTTAAGAAGCAAAACACAAATAACCACAAAAGAGCTCCTCTTCTCTCCTCTCCTCTCTCCCCCAACCAGAAAAAAATGCACACTATCACCTAATGGAATGAAATTATGCAGTACATATGGACATAAGTTTCATAAGTAGAAACCAACAGGCAAACATTGATATTTCTGTCTAGTTTTATACACACACACACACACACACACACAAAACCCCATATATCCATATGTTAAGGTTATGTTAATTCCTTCAGAGATCTTCTGGATTGTGTGGATAGCTGTGGTCCTTCAAACATCAATGAGACTTTCCTGTAAGCAGAGTTCACTACAAATCCGATTCATTACACTGGAAAAGTGAGGAGATATTTGCAATACTCCTAACTGACAAGGCACTTGAGGTTATACTGTTACCTCAAATCAAAATGCTTCTAATCCCACATTATTATGTCAGGTTTCCTTTTATCCTTCTGTTTCCTTTCTTCCTGTATCTCTCTCTTTTTACTTATTTTCTTCCTGTATATCTCTCTCTTTTCACTTTTTTTTAACCTTCCTTTCATTCAACAAACAGATATTGAAGGCTTCCTAAGTAGTAGGCTCTATATTAAGAGCTGAGAAAACAAAGATGAGTAAGCCAAATCTTTGGCTTCAAGGCAAGACAAACAGCTACACAGAGAGTTGTAATTTAGTCTGGTACATACTACAAAAAAAGAGCGAAATACTTAGTACTATGTGAACAGTTTATTTACTTGTGTCAATCATCCTTCCCCTGCCCTCTCCCCAGACCTTGTCTTGATAATGGTAGTGATCTTCTTCTGTGTTCCCAATGAGCCCTGTTCATACTTCTGTTTATCTCAGATTATTTTGTGTCTTTAATTATTTGCCAACCACAGACACTACCAGCAACAGAAGCAATTAGATAGAATTTTAGGTATAATTTGCCATCAGTAACGGATGTGCTTTTTCCTACAGTTTCTCATAGTGATGGAGGATTGTTCTTACCCAACCACACTTTCTTTGGAAACAATGCTTACTGGGGAGCACCAAAAGTGAAGGCTGTAGTGTACTGCTCATGCAAGGAATTTATGTTTTAGTTTATGTGATCAATGAGCAAATATTCCTGTGCCTCCTGCCCCGCTCTATACCATCTTCCCTCGCACACAATAGCACCAATAATCCACTTTCAGTGTCTGAGCTTCCTGGCTGGAAAATCAGGCATCAAAACTAAAATTGAAAGTAGAGTTTGACACTTTCCAATGCCTTTTTTTTCATTGCTTTTGGATTTCCACACATAATACAAAGAAGGGAGAGAAGATAGCCTCTAATGTCCTACTGAAATCTAATCATTCCAAAATAGCCTTTTGAAAGATTAGATGGTAGTGATTTAGGAAGGAGTAAATATTGATTATAATTCTAAATTGTACTGCTATGTTTGCACTCCAGTGCACTACAGATCATATTCACTGAAAAATTACTTAAGAAGACATAAGTTTGCTCACTTTATCCAAATATTTTGTATACATTTTTTTCTGAAGGAATATTTTTGGGAAAATAATACTTCTACATACAATTCTGATAATGGAAGAATGATTATGTCTTAATTACATGTAACAGACTTCTCTTAGAGAAATACATTTCTTCATGCTAATAATTATTCATTTTTACTGTATTACAGGCTCTACCCTATAATATATCTGCCAGTTGAAAGTTGCTTTCTACTCTTCAAGGTGCAAGAACATATTAATTCCTCAATTTTATTCTTTGTCAGTTTTGTAACTATCAAGATTTCTTACTGAACTCGAAACTTATTCATATAGCCTTCTTAAATTCCATGGATCAATTAAATTATTTAAAAGTATATTTAGTTCTTCTAAAACATCATGTTCTCTGGACTCTATGGAAACTTTTGCACATACTGTTCATTTTGCCTGGAGCATTCTACTGCTCCCATCTATTTGCCTGTTTAATTTCCTTTCAATATGTAGCTTCCTTAGAAGTACTATTTTTTTCCAGGAGTCTCCTCTTGAATTCCTTTTACAGGTTACCTCCTAAAAATGTTTTCTAGCACCTTTCTCTTGTCTCTATATTTTGTACTATGGCTGCCTATTTATTTGTCTGTACTCAACTGGGCTTAATTCCTTGAGAGCAGAGGTAGGTTTTGTATCATAGACCTTACCACAGTGTTGGTATATAAGAGGTATTCCCTAGATATTTGTCACATGCATAAATAAATAAAACACAAATGATTGTCATTGATTACATGCTAGCTAACTTGCCAAATCCAAACATGATGGATTTATTTTTGGTTACTAGATGGTGACCAAAATCCTATGTAGTAAGTCTATATAATTGGCTAATATTTCCCTTAATTTATAGTATAGAATCAAGATGTAGTGTGAGGATATACAGTTATTTTCTTTTCACAGTTCATGTCACATCTCTTTTTCTTTAAAATAAAATATGTTTTGCACTTTCCTTTTGTTTGGTGACACCATTTATTCAACCTGCTTTAATATGGGATAGAATAATATTTCTTTAATTTTGTCCTTTAAGTCTTGTGGACTTTCAAATAATGACTGCAAAATTAATGACAGTAACTAATAAACATTCACCTCCATGAGGTGATTTTGTAGGCTCATAAGGAGCCTACAAATGAACAAGCCTGATGTTATTACACTTTGGGACATTTTGCAACAAATATTATTCTGTGGCTACTTGTAGATTGTTCAGTCCATCAGTAAAATTTTTTCTGAAATAAATATATAACTCATGGTAAGTACTAAAACATTTACTTGTAAGAGGTTTTATTTCATGCTTTGAGTTTGTTCATGAACATATGCTACTATTAGAAAGATTGATAATCGCCCAACATTAAAATGGCTACAAATTCATTCTCAATTTAAAAAATCAGATATTTCTGGCCCTCCATAAAAATAAACACAGGAAATTACTATTGTCAAAAGTTATCTCTAACTAAGGTGTTCATTAATATAATCTTAGCAAAATCATACCACTTCAGACAAAACCACCAGAAATAGGCATCCCATGTTTAATAAAAAAAGGCTTCTTTCTTACAGAAAAAGTAAAGATACTGTGTCAAAGAAAAAATGATATATAAAGAAGTTAATAGGGTAACTGCATAAATGGGTCCTTAAAATAAAGAGGTCCAGTAAAATACTGTAATATTTTATTTTTTTAGGTCTATTTATAAAACAACAAAAGCCAAAATTGACAAATGGGATCTAATTAAACTAAAGAGCTTCTGCAAAGCAAAAGAAACTACCATCAGAGAGAACAGGCAAGCTACAGAATGGGGGAAAATTTTTGCATTCTACTCATCTGACAAGGGGCTAATATCCAGAATCTATGATGAACTCCAACAAATTTACAAGAAAAAAACAAACAACCCCATCGAAAAGTGGGCAAAGGATATGAACACACTTCTCAAAAGAAGACATTTATGCAGACAAAAGACACATGAAAAAATGCTCATCATCACTGGCCATCAAACAAATGCAAATCAAAACCACAATGAGATACCATCTCACACCAGTTAGAATGGCAGTCATTAAAAGGTCAGGAAACAACAGGTGCTGGAGAGGATGTGGAGAAATAGGAACACTTTTACACTGTTGGTGGGACTGGAAACTAGTTCAACCATTGTGGAAGTCAGTGTGGCGATTCCTCAGGGATCTAGAACTAGAAATACCATTTGACCCAGCCATCCCATTACTGGGTATATACCCAAAGGATTATAAATCATGCTGCTATAAAGACACATGCACACGTATGTTTATTGCGACACTATTCACAATAGCAAAGACTCGGAACCAACCCAAATGTCCAACAATGATCGACTGGATTAAGAAAATGTGGCACATATACACCATGGAACACTATGCAGCCATAAAATATGATGAGTTCATGTCCTTTGTAGGGACATGGATGAAGCTGGTAGGGACATGGATGAAGCTGGAAACCATCATTCTCAGCAAACTATCACAAGGACAAAAAACCAAGCACCGCATATTCCCACTCATAGGTGGGAATTGAACAATGAGAACACATGGACACAGGAAGGGGAACATCACACACTGGGGCCTGTTGTTGGGGGGGAAGGGGGGAGGAATAGCATTTTGAGATATACCTAATGTTAAATGACGAGTTACTGGGTGCGGCACACCAACATGGCACATGTATACATATGTAACAAACCTGCACGTTGTGCACATGTACCCTAAAACTTAAAGTATAATAAAAAAAGAAAAATATACCACTCTATCTACTGTTTGAATAATAATAGTTCCCAAAAGAGAGAGAGGACTAAAGAGAGAACAAAATCATATTAATTAGATGACTAGTCTTCAAAAATTAGTTTAATGGCATAGGATGATTTTTGAAGGAAACAAATGCAAACTTTCATTAGGGAAGCCCTTGTGCTTTAAGAAGATGTAAATAGCACACAATTGTGCTATTTCTGTGTCAAGGGTTCTTAGCGTAGACCCTAACTAAATTTTTGATATTTTTTTTGAGCACAGATAATGAGGACTTGTGGAGTTCTCCAAAGTGATTCTGTGAAGTAGGAACAATAGCAGTGTTACACATAGTATTCCTGATGACTTCTAAAAATACTATGTGACATGATCTGATTAGTTGGTATACTTTTGTCCATTTCAATTTTTGAAGAGTTTATACAGACATTAAACTGAGAAAAATAATATGTTTGTATATCAAAGATACCTACAAATTTGGGGTCACGTTAGAAAATTATTACATGGTGCTCCATCCCCGAGCATATGCCCTTGACTTATTTTGAATCACAGAGACTGAAGTAAGGCTTTGGTTGTCCTAATTTACTAATAATTCTGTGCTCAAAAATTTCCAGTGATTCTCCACTGTTTGCAGAGGAAAATACAAAATCCTCTTAGGCCTATTTGGCCCTTAAAAAGCCAGTGCCACCTCAATATCTCTTTCACCTTCTGCTTTTCTTCATTGTATCCCAGCAACACGACTCCCTTGCTGTTACCAGACCATAGCAGGTGCACTCCTGCCTAAATATTTGAACTTGTTGTTCTTCCAGCCTGAGTTGTTTTTCTCCTGAGTCATACACATGACTTTGCACAAAGTCACTTTGTTAAAAAGATCTTCACTATCTATCTTGTTTCAATTTAAACCAAGCCACATCTGTGTACTCCTTCTCCTCTGACCAACTTTATTTACCTCCATAGCATTTACAGGCTTCCACTATACAATGGCATTTATTTACTGTGGCCAACAGACTTTCAAGGTGGTCCTAGGATCCCTGCCTCCTGATGTTCACTTATTCATCATGTTTATTGATTATATGTTTCTGCTAGATTATAAGTTTCACAAAGGCATTTTTAAGTCTTCTTTATTTACTCATATATATTGGGTACTTAGAATAGTACACAATATATAGTAGACACAATAAATATTTGTTGCATGAGTGAACACATAAATACATTATTTTTGTCTGCCCTGTCAGTGGATTTATCTATTTATTTTCTTTGGCTTACTCCCTATGCTGTGATTACAAACACTTGAGGCCAAAGTTAATTCCAAGACTCATGTGCTTGGTTAAGGAAATTTATGGCTAAGAAACATTAATGCTGTGTCAATAGAATGTTCCACATTTTGGCATGTGTTATACATTTGTCCCTCGGTATCTATGGGGGATTGGTTCCAGAACTTCTCACAGATACTAAAATCCATGGATGTTCAAGTCCCTTATACAAAACAGCATAGTATTTGCATACAGCCTACACAAATATTCCCAAATACTTTTAATCATCTCTAGATTACTTATAATACTTAACGCAATGTAAGTGCTATGTAAATAGTTGCTAGTTGTTATACTGTATTGCTTAGGAAACAATGACAAGAAAAAAAATCTGTACATGTTCAATAGAGATGCAATTTATTTCTGAATATTTTTGACCCACAGTTAGTTGAATCCATGGATGTAAAAAAATCATAGATACATACAGAGGGATGACTGTATTTTGTTTGGGGTTATTACTAATTTATGAATTTCCACTTTGCACAGTACCTAGTATGGACATTTCATAATAAACTTGGGTGGGGTTTCAAATAAAAGCATATAATATTTTATAAGGGAGCTTCAAGAAAAAAAAAAGAAAACTAAGATTAATCACACTTGACCAGATGCCTTCCAGAAATACAAAGGAAAGGAACGATTAAGTAATCATAGAAGAAACATGATCGGTAAACATAGAAAGCTGCAGCTTGTACTGTAGCCCCATTCCCCACCTGGGGACAGTTTCTGAAGGTGGGAATCTGGGTGCAACTTAACTGAGTGTCTGCACTTGAGGTTTCTCAAAAGGCTGGGATGAAGGTGTTGGCTGGTGTTTCTGTCATTAGAATTAACCCAAGGGTGAGCTGTGAAAGGATCTGCTTCTTAGCTCACTCACATCATTGTTGGCAGGATTCAGTTCTTTGTGGGCTGTTCATCTGAGGACCTCAGGTCCTCTCCAGCTGTTGCTGGGAGATCTCCCTCAGTGTCTTGTCATGTGGACCTCACCATAGGGCAGTTTATAACAGAACACATGGATTACCTCAAAGCAAACCAGCAAAGAATTACATAAAGCCAGCAAGACAGAAGTCATGCTCTTTTGGTAATGTAACCTAGGAAGTGACATTCTATCACTTTTGTCAAATTATATTCATTGGAATTGAGTCACTGTGTCCAGCCCACACTCAAAAGTATGGGATTACACTAGGGTTTAATTAGCAGGAGGTTAGAAATTTAAACGCAGCTTTATTGTCTGCCCACCACAAGTATAAAACAAATGAGTGACTATGTTAGTATCATTGGGTATTAAAATTTGCAGCACTGGAGAAAGGACGTACAGGTATAAGGTTAAAGAATAAGGAAAAAGCTATTCATACTGAAATGGAAATGGAAATATGACTTCGTAGTGTATGTGATATATATATATATATATTTCTGCCCAGGCCTGTGGCCCACTATTTCTCCAAGGAGCCTTGTCTTTTTTTTACTAGGAAATATAATTCAGAGAATATAATCTGGATGTTTGAAGTGCTCATTAGTCTTAAGGCCCTTTCAGTGGACAAAATGGGAATGTATATATATATATAATACATATATAATATATAATATATTACCCTTAAGACTTAAGTCTTAAGGCCCTTTCAGTGGACAAAATGGGAATATATATATATAATATATAATATATTAGCCTTAAGACTAATGAGCACCTCAAACATCCAGATTATATTCTCTGAATTATATTTCCTAGTGAAAAAAAGACAAGGCTCCTTGGAGAAATAGTGGGCCACAGGCCTGGGCAGAAAATATAAAAAATTAGCTTGAAAGAACTTGGTATAGCAGGAAACAAGGCCACTAGAGGTATCAAAGAAATTTAGAAACCAACTAGAAAAGGCTTTCACAGTTCAAAAATAAGAAAATATGAGCATAAATAGAACTAGTAGCTATAGTGAATACAAAGACATAAATTCCATTTAAAATTATGAGTTATTACGTCTCCTCTAAGGAAAGCTTGAGAACTAACTGGTCATTTGGAAAACTGATAAAGGAAAAGAATCAAACATATATCCTGCTTTTCATATACAAATCTTAAGATAACCCAGTGTTTCTCAACTGGGTTTTTTTATCTTTGCCCCCAGGGTCATTGGCAATGTCTTAGATACCATTTTAGTTGTCACATCTAGGGAAATGCGTTACTGCCATCTGGAAGGAAGAGTCCAGGCCGGGCGTGGTGGCTCATGCCTATAATCCCAGCACTTCGGGAGGCCGAGGCGGGCGGATCACGAAGTCAGGAGATCGAGACCATCCTGGCTAACACGGTGAAACCCCTTCTCTACTAAAAATACAAAAAATTAGCCGGGCGTGTTGGCGGGTGCCTGTAGTCCCAGCTACTCGGGAGGCTGAAGCAGGAGAATGGCGTGAACCCGGGAGGCGGAGCTTGCAGTGAGCCGAGATCACACCACTGCACTCCAGCCTGGGCGGCAGAGGGAGACTCCATCTCAAAAAAAAAAAGGAAGAGTCCAGACACGTGACTGAATATCCTACAGTGCACAGAACAACTCCTCATAACAAAGAATTATCTAGTCCAAAACCGTCAATAACACCAGGGTTGAGAAATCTTGAGATAACGATATACAATCATGCAATGAATAACGATATTTTTGGTCAACAATGGACCACATAAACAACAGTGGTCTTATAAGCCTATAATACTGTGCTTTTACTGTAACTACTCTATGTTTAGGTATGTTTAGATACACAAATATTTACCATTTTGTTATAATTGTCTAGTTCAGTTCAGTAACATGCTGGGCAGGTTTGTAACCTATATCGTATAGCCTATTATACCGTAGAGCTTATGCCTGTGGTAGGCTGTGCCATCTAGGTTTACTTAAGCATATACTTTATGATATTCAAACAATGACAAAATCATCTACTGATGCATTTCTCAGAATGGATCCTCATTGTTACGCAATGCGTGACTGTAGTTGAAGAGATAAAGTTTTTCTTTGTGCAAGTATTCCAGCTAATGAAAGTAGAAATATTTAAAGTAAAATACCATTTTTTGTAATCTCTAATAAAAGGTGGATTTTGGTATTCATTATTATGGCTGTTAACACTACATAAACATGAAAGAGCAAAACACCATATAAGCCATACTTTGTCAATAAACTGCATCCATGTCTGATGCAGAAATGTAATAAATGGTACCAGCAAGTTGCAATTTGTTAAATCCATACTTTAAGATACTCTACTGGAAAGATGTCACAGTTTTTTCAAGAAGTAAATTGCAAAGAAGTAATACGAGGCAATGTGACACATCAACCATTTGCAAGAGATGGAATACATTTGCTTTCTTATTGATATAATAAGCAGAAAACAATTTATGAAACCATCATAGAAATTTGAAAAAATAGAATATTTGACTATGATATTGAGAAACTATTTAGGATATTCTAGGCCTGATGATGATATAGAGTTTATTTAGTGTTTATTTTTTTAAAAGCATTCTCCTGTTTCTAAGACACAGACTAAAATTGTTACAGGAATATGGTATGATGTTGGTAGCTGGTTCAAAATAATCTAGAGTGAAAAAGGAAGAAAGTATAGGAATATATGTGAAACAATTTGAATTTATCATACAGCATTCTCTTTATTGTATGTTTTCAAAATTTGGCATAATAAAAGTTTTTAAAGTTTACAAGTTTCTATTTAATCCCTACTGTAGTCATATTAAGGGAAAAAACATATAATGAAATAGCAACAAAATATTCCATAACATATATCAACTTGACACAAACCTTAGGATTACTTGCTTTAATGTGGAATTTTAATCATATTGTGTTTAATTTTAAATATTAATTTCTTAGTGTTCTGCTTAGATTGAAAAATTTTTTAGCACTATTCATTTTAAGAGTTGCTTTATTGCTAGATAATGGCCCATAAAATAAGCATAACTTGTTTAATTTACTTTTCATCGCCTACTTACCATTTAAGTTTTTTCTACTTTTCAGTGTTATAAATAATACTGAAATAAATACTTTTTGCATGTAATTTTTTTTTAACCAAGCTCATTTATTTTAGGGCACATGGGTCTTTTATAAATCCATCTCTTTGGAATAATTCCCAAAATTTAAATAACTGAATATAAGGTCTCATCATTCTAAATATTACTGATACATGAAGACAAATCACTCTCTGTAGATATGAAAAATGCATTTGGTAACAAAAAATTGAACTTTCTGTAACAATCACCTAAACAGGGAGTGTTCTGTTTATCTTACATAATGAAAAGTTCAGGGCTAGTAGCATGGCACCATGCATGGTGTCATCAGTAACAAGTCCCTTCTATCCCTTCTGCCATCTCTAATGCTACCAATGGTCATGATTGGTTGCTGAAGCACCATATCTGAGGGCCAGACTGGAATAGGATGGAAGGGGCAAAACTTTCTTTCAAAGCATTATCTTTCTATGCAGATAGGCGGCTAATTCCTAAAAGACTTCCAACTTCTCAACAGTCAGAATTGTGTTGCAAAGTCATGCCTGACTAGAAGGTATGTAGGAAAATATGAGTTTCATTTTCTAATCTGCATAAAAAAAGATAAGGTAGATGAAAATGGACCCCGAGTGAGCCAATTCATAGTATAAGAGCCTGGGTTCAGGAATCCCAAAGTGCAAATGACAACCAGTCTTTGGTACAATCAGTCACATTCCACTTAATAATTACATATAAAATGCTATCTTGTTTTTCAGCTGTATCCATTAAGCTGTCAATTAGAATAATTTTTTATCTTTATTAATTTTATTATTTATTTTCTAAATTACCTATACATGTGTTTTGTCATTACCTAACTAGGTAATTTTTAAAACATTTATATCAACAACTTTATGGGTGGCAGATGTTACTGTACTTAAGAGGACTGAGAGGTCAGAATCTGAAATTAAGTTATCTGGTTTTGTGTTATTGCTCAACCTCTTAGCAATCATGCAAACTTGGAATTCTCCTGGGCATATAGCAAGAGTTCTGTACATTTTAGTTTATTGTTATTTTCATTGTTTTTGAAATAAGAAGCAATCACTAGAAAACTGAATTTTTAGAAAAAAATGTTGAGAATTTCTCGAAATAATGTTTTCTACTCATCCTCCATGGAAAGAGCTTTAGCTCTGGATATATTTTCCTACTTTTTGGCATTCGCAAGTTTTTCATAATATACTCCATTATACAGTGAACTGATGAGCTCAGAAAATACCGGGTAAACTCTTCAGTTTTAAAGTGTTAATAATAGACATGAAGTATCATCATTCTGCTATAGAATAGTTTGATTTTTAACCAAAACCACTTCCTTATTCCAATGGAATGCATATTTTGCAATTTGATGTCTTTGTTAGCAACTTTCTGATGGGTGAACCATTTTAGCGAAGGACAATTTCCAGAAACCATCAAGTAATACTTTAGTGATGATTGTACAATTTGCCATCACAGTTCATATAAACTTCTTGAGGTTATTTAACTAAAAATGAATCAGAACAAACAAGTATTTTGAAGATTTGCTTCAAACTTGAGGAAATTCCAGCCTTAATCACATATACACTCCTGGTGGAAGTTATACTATATTTGGCTATAGACCCAGGGATCCTTATAGATGACAAAGGCAAGTGTTAATGAGTCCATTATTAGTGTTGGTTGTTTTTATTAAAATTTCTCAGAGCTCCAGGAGGTGAACTAGTATATTCTTTTTATTTTAGATGCTTGATGTTTTAAGTGGAATATGAAACATCTTTGAATCACAGCGGCAGACTCTTGAGGATGATTAAGCATGGTGTCTATTAAAAAACTATTCCAATTACAAAAAGACCTGTGCTAAATAAAACTACACTCACAGAGTGAGGAATTTGGTATTTAACAATCTTTAAAGATTTTCATTTATATTCCTTAAGTTTTTCTTCTATATTTTATTCATTCAGAGTAAACCAACATCTGAAAATTAAGGACCAAGTTAGAGACCTTCCAGTTTCAAAGACAAGTTTCTTGTAAGAACTCTCTGTATTCAGTCTCTCCATTTCCTGACTTTTTATACATTTCTCAGCCTAGTCATTAATTTAATCTATTATTCTACTTCCAAATGTCTCATGATTATCACCAAACACATTTTTCTAAATCCACTGGATATTCTCCAACCATCATATTACTTGGCCCCTAAGTAGCATTTACTTTTGTTAGCCTGGATCTATATTTACCTTGGTTTCCTGGTTATCTATCTTTTATGTTTCTTCTCTTATGTTAGGCAATCCATTTTCTGCCTTGTTTGGAATCTTACCTTCTCTACTGATTGGAATTCCTCAAGGCTCCCTCTAAAGATTGTTTTCTTTTCATTCTATAATATTTCCCTAGATAATCATATATGTACCAATTGACACCTATAAGTGGATAAACAAGAAGTTTATTTCTTAAGGCCAGATCTTACTTTTAGCCCAAGATATGTATATCCACTGCCTCCTTGACAAAGTCTTTTGGATATCTCAAATCTCTACATGGTCTATATCCAGCTCTCCTTTCAAGCCTTGGCTCCTCATGTAATAGAACCTGTTTGAATCTAGCTTCTAAGACAGTGATTAAAAGTCAATCCTGGCCAGGCGTGGGAGCTCACACCTGTAATCCTAGCACTTTAGAGAGGCCAAGGCAGGCGGATCACTTGAGACCAGGTATTTGAGACCAGCCTGGTCAATGTGGTGAAACCCTGTCTCTATTAAAAAAAAAAAAATTAGCTGGCATGGTGGTGCATGCCTGCTGTCCCAGCTACTCAGGAGACTGAGGCAGGAGAATCACTTGAACCTGGAAGGCCAAGTTGCAGTGAGCCGAGATTGCGCCACTGCACCACTCCAGCCTGGGCAACAGAGTGAGACACCGTCAAAAAAAAAAAAAAAAGTCATCCCTGATATCCATCTCCCTATTTCCCCTGTTCGATTAATCAAAAATTCTCTTGAATCTACTTGTTAAATGCTACTCAAGCTCATTTACTTCTTAGTGTCTTTCACTAACTAACACCAATTTTCTTAGTTCAGCTGTGATTTAACCTTTTCCCTTAATGTATCTACAATAGGAACCTAAATCATCTACATACATGTACCCCCCAGCTTCCCTGCAGTCCATTCTTTGCACTCAGCCAGAGCTATAATTCCATCACATTGATCAGATATTGATATTCCTTGAGCAAAACACTTACAGGCTTTCCTTTCCTTTTAGAGTAGCACAAATTTGCCAACTTTCCCATTTACCAACTGATACTGTTTGGCTACATCCCCACCCAAACCTCATCTTGAATTGTAGTTCCCATAATTTTCACATGCCCTGGGAGGCACCCAGTGGGAAGTAATTGATTCATGGAGCAGTTACCCCCATGCTACTGTTCTTGTGAGAGTGAGTGGTTTCTCACAATATCTGATGGTTTTATAAGGGCCTTCTTTTCCTCCCCTACTTTGAATTCCCTTTTTATTAACTTTCACTTATTCCTCAGATTTCTGCATGCTCTCTGTCTCTCTCTTTTTCTCTCTCTCCATGTGTATGTGAGTACATAATATGTACACACACAGAGGTGTATGCACACACACACACACACACACACATGCACACACACACACACAGAGAGAGAGAGAGGGAGAGAAAGAGAGATAAAGAAATCTCTCCACAGTGACAAATGCATATTTTCTTATAAGGCTATGGATGGCTGCCTGTATTCCCCTTTATTCTTTAAGCTAAGGCTGTGACTGTGCCTGGCTTTTTTTTTTTTTTTTCTGACGGAGTCTTGCTCTTTTGCCAGACTAGGGCACAGTGCTGTGATTTCTGCTCACTGCAACCTCCGCCTCCTGGGTTCAAGTGATTCTCCTGCCCCAGCCTCCAGAGTAGCTGGGACTACAGGTGCGCACCACCACACCCAGCTAATTTTTGTATTTTTAGTGGAGATGAGGTTTCATCATGTTGATCAGGATGGTCTTGATCTCTTGACCTCATGATCTGCCTACCTCAGCTTCCCAAAGTGCTGGGATTACAGGCGTGAGCCACCGCACCCGGCCTAGCTTTATTCTTCTCTAGAATTTAGCAAAGTGCTTGGGACCTAGTTAATATCTGAGAAAAATTTGTTGAAAAAATAACAAATAAGGACTCTTAGTCCACAGTACAGTTATGGATCACTACATTAATTCTACTTTTATGTAAATATTTACCCTTTACCAAGTTAAAGTATTTTTCCCTATAAGGACATGTTTGCTAAGTGAAAAGAAGTATAGATTTGAATGTACACAAATGTGTGTAACAATGATTTATAAGCACAGAGAAAACTCTCATTTATTGATAGTTTGAAACCAAGTTTTAGAGCAATATGAGTTTTGCAGATTAATATTCCTTGTGAAGCAGTTATATAGTTGAGTTGTTGATTTAACATGTATTTTCACCTTAAAATATATGATTTGGCCATCAGCTGGCCATAGGGAAAGAATATGGGAGAACACTGTGGGATTTGGGGACATACAATCTTTACTTAGATCTTATAACCAAGGCTCCACTGAAGAGTTAAAATTCTTTGCTTATTGATATATAAATCAATGTTACTAATATTTAGAATCCCACATACCATATAACATTTAAAGAAGTGAGGAAGAGTAGCATAAATTTGCCAACTTTCCCATTTACCAACTGATACGGTTTGGCTGTGTCCCCATCCAAATCTCATCTTGAATTGTAGTTCCCATAACTTTCACATGCCCTGGGAGGGACCCAGTGGGAAGTAATTGAACCATAGGGCAGTTACTCCCATGCTACTGTTCTTGTGAGAGTGAGTGAGTTCTCACAAGATCTGATGGTTTTACAAGGGGTTTTCCCCACTTTTGCTTGACACTTCTCCTTCCTGCCACCATGTGAAGAAGGATGTGTTTCCTTTCCTTTCTGTCATGATTGTAAGTTTCCTGAGGCCTCTTCAGCCATGGGGAACTGTGAGTCAATTAAACCTCTTTCCTTTATAAATTACCTAGTCTTGGGCAGTTGTTTACAGAAACACGAGAATGGACTGATACACCAACTACAGACATTAAAAATGCCCACATTCCTCGTCCAATAACCACATCAACAGTAGAGACAGGATATATTAACACACACAAAAATCAGAAGGACATTAGGATACATATGGCAATTACATAAATGTAACTTTTTGTTAAACTGTGGTTAATGTTCTTATTTTTTATTATTTCACTTTGGCCTGGCAAAACTTTCATCAGGAGACTGGCCCTGTTCCATAATTTTATATTTGAGAATCACTCATTTAATGTGAGAAGGACTCTTAGCCCACAGTAGAATATTGCCTTTTCCCATTCTCAGTAATATTTTTAAAAGGTTCACATTTTTTAGATATAGGCTCTAAATAATTTTAGTATCAATTGGATAACTGTTTAAAACTTAGAAGAAAAGTTGAAGTTTGCCTGTGTATTGTCAATAGAAAACACAGATAAGGCCATTCATTAACGGAAGAATCAGAAGAGTAAATGGTGAATATAACTATTGCATGTTCTTAAGTAAAGTTTCATTATTGAGACTGTTAAAAAAGCAAATAAAGTTTAATTGCCTTGTGATTAAGTAGAATCCTTTTAATGTCTGAATTCATCGGTATGTCCCAAGACTCTGGTGTACTTTTAAGCACATAGTGTGCTGCTTAACAAATACCTATTGATCACTGTTAATAAGGAGTAGACACAATTAGAAGAAAAAGAACAGACCTAAATTAATCCTTTACTGGGTAGGAAAGTTTAACAATGTCATTCCCTGGGTTTGACAGTAATTTCATTTAAAGATTTTTATAAATAACCTAAAAGTGGGAGTACACAGTAAATTATCCAAGCTATTCTAAGCAAAGGAATGCTGAATGAGTGGGAGTAAAGTGCAGGAAGAACTCACGGAGCTGTGTAGGGTAAGACGAATGGCAATTGAGCTCCAATGTGGGCAAGTGTGAAATAAAGCATTTAAAGAACAACTCCAGATACGGAATAATCGATTATAAGATATAATGATCTTATAAGAATAAGATCTTTTATGACCCAGGAAAATTATCTAAGAATTACAATATGCACTTTCATTCAAAAAGCAATCTCACTACTTAATATATATCCAAAGAAAAAGAAAATTGGTATGTTTAAAAGACTCCTGCACTCCCATGATTTTGCAGCATTATTCGCAATAGCCAAGAAACAGAATCAACCTAAGTGTCCATCAAAAGATGAGTGGATAAAGAAAATGTGATACTATACACAATGAAATACTACTCAGCCTTAAAAAAAGAAAAAAAATCCTGTCGTTTACAACGACATAGATCAAACTGGAGAACATAACTTTAATTGAAATAAGCCAGGCACAGAAAGAAAAATACCACATAGTTTCACTTTATGTGTATGTGGAATCAGAAAAAGTTGAACTCATAGAAGTAGAGAGTGGAATGGCGGTTATCAGGAGCTGGGACAGAAAGAAGGGGTGGGGGAAATATTGATCAAAGGATATAAAATTTCTATTGAGACAGGAGGAGTTAATTCAAGAAATCTGCCAGGTGGGGTGTCTCATGCCTGTAATCACAGCACTTTGTGAGGCCGAGGCGGGTGGATTGTTTTAAGTCAGGAGTTCGAGACTAGCCTGACCAACATGGTGAAGCCCTGTCTCTACTAAAAATACAAAAATTAGCCAGGCATGGTGGCACATGCCTGTAATTCCAGATACTCAGGAGGCTGAGGCAGGGGAATCACTTGGACCCAGGAGGCGGAGGTTGCAGTGAGCTGCAATTCTGCCACTGCACTCCAGCAGCCTGGGCAGCAGAGTAAGGCTGTGTCTCAAAAAAAAAAAATCTGTTTTAAAACATGCTAACTAGAGTTAATAATAATATATTGTATTCTTGAAACATGCAAGAATGGATCTTGTTTTCTCCACAAACAATAACAATGTGAGGTGATGCATATGTTAATTAGCTAGCTTTAGTTATTCCACAATGTATACATACTTTAAAACATCATGTTGTACACAATAAATACATATATTTTTATCTGTCAATTAAAAAATGGTCTTATATCCCATATAATCACTTAAAATCTAGGTAATCTCTTAACCTTTTAAAATTAGCATCTTTCTTATTCAATTCTGGCTGTTATAATAAGACATTTTAGGTGGCATGTGATGATTAATTTTAGAATTATCTTGACTGGATTGGGCCCTGTGCAGCGGCTCATGGCTGTAATCCTAGCATTTTGGAAGGCCGAGGCGGGAGGATCACCTGACATCGGGAGTTCGAGACCAGCCTGACCAACACGGAGAAACCCTGTCTCTACTAAAAATACAAAATTAGACGGGCGTGGTGGCACATGCCTGTAATCCCAGCTACTTGGGAGGCTGAGGCAGGAGAATCACTTGAACCCAGGAGGCGGAGGTTGTGGTGAGCTGAGACCACGCCATTGCACTCCAGCCTGGGCAACAAGAGTGAAACTCTGTCTCAAAAAAAAAAAAAGAAAAAAGAAAAGGAACTGGATTAAGAGATACCTAGATAGCTGGCAAAGCATTGTTTTGAGGTGTATCTGTGAAGGTGTTTCCAGAAGATATTGTCATGTAAGTTGGGGGACTGAGTGGGGGAAGATCTGCTCTCAGTGGGGGCAGGCACCATCCAATCAGATGGGGGCCCAGATAAAAAAAAAGTCAGAGGAAAGGCCAATTTGCTCTGTTTTCTGGATCCAGGACACCTTTTCTTTCTCCAGCCATTGGACATCCGAACTCTAGGTTTTCTGGCCTTTAGACTCTGGAACTGGCATGAGCAGCCCTCCAGCATCTCAGGTCTTCTGCCTAGGACTGAGAGTCGCAACATTGGTTTCCCCGGTTCTTCGACTCCAAGACAGCTGTAGTGAGACTTCTCAGCCTCCATGACCGCATGAGCCAATTCCCCTAATAAATCTTCTCGTCTATCTCTATCTATGCATGCTTTCGATTTTGTCTTTCTATAGAACCCTGACTAATATAGAAATAAACTTCTATAAATAATACAATTTTTTTTTTGCTCAGAGTTCTGGAAGCTGGAAAGTACAAATTCAAGAAAGGGTGAGCAAGCTTCCCAAAGCCTCTGTTATAAGGGCACTAATCCCATTTATGAGGGCTATGCTCATAACCTGATCACATCCCACAAAACTCAACTTCTTAATACTATCACATTCAGAATGAGGTTTCAAAATAAAATTTTGGGAGAACACAAACATTCAGACCATAGAATTCTGCCCCTGGCTCCCCAAAATTCTCACATGCAAAATGCATCCACTCCATCCCAATAGCTCCAAATGTCATAACTCACTCCAGCATCAACTCACTCAAAAGTCTAAAGTCCAGAGTCTCATCTAAATATCAAAATCAGATATGGATGACAATCAGGGTGTGATTTATTCTGAGGCCAGTTGCTTTCTAGCTGGGAATCTGTGAAATCAAATAACTTACGTGCTTCCAAAATTTTATGGTGGGGAAGGCAGAGGGTAGATATTTCTCAATTCTAAAATGCAGAAATCAGAACTAAGAAATTGGTAATTGGGGCCAGGCACGGTAGCTCATACCTGTAATCCCAGCACTTTGCGAGGCTGAGGAGGGCGGATCATGAGGTCAAGAGATCGAGACCATCCTGGCCAACATGGGGAAACCCTGTCTCTACTAAAAATACAAAAATTAGCCGGGCATGGTGGCATGTGCCTGTAGTCCCAGCTACTTGGGAGGCTGAAGCAGGAGAATCACTTGAACCTGGGAGGCAGAGGTTGCAGTGAGCCTAGATGGTGCCACTGCAGTCCAGCCAGGCAACAGAGTGAGACTCCATCTCAAAAAAAGAAAAAAAGAAAGAAATGGGTAATTTGTATCAAGTAAGTTCAAAACCCAAACCCAACAGGGCAGACAACATTATATCTTAAAGCCTGAGAATAATCTTTGACTCAACTTCTTGCTTTCAGGATACACTGGGTTGGGTTCCCAAAGCTCCACATAGCCCTGCCCCTGTGACTTTCCTGGGTGCAACCCACGTAGCAGCTCTCATGGTTAAGGATTCATTCCTGTGTCTCCCTCAGGATCCCTCACCTCTTGACACTGTTACATCGTCGATTAGCTTTCAACATATTAATTTAGGCAACACAAACATTCAGACGAAAGCAGTAGCTATGATTATGTCAAATAATTGTGGAAGATGAATTTTTTGGCAAATTTTGTAAGGTATATCCTTTAAATATATATTGTTTATTAAACTTTAGAAAAACAGGTTTATCTCATTCATTCAATTTAGAGAAAATGTCTGCATTGGCAAAAGCCAGTCATCGACATATGGGATACAACATTCTCACTACTGAATTCTAATTACACAGATAAAGAGACAGAAAGGCTAAGAGATAAGTATACTTTTAAGTATACATACATGTATTCATATTTAGAGAGCTAGAGATAGGTAAAGAGATTACAGACACATATGCATGTATATGTTATATGTGTGTATATAGATATAGGCATACACAAACACCCAAACTCATGTATACCCCAAGAAAGCTTTGGTAAGAAGAGTCAGAGTCCTGTTTCAGTCTAGCTGAAACAGATATGTAAACAAGAGAAATGTAAACAGGATGAAGTAAGACTTCTCCTTTCAATACTTCTTACTAAGATTTTCTTTGCTTTGCTCTTTGGAGTATACTTTACAAGGCATTCTCCAAACTGTCTCTTTGTTTGATTCCCTGGAGATGTTTACATCTTCTGCCAGTGAAAAGATGATAGCTGAGTGAGCATTGTGTCTTTCCTCTCTGAAATGGGAGAAGGGCAATTGTGAAAGACAAGGCAGAAAAAGACAATCTACAGCTTTTAGACAGTTTTCAGGTAGGTTAGTTTTAAGAAATAGTACATGTGGATCTGGAAATTAAATTTCTTAAAACTATACATGCTTTTGTAACCCCAAGCCTTCGTACTGTACCAACAGATAAAAATGTTCAATTGTTTGAAAGCTGCTGCCCTGAAGAAGAACTTGAGCAGAACTGCCCATTTATTTCCTTAAAAATGAAAATAGGAGAGAATAGATGAACAGAAAGTTATGAGGGCAGTATGAGGAAGATATGATGTGCAGGGAGGCTATAATATTATATTTTGAGAAAAAAAGAAGTGGGAAAGGTCAAACAGAATTAACCATAACACTTTAAAATCAAAACGGATTGCCAAGTTCAGAGAAAGCTTATCTTCCATCTCAACCTTGCACCAAAATTAACAAATCTAAAAATGACTAGATCTTTAAAAGTCAAACACTATGCCTATAAAGTTTGCTTATTATGAAGTAGAGTGTGTAGGAAAGCAAGATGATATACTTATCAGGTAATATTCTGATATGTTTACCTATAGATTTTCCATTCTTCATTGCCATAAGACCTTAGGCCATTTTACCACCAATTAAGGGAAGCCATAGCAGACATTGAAAAACCAAAAAGAAGGATTTCTTGGCTTTGGAGTTTTCAAATGTTGAAGTCCTAACACAAACAACAGGAGTGGAAGGAAAATTCACAAGCCACTGGGATGCTGCAGAATGAGTAGATAAGGCTCTCTCCACCGATCTTTGAGCTGGGGCATGAGAAACATCAGAGAGAAGAGCAGAAGAATTAATTCTGTTTAGGAATAGGTCTCTGATGGCTTTCTGTCTTGCATTTTAACCCATCTGAGCTTCATGCAAAGAGGCACAACAGAATCTCTACACAAGTTATGGGATTTGAGAGCAGAGGATATCTGAGCCCACAAGAACCATGCGGTTCTAGACTTCCCAGCATGTAAGTTGCTGTAGCAATAAAGTAGACATAATTGTCCAATGGGTCTAGATGTGAGATTGCCCTACTAAGTTTCCCACAGTGATAAAATTAAGATAATATCCAAAAGATCCCTCTGGAGATCTTAAAGCTGTAGAGAGTGACATCAGCGTTAGGATGTTGAACAGACACAATCATGTGTGTAGACTTTTTTTTATCAGATCCCAGATTGGGAAAAAAAAAAAAAGTTTTCCACATGTCAGAGCAGAATGGCTCTTACTGAATAGGAACCAGGAAAATAAAAATGCTGCAAAAGATACCAAAACAGGCCAATAGTGACCAAGAACCCAGCCACCTTTCATGGGCCTTGATGTGAGTCAGAAACGTACATGCAACTTTTGAAACAAAGGGAGAAAATAATAACACTTGATCTGTTAAAAAAAAAAAAAACTAATGGATTGAGTTTATTAACAAATGGCTAATTTTCTTTTAAAAACAGTCTTAAAAGAGCTGGTGGCAGAAATTAATTAGAGTTATGCAAAAAAGTTACATATTTTACACACCACAATTGATACATCTTAATAACCATTGGTACATAAAATTAACATAATAGCTGTAATTTATGGAGAACTTTCTCTCCAGGTTTGGTGTTCAGTACTTTGCATGCATTATTTTATCTTCTAAACAACTCCATAATTTAGAAATTGTTTTACAGCATTCCCATTTTAAAAGTCAGTAAAGCATAGTGATTTGCCCAAGGTTACCAAGCCAATAGGTGGTAAAATCAGAAATAAAATTCAAATATATTCACACCAATTATCCTACCCTTAGTAATTACACCAAATAACTATGACCATAAAGATGGATAGTGATGTTGGTGAGTGAATATGTAAACTGTAGCTATATTGAAGGTTGTGTTTCCACCTCCTACTTTAGAGGACCTAGTCATCCAGTTTTAGGGATTCTCAGTGGTCACTATTGCTATCTTGGGTCATACAATTTTTTGTTCTCAATTGTTTGTCCTATGCATTGTAGGATGTTTAGCAACATGCCTAGCCTCCCTCTGCCCACTAGATGCCAGTAGAACTCCCACCCCCAAGTTGTGATGACAACAAAAATCTCTATTCATTGCAAAATTTTCTCTGGGGGGCAAAAGAGCCCCTGGTTGAGAAGCACTAGGTAACATACATTTAGAGTGACTGAGTGGCCAAAGGACCTCTTTCTTTACCCACTGTCCTGAGTCCAGTTTTGAGATTTGTTGTGATCTCATAACTGATGTTGAAGACTTGAATCCAACTAATTAAAAGAATTGGAGCTGTATCTACAACTCATGAAAAGAAATTGCATCATGAGACATATTTTAAAGTTTTATTACTCAGCTATTCCTTAAAGAAATTGCTGTATTGCTTAGCTAAACATTCTTAGGTCAATTATCCTATATGTGCATATTCTTTAATTTCTTACATGAAGATTCAATATCCAATTTATATAAAATGATTATAATGATAACATTAAAAATAAACCCAACATTTGTTTAAAGGTCATGCAAAGTCATACCGAATGGGCCAGTGGTGACCAAGAACCCAGCCACCTTTCATAGGCTTTGATGTGAGTAAGAAAGATACATGAAAGTTTGGAAATAAAGAGTGAATATAATACTTCCTAATCTGTTAAGAAACTACAACACACAGGACAGCCCAAAACGTTCCTCAATTCAAGATGTTAATAGTGGCAAGGCTGAGAACCTCTAAAGCTGGACAACTAGGTCCTCTAAGGTAGGAGGTGGACACAAAACCTTCATATAGCTTCAGTTATATATTCATTCATCAATATCTTTATCCCTCCTTACATTCATGAAGTACTCCTGCAGATTCAGGACACTAAAACTTTTACCTAGACCATACTGCAAGGGAAAAAAATATCAAGGATTAATGGTATAATTAGAGAATTATTGATTCATTTCTTCGTTCAGTTTTAATTCATTTATATCATTCACATGAGCATCCATTCTTAGATAATTTTGACTCTCCATTTATGTAGAAATATATATGAATAGGAGAGACATTGATAAGTTCAAACAGAGTAGAGTGTTGTAAGAAAACATATTAAAAGCGGTACCAAAATTACTGAATCATCTATTGATAAAACATGCTGCATATTCTTATGGGACTATGAGAAAAAAATGCCCAAAGCAATGACTAAATCGTTAATAGACTATACACATTTGAATAAAGTCTAGTATGTTACGTAGTGGTGAGGTTACAATACTAAACATGACATATACCTTGAACGTCTAGCAATGCTAAGCTAATGATGGCTAGAATCCTAAATACAGAAAATCATCTGTCTTTGAATAGCAATGCTAAGGTTGTTTGATAATAATACAAGTTAAATTAAATTAATTATATGTGATTTTTATAATCATATATAATTGCTATAATTTATTTTATGTAATTTATATAATACCATAAGATTAAATAAAAATTAGAAGTCAGAGCTTGATGTTAGGAGAAAGTAAGTTTTGGACCAATAGAAAAGGGATTAATTTATTATAGAATCCATTACCATCAGAAATAACATGCGTTTAAACAAACGAATAGATTCTAGAAAGCTTTAGATGATTTAAATGGGTGACAACTCACCATGCATAATCTTTTGATAATGAAATATATTAAAATAAAGAAAAAGGAAGTAAAGACATAACCAATACATTAATTTCTGCTTTTAGTTCTATAATGATAAGTAATGATCACATATTTTCTGTATGTAGTATATAAAACTAAAAGGCAATGTTTTATTGGTATAGACAAATCTTTCTGTTACTCTTTCTCTAAACAACAAAAATAACAAAGTATAAGTAGATAGATTTAATATAACCCACAGTCCATTCTGAGTACATCTATAATAAGGAATATTTTTATCACCCAAACATCCACATAACATATATATAAACAAAAATATTAATATAAATAACTTATCTATAAGAACTCTTATGTGTCTGGTTTGTAGGATGAGAAAGAAAAGTATGCTTATCTGTTTTGACAGTGATCTGATTAAAAAGAACCCACAATATAGTGAATTTGCTAAGGGTAGCCATTTTAATTAAGATGACCTTTCAATATTGGTCTGTTACATTTCTAGTTAGCTAAATTTGACGATTTTTATGAATTTTTGATTAAGCAAGATGTTTAGTATAAAGGAATCAGAAATATCGTTGATATTTTTAAACATGAAATTTTGAGCTTATTAAACATACCATTCTGAGCAGGCAAGCATGAGAAATTTTAAATATGCTTTGCATTTCACAACAGCTTCCTATTATACAGAGATTCAACCCTCTAATGAACTCTATTTGTTGACTCATGCAAGAAAACAAGGTAATTGCATTATCTCAACCCCACTGACTTTTTAAGCCATGGTGTTAGAACTATTACACCTATGTTTGAAATGAAATATATTAAAAATAACCAAGTTACTTTGAGGAAATTGGGCATAACCTTTTCATATAAAAGAAAGAAATCTCATTGAATTGGAATAAAAGTATACTTCGAGTAAGAACATTTAACTCACTAGATAAGTGTAAAACATTAGCATTACTCTGCAAAAGTTATAAAGTGATTAAAAATGACATAAAAAGTACAGTACAAAACTTAATTGAATCATGTTTGATAGAAAATGTAAGGCCAGAATATTTAATGACTATCTAGTTTAGGGTTTTTGTGTTTCTATGGGCTATTTAAGATTGCCTTAGTTCCTTTTTGAATGTTTTTCTCTCCTGAATGATGAAAATAAATAAAGACCTATTTGCTGAGTGTTTATAATACACAATTTTTCTCTTAGTTTTGTCCATGTGGGAGGTGAGGAGGAATGAGTAGGGATGATTATCAACAATTAGCAGTATACTTTGTAAGTACAGCCTTTCTATACCTATCTATCACAAGATTATTATCAAGTTATTATGGAGATTTAAACTTGTAACGGGTATCACAATTATTCTATAAATGGCATCTTGTACTAAATTTCTTTAGATTAAGGATGCTATGTTACAGAATTGTAGTGAATATATTCTTATTTCAGAGTCTATAAAATGTTATTTACAAAGTATATCAAGAATATTTACAAACCACATTGCCAAACTATGACATAAATAAAAGTTATGTTTTTCAGTAAAGCAGTAAATCAGGTTATAGCTCTGAATTAAAACGTCAAAAATAATCTTGATATTGATTGTATAACACAGAAATTAATAGAGTAGTAACATGGATTTAAAACTGTTTTTATATATATTTTGAAAATCATATTTTGTGAAGAGGGTGGAAATAATAGTGTGTCTCAAATAGGTTGGAATCTAAAAGCTACATTTTCGCTCTCGATCATGATAATTTTTTTTTTTTTTTTTTTTTTTTTTTTTTTGAGATGGAGTCTCGCTCTGTCGCCCAGGCTGGAGTGTAGTGGCGCGATCTCGGCTCACTGCGCGCTCCGCCTCCCGGGTTCACGCCATTCTCCTTCCTCAGCCTCCCGAATAGCTGGGACTACAGGCGCCTGCCACCACTCCAGGCTGATTTTTTATATTTTTAGTAGAGACGGGATTTCACCGTGTTAGCCAGGATGGTCTCGATCTCCTGACCTCGTGATCTGCCTGCCTCGGCCTCCCAAAGGGCTGGGATTACAGGCGTGAGCCAACGTGCCCGGCGGATAATGATAATTTTAAAAATGTAAATTAAAAAATTCTTTTCAGAAAATAAGCTAGTTATCAACATAGGTATATGCAAATACATATCCAACTGTGAACCCATTACATAAAAAACACTGCTTCATTTTAGGAAGCATGAAACATTTTGCCAGATAATACCCACTTCTAGTGTGGATACAATCTCAAAACTTTCTGTAAAGCATCAGATATTAGACCTTGTTATGGGGGCATACTGCAATTGAACTATACTTAACAACAAAGGTAAACCAAGCTATCCTGCCAATTAGAAAGTTAAGGAATATTCCCACAAGTTATTCAAGTCAAAGAGTAACTCAAAACGTCTCTTATAGGCTTTCTTAGAAAGTAAGTAACTAGGACAGAGCAGTGTAAAGCTCAGAACCATCAGATTCAGTCTGAAGTGAGGTGAAGCTGAAGACATTACCCTTTCAAGCCTAAGATTCTGCACCTATAAAAGAAGACTAAAACCAGAAGCAAATAAATCAAATCAAATGAAATAATTTCCCGCGTACAGCTCTTAGAAGTCCTATTTCAAATGATTTATAATGCTAAATTTTCATATTTTTCTTCTTCCTCCCTTTCTCTTCTCTTTCCTTAAGTTTCTCTTCCTTCTTCTATCCTATTTTCATCTTATGAAATAAAGAAAAATACGGGCAAAAAAGTCAAATAGGTACATATCCATAGCTTTATAAAAAATTCAAATAGGTACATATTTATGCTTGATTGATTTTTTTCTAGCAAGAAAAGCTGAAACTATTAACTCAGTTTAGAAACTTAGAAAAAAAACATTTCTGAGGAAGAAATCTGTACAAAAAAAATCTATTGTGTGAGACAACATTATTGCAAGGATTCCTATTTTTCCAATTTTATTTTCTATTTTCCCTATTTTATTAATCTCTAAATTTAATGCAATAAGAATTAAAGTCCAAATAAGGTTATATTTGAAAGTTAACAGTGTTAATATGTTAAGAAACATATGAACTTTTTTGAAACAGCAAAAGAATAATTATTATTATTACAGGTGACGCTACTATACTGTGCCTATCTGGAAGCCAGTATTGTGCCATTTTTCATAAATTATCCCATTTAATCCTCAGAACAAAACTATGTAAACGGCAATATCATACTCTCATTTTACAGATGAAGTAATTGAGACAGAGAAAATCGAAGCATTGCTTTAAATGTCACAGCTAGTACAAAAAGAACCAAGCAACAAGGCCCCAGAGACTGTGCCCTTGAAGATTATACTATACACCTAAATTTGCAAAGTGATATCTATCTGTCTTATCAAATAATTAAATGTTATTCTGCAGGACAGTAATTACAGTCATGTAGCACTGGCAAAGAAAAGATGGGTGAAATTGAGTAACCTACGAGTAGGCCAAAGAATGTATTAAAAACCGTGTGTGAGGCCGGGCGCGGTGGCTCACGCCTGTAATCCGAGCACTTTGGGAGGCCGAGGCGGGCAGATCACGAGGTCACGAAATCGAGACCATCCTGGCTAACACGGTGAGAACCCGTCTCTACTAAAAATACAAAAAATTAGCCGGGCGTGGTGGCGGGCGCCTGTAGTCCCAGCTACTCAGGAGGCTGAGGCAGGAGAATGGTGTGAACTCGGGAGGTGGAGCTTGCAGTGAGCCAAGATCGTGCCACTGCACTCCAGCCAGGGCGACAGAGTGAGACTCCGCCTCAAAAAAGAAAAAAAAACTCTGTGTGAGAGATAACACCACATAGGAGTGCAATCGACAGGGAACAAAAACCCGAAATACATTTACTTTCTACTGTTTATAAAAATTAAATGTTTGCAGTGAAAATAATTTTATTTTGAACATAGATCTTTTAGAATGTTAATTTCAAATAAATGAAAACTCAGTAGCTTCTGACTTGAAGTTTGTAAATCAGCACCGATTCTGTTGCAATGAATTAATTAACGGACACTGAAATGATTCTTACAAAGGCAGTGCAAATACAATTTAGGCTTGATACTGACGGTGTTTTGTATTACATATTATTTTCAAAACATCAAACTGTGCCTATACAGACATTTCCTTTACATAACTGTGCCCTAAAAAATTTCAGATGGCTTAGGAAAGTTTAGATATATTTACTTCTCCAGCCACATAAATTTGATTTTGCAGGAATGAGTGTAATATTTTAATAGAACAGTCTTTATTTGTCATTTCACCTATAAATCAAGAAGTACTCTCCAAAATCCAATGAAGAAATGTTGTCACTGTGCAATTGCACATGTTGTAGCTATTTACATTATTTATTCTTACAAAAATCATTCTCACAATGAACTAAATCTGCTGAAATAGTCTGCCAAAAGAACTTGATTTTGTTAATAAATATGCATACTTTAATAAATTGGTACAAAGTCTGTTTAGTGCCTAAACATTCCTATCACACCATGAATTGAAGATGATCTGGTATAATTTCTTCAAACTAAATTCTTAGAATTAAAAAAGATACATCATTATTAACAATCCACTAGAATGAATGCTCAGTAGAGCAAAGACTGCTTTTTAAAAACTTTAAATGTTTTTAATTATGCAGACCCGGTGCCTAGAACAGTAACTCATCTTTGAAGATGCTCAAAAAAATACTTGTTGAACAAATATATTGTTAAAAGGCTAATATTTATCGGATGCTTACTGTTTTCCAGGTGTCGTGCCAAGCACTTTAAGTATATTTCCTTATTTAATGCTTACAATCACCTAATAAGTTTATACTTCTGCTGTTCGATATTTACAGAAGAGGACTTAAATGTCAACTCTTTTACTGATTATTTCATTTTGGGAAAGTTGATGAATCTCTTCCTCTCTGTGAGTCTCCCTGTTCTCACCTGTAAGATGGAGATAATAAGCTTATCTGGCCTGAGTTGTGAGAAATAATGACTAAAGAAATAAACATTGCAAAGATGTATCATAGTTCTAGATACATAGTTGATATATAGAATCACAAAATATCTTATTTCAATGGACCATAAAAGCATGTTTTTTTCTATCTTATAGTTGTAGTCAACCCAAAGAGAAGTAAGACATAGTTTTCCTTGCTTGAATACGTGTAAACTTGTTATTTCTGCTGGCTTAGCTTCACAATGTGACTTCACATTGTCTTAATCAATAAACTGTTTAAGGACATTTAAGGTAGGTGTATGAGTCCTGGATATGGTCAAAAGTCTTCTTTTGAATTTTCTGCCAAATATAAATCAACATTTGCAAGAAAACTTGCAGAGGAGATGTCACCAGCTTGGAAAAACAAAACAAGGCAATGCAAGCAATGAAGCAAACAGAGCAGAGGCAGAAGTGGAGTATTCTATTCAGAAATTCTTTAGTACCAACGCTTTTGTTGTCCCTGAGAACAGCAGAATGTGGAAAGACATGGTCACAGAGGACTCTGGGTTGAAATCTAGTACAGAAGAACAGGATGCTAAGTGCAAAGGGGTTTTAAAAATAGCTTAACTGATTTATTTCACCTGTGTTTTCCTTTTGTCAAGGTACACATCATTATATAAATGAATGTAAAAATATTATGCTATTGGTGAAATCTACCACATTCAAACCAACAAGAAAGCATCATGTATTTTCTTTGGCAGTCTTTTTCTTTCTAAGGAGTATATAAAAAAGTAGTGAGTCTTAAAATTGATGGCATTTCAGATTTCCTAAAATGTAGTAGTTCATGTATTTAGATAAAAAGAAGAATACATTTTATATAGTGCAATTCAAAACTTATCTTCCTTCCCAAAACAAGAATTTATGATTTATACCACCTACAAATTGGCATGGTGATTACATTATCACATTCTACATGAATTTCCTCAAAGCTGCATGTGTAGCAAGCTCTTCTCCTATCAATGTTGGCTGAAGACATAAACAAGATCTTAGTATGTGTTAAACTTTTTTAAGCCCCATATATCCAACATACATTTTTGGTAAAGCAACCATTTGTTGGTACTGTCTATGTTTCAGGTCCTATGAGAAACAGAATTCAATGGTGAGCAACAAAAGCTACTTTTCTTGCTGATAGCACTTGGTGTTCAAGGCTATGTAGAGAAGACCAACACTGTATTTTGAGATTATATTAGCTGAAAGATATTCTTGAAGAAGTGACACTTGGAAGGAGGTCTGACTGAGTCAAAGATTTTAACTCCAATGGAGAGGATATGGAAGATTAGTCTAAGCATTCATGGGTCCCTCTTATGGCTTAAATGATATAATCTGGGTACATCATTTTGTAGGTGCCTGAAACATAATAAGGCTCACTTGGCACAAGTTATCTATTTGTATTACTAATAATATTATTACAGTTAGCAAAATAGCAACGTGCCCAAGATCCCCGTGTCATGACAGATTGTGGCTGATAAAAGGGTCTCAAAGAAAAGCAGTGTGGCTCAAGTGGAAAGAGAAATGGAAAATTGTGTAAGATGGGTTGCAAATGTAGGTAGGAGCCATTCCAGCCGACGTTTGCAGCTGTGCTGTTTTTCTTTTATTCTAAGAAAGGTTTCAAAAGGAGAGAGTGAAAATGAACTGGTCAAATTTAAGCTTATAAATGATGACTTGCAGCAATGAGTCACAGGGATTGGAAGGATGTCAGATCGGATGCATATTCATTACTTAGATGTTTTGGTAGTAGTTTTTCCAGCAAAAAGCAGTGGCACCAGGGAAAATATAATACCCGTATGGTAGCCAATAAGTATTTTATTATTTTAGTTTACTTTGAAAATACACGGATAGGCTGTACACATTTTTAGTAAAATGGATGTTATAAATAAAATGCTAGTCCAAGAAACAACATATACTTGAGCTTTAATAAGTTTTATTGCTTTTATCAATGCCTGACACTCAATAAATTCTAACTATTACTATTATAATTACTAGTATCACCTGCTAAATGAGATACTGGGGTGATAAAACATAGTATATGAAGCATTTTTAATTCCATGGTTCAAGAAAAACATGGAAGAAAAACAGGTAATATGATATAAACATTGTTCAGAACCACAGCTGGGTCTTGTAATACTTTATATAAAAATATGACAGCATCCCTAACATTGACAGTTGATATGAAATTATTGATTGATTAGTTTCTAAGTTAAATGTTTTCACCAAACTGATTTATATCTATGGCAGTATCAGGCAGCCACACATCAACAACAATAAGACTCTGACTCAGGTTGAATCTTAAGAAAAAATAAAAAAGAGTAATATATAGGTGGAAAGATGGAAGTTTGAAAAAGTACACAGGCATAGAACATACTGATCACATCTTAGTCACACCATAAGAGCTTTATTTAAAGGAATTAAATTCAATGAAGAGATCCGTGTGAAGGCCTCTTAAACAGGTAAGTAAGAGCTTAATGTATACTTCTACAAGAAGGTTGGCATAGCAAAATTCAGGAATTCTTAGGAAGATGATAATTAAGAAATAAAGCTATTTCTTATCAATATAACACCCAATCAAACCAACAACATGAATGATATACCTAGGTGGTCATGGATAGATACCGAATATATTGGCCACGTATGACAGATGTGGATCACATGGGTACACACTGAGCAAGTCACATAGTGACAAAGTTTTGAGGAGATCATTCACTCAACAAAAGTAACATTTATATTTTTAGTAAAAATTTACACTTTCTGAAGTTCAGCCTTTCATTATAGTGATATATTCCCTTGCTCTTATGACGGAGATATTTCCTTCATGTTATTTTTATGAAAGAATAACGTGGAAGGACACACGACAGGCTGACTCAATTGATTATTTCCAGGATGGGAAGAGAAGATAGAAGAAGATATGGTAGAGGCATGTGATGTGGTTCTCCTTGCTTGTATATCTCCTTGAATTTAGTATTTCACTTCATGCACTAATCATATATCATTGTTGTAACTTGGGGGAAAAAACACCAAGAAAGTAAAATTTAAAAATATAAAAATCTTTTAATATTGATTTCAGCCAAACATGATAATTACTAAACTCAAAACAGGAGTGTTTATTAAACTCACAGGTTATTGAATAATTTTCTTCAATAAGTTCCTTCAATCTCCATACTTCCACTTGCTGGAAAATATCAGAAAGCTAATCAGTCTTAAATATTAAAACATCTTCACGTTGTTTTTCTGTATTACCTTATTATAAATGAGCTTTAGGTATATTAAAATGCAGCATATATGCACCTAAGCACATAGGCTCTGTCTCCTTTATTTTACACACACACACACACATACACACACACACACACACACGATCCGGAAAAAAAAAAAAACACTAAATTAGAAAGCATAAATTCTTAGGTGATTTTTGCAGGGAAATATTGTTCAGATATTTTAGTCACTCATTTTTGTTGTTGTTTTTCTGGGTCTCAAGCATCTTCTATAAGGCAATTGTGTATGATTAAAGACAATAGATGCTAGCACCTTAGTGACTAGGTTCAAATGTTGTCTTGGTTGCTTGCCATCCCTAAGGCCTGGACAAGCTACCCAATCTCTTTGTGCCTTGGTTTCATCATTTGTTAAATGGGAGAATAGTATACTTACCTCCCAGAGTTGTAGTGGGAATTACATGAATCAACACATGTGGCATATTTAGAAGATTGTTTGATATCTAGTAGGTCTCAGTTTTCACCATTTTCCCTGCCTCTGGGAAAGTATTTTCCCTTTCAATCCTTGAAGCTGGACTAAGTCTCTTCTACCACTTGTACACCAAATGCCCAGCATATTTTGTTATTTCTCTTTTGCTCGCCTATCTTTTCTTATGATTTCTTCCTCCTTTTTCCCAAGCTTTCTCCTTAATCTTCAAACGATTTCTGAGTCTCTCTGTAACATGGGGGTGAAAGTGTAGCATAGCAGTTTTCTCCTTTACTAAGCATCAATGAAGCACATTTGGAAATAAGCTTAACATGCTCAGGATATCAATGTACATTTTCACATCTCCAAACAAAATACCATTTGTCACAGTTACAATACATTTGGGGTCCTTTAATTTCAAGATTTATACAAATGTTTTCACAAATAAATAGTTACCATTTTCCATTTCCTAGTTCTAAGACTGCAAGCTGTGTGGCTTGGGTGTTTAACTTCTCAATTTTCTCACCTATAAACAAGTGATAAAAATACCACCTATCTGATGGGCTTTCGTGAGAAATAAATGAAGTAAAACCTGCAAAAATAGTCAAAACAGTGTCTGGCACATAGCAAGTAGTCAGTGAAAGATAGTTATTGATATTATTAGTATCATTAACTTTATTTTCCTAAGTGAGATGTAATCATAATGCAAAAAATATGGAGCATGTTCTGAGTTCCTTTGAGACAGGGTTGGGGACTGATAGGTTATATAACGTAAGCACTTTCAAAATAACATTATCATCATATAATCTATATAGGTAGCACAGAACAATGCTTCACTAAATATTTGACTCAACATGTAATAGGCAATCTGTTTATTTTAGTAAATAAAATGCTATGGGTTTTTTTCTGTATCATGTTTCTCCATCTTGGCACTACTGATATTTTGGTTCATACCATCGTTTGTAGAGAGTATTTTTGTGTATTGTAGGATGTACAGCAGCATCTCTAGTCTCTTCCCACTAGAAGTGTTGCACATTCTTCCTGCTGAGGTGTAATAATGTTTCCATAAATTGTCCATTATCCTCTGGGGGTCAGGAGGCAAAATTACCCTAGGTTGAGAACAACTGATTTACATTGATCTTCAAAGATATAATATTGGGTCATAATCTTCAACAACAAGATATAGCTTATATTGAATATTAACAGAATAAAAAATAGATTATTCTTACAACTAACTTAGTACCATCAGCGATTTGCAATAATTAGCCCTTTGTGGGGCCTAATTTGACCTAGTTCCAACATAAACTCATACCTTTTTTGCTTCTTTAAGATCGAACATCAGCCACACTGTCTTCCTCTCATTTTATTGATGTAAACAAGAGTCAGAGCTTGGACTTCAGCCATAACAAGACAGCACTTTAAATATGGATACTGTAAAATCATGATGCGCTTCCCAAGATATGCCATTTTTCTCCCCTAAGACTACTCTGGCCATCTCTAATCCCAGATTTGGTGAAGTCTGCCATTACCCTCTACTAGTATAAGAAAGTAATGTAAATAATAACTCAGGCTTTGAGGACTCACAAAGGTATCCAAAATTATGGAAACATGTTTAAGAATAAATTTGAAACTTTCTTGACAAATCAAATAGGTGTTTGTCATTTTACAGTTTATAAGATATGAATCCAAAACTAGTACAAAATAAAGGTGGAGGCAGTAGAAAAATCTAGTGATGCAAAACAATTTTTTAAACATATTACCAGAGGCAGAAATTATAAGGAATGGGGTCGTTATTGCATATACAATGTGAATGAACATATGTACATATATGTGGATATTTATGGGAGAAGCTTCACATCTTTCACCAGATTCTCCAATACTTTAAAAACTCCAAGTATAGTCAGTTCTACTATAACACTTGTTTTGAAAATGCAAATTTTTCCAAGGCAATTTGTGTGTGTATGTGTGTCTGTGTGTCTATGTGTGTTTGTGTGTGTGTGTATTGTAAGCAAGTATATCTGTAAAGACATAGGTATATTTATATGTGTACAGATATAAATATATTTGCTCATGTGCAATTCTGCCCACAAGAACAATAGGCACATGCAGAAAACTGTATCCGGCTCCAGCTGAATAGAGCTTGGTAGGAAACACTGATACCTGACACATCACTGAGGTATCTCAATTCACCATGTGTTATTAGCCACACCCATCCACATTCTATGTCCAATTTCAATAACCCTCCTTCTGTCACTTTATAATAACTCACAAGCTTCAACCATTCTAACATCTGCATCCACAACATAGTTTATGTGCCATAATTCTTGTAGTATTTCTATATTTTTAACCATTCAACACGTATGCAACTGTTAGACTTTTTTTTGATGTTTGTCTTTTAATATGTCATTGACAAAGTTTTTGAGTATCAGACCCCTAACTCTGTTTCCCCCAAGCCCTGTGAATTGTATTGCACAATTATGCAGAGCACAGTGGTTTTTCAGAACACATATGGCATGTTATAGCAGACCCCGACTGTAGTTTAATGATGTTGGCAAACATTCCTCGTGTTGTTGGATTTAGCTCACTGTTTCCACACAAAGGTGTTAGTAATGAATGTTGAACGTGGGGATTTTAGCATTTTATTAGTACAGTTTATTTCTTCAATATCTCCCTTTTTATATAAAAAGCAGAGAAGGTATTATTTATTGAAAGAATGGATTAGATGAGTGAACCATGGGGACAAAAAAGAGAAAGGTGCAAAAGACAGAAAATAAATTATGAAAATGTTCCTTTTCCTTAATCATTCTCTAATTAATTTCTTATCCACTCTCGAGGGGCTAGAAAGTAGGACGTGTACCATATTACACAGAAGGTGGCATTAGCTCCTTTGTCACTGTTGGTAAGATTTTGCATATGAATCAGCTGTTGTGATGTGGATAGCTCAGTAGGTTCTGACCTCCTGTTCAGCACTGTGGTTCAACTGCAGACACCATGAGATGATTGGCAAGGCCAGTGCATACCTGGCTTCTGGTAGAGATCAGCCTTTTACATAAGAGACGAAATTATCACTCATGATATACATAGTACCTTCCTGAGTCTCATCTTAAATTATTCTTTTGCATACAATAACTAAAACACTAGAGGGATACAGTTTGCAGTTTTGTATCTGTATTATTCTAATTGTATTATCAAAAAAATCTCTTTTCAAGTATCTTCATTCATCTCTGCAGTCTGCATTTCAAATTACCATCATCTGATGTGTTATAATGGGAGAAGAACTGGGAAGTTCATTTACATAATTCTTATTCTTACTGCCTTCCTTCTTTAGGTCCATTTTCGCTATCAAAAAAAGATGAAGTAAAATATTAGTGTGGGCATGAGAGAGAGTCTCTTGGAGGTATAATTCTAGAAGTAGAAATACCAGGTTGTACAGTGATCCCTGCTGTAATATTTTACTTTTATAAATGGATGCTCTTTGACAAGAATCAGAACAGTATATTGTTTCCGCGTGTACCTAACAAAGTTAAGAATGCATTTTCTTATGTTTAGTTGATTTGTTTTCAAATCTGACCTTGTCAATTGGCAATCATTCACATGATATTTGTGGAAAGTGGCCAGTTTAAACCATTTTACTATATTTGCAACTGATATTGACATATTTGAAATTTGATTATCTTGATCATAGGTATATCAGAAGTATTTTTATAGTTCCTTTTGTGTCTATGTGACATGCATCATGATTCCTAACATAAGGAATAGCAGTGAATTGAGTCTAAAAACATCAATTAATCTTTAAGTTTATATATCCATTCCCTGTCATTGGATAAACATTTTAGGCTGAAAAAGGACCTAAAATCTTAAGGAATCTGATTAGTTTAACCAACATGAATATGCGTTTAAGATAATTTTAAACTTTTATTTTACATTAAGAAATCCAAACAACATATAAATCTAGAAAAGTTTTATAGCGCAGGTTCATTGGCATAAGCTTTAGAATGAGAGGATTTTTTCAAAGTTTGGCTGTTTCACTTATTAATTAGAGTCTTTGCATGCCATTTATCTCATGTTTTAAATAATAAAATGATACGAGAATTGTGAAAAGTCTAAAAGTAGATAATGTACAGAGTGGATATGTGTCATTTTTGTTTCTTATTTATTTGCCTTTTCAGAATTTTGACTGGCTTCCTCTATTTTATGGAATCTCCCATCTCATGAGATAAAGCATTCCCAAAGTTATAGAAACTAAAAGTACCAGGCTCATTTCCCAGTCTCTCTTATTACTAAGGTTCAATCATGTGACCTACACTCTGCCAGTTTGAAGCACCCTCCACCAGCCTTAAATCAGAAGCTGGTGATAGCCGGGACTATACGGAATACACTGCTGAAAAAGGTAGCCACTCGCAGCAACTGTATCTTGTCTAGTGTGCTGTGTTGGTGAGGTTAGCACTGCCAAAAACAGCTCCTGGTGCCCAGTGTGACCACAGTGTTGCTTCAATGGATCAATTTATGCCAAAAGGCATAATTTTGGATGCTACTACTGACAATGTCACCTCAATTCCCGTCTCTCCAGCGCTGCTGTTAATGAATTCCACTCCTACCTAAACCAGCCAGAGTCAGTTTTTCTTGCTTTTGGCAATAAACCTTGCCTGATACAGTATACTAAATACTTAAGCAGGACCAAGTCTATAGTAATAATGCATATAACTCCAACAAGTCAGAAACACTTGGCTTATTTAGTGTTGTATTCCCAGCACCTAGTTCAAGTAACATATAACAGACATGAAACAACTATATATCAAATAAATCTTTAGTCATGAAAATTTTACTCATTGAAGCATTATTTAAAACACTTTTAATATGATATTTATATGACACCTGATACTACCTGGTGGCTTCATATTTGCTTTAGAGAGATGTTATTCAACAGCTTAGGAGTTATATAATATTAAAACTCTCCTCTTTCTCTCTCCGTCTCTCTCTCTCTCTCTGTCATGCACACACACACACACACACACACAAACACAGACACACACACACATACATATCTCATCAGGTACAAAGTTACAGGGTACATAATAAAAATAATCACATGCTATTAACATTAGCCAAGATATATACTTGAAATCCATTAGTCTCCAACTTAAACCTAAATTTCAATCTTTAGTCAATAACATAGGAAGAAAACAGCTTTATACAGTCTTTGATTCTGTTTTTAACTAAATACTTTTTGTTTATAAAGCTGAATAAAGATAAAGTGTATTTATTCTACACCTAAGAATTTAATAGGAGTTTGCAACTACTATTGTTGCCTCTCTTTGTCTCTAGATTTCAGAGTTGAAACAATACCCAAGAATTTGATTCCTGATCTGCCAAAAAAAACTATATCTGGTTATATACTAATGGCTTGCTTTCTACATCTCCCCAGTTCAATTTTTACCATAAACATTCCAGCTGAAGCACTTATCACCTTATAGCTAGCCAATTATAATATTCTAAATTTTATTTTCAGTTCCAAGTTTTTGACAGCCCCATCTATTTTATATATATATGTAGATTAAATTCCAACATATTACATTCCCCAATATTATTTCCCTACTGAAAAGGCTTTATGAATCTTCACTGCCTATGTTTTAATTTTTAAATGTATTTAGCATTCAAAGAGTTCAACAATCTAACTAAGTATAACTTTCCAACTTATTTTCTAAAAATTCTATATGTAAACTTTTGCAATAACCAAAACAGTTCATATACTTTCCCATAAAATTCCCTTGGAGAGTATCATATCCACATTTTAAGTCTTATTATTCAATTCCAGTCAGGCCTAATTCATTGTGTAGAGTCTTATCCGAAGACTAGTTTTTTTCTGAAGTCACATTTGATCACCCCCATCCCAATCTCGCTAATAAATTTATTGAGTTTTTGAATGTATTCTATGTATTTCATTGTTAGATAGCATCCACTTTCCTCCAACAGGGGGTTTAAAAATTGCATGTTATATATTTTTTAATTTCCCACATCACCTAATCCTGCTCAATGCCTATAAAAGGCAATCAATAAGTATCTGTTGATTGATTTTTAGATGCAATCTGAGCATCAGTGCTGTTCTTTCTGATGAGCTGGAAAACGGAACATGGAGGTTCACTGGACTTGATTAGAGGTGAGACTTAGAATACTAAATTAGATGTGGTACACTTCTGTCTCATTTTGGATGTGTGGAAAACACTTCTGTGTGCTTGCTCATTCTTTTATTATTAATTCTAAATTTTCTTGCAGGAGTTAGAGAATGAGGTCTACACTATACTTGTAATTCTCTTAAATTCTAGGTGCTATTCTAAGCATTGATAATATGTCAATGAACAAGATACTCTTCTCCTAGATCTTGCTTTGCAGTAGGTGAAAACAACTAACTTACTAATCAAATAAATAAATAAGGTGCTTTCAGAGGGTGATAATTACTTTAAATAGAATGCATGGTGTAGTGGAACAAAAGGTGAGAAGGAGGAGGCCATTTCAGGTTAAAAAAATCTGTTGAAGTTATAGCTGAGACACAAATAGTGAGAAGGAGCTATTCATGGGCTGGGCAGAGCCTTTGAGACAAAGGGATTTGTAAAAGTTCAGAGGCTGAATCACCAATGAGTTTGAGGTGTTTAAAGGTAAAATTACTAATGCTTCTGGTAACTATTTACAGGCTACAGGAAGAATAGTAATGAGGGGAGTTGGAGAACCAGATGTAGGTTGGGGTTGGAGGAGGAGGGAACATGTAGCTTCTCCTTATAGACCACTGAGAGGAGTTCAGATTTCACATTAAATGCAATGGAAAGCCATCAAAGGTTTTAATTAGAGGAGTCTCATGATCAGGTTTATGTTTTTAAAAGTGACTTTTACAATTCTGTGGAGACCAGCTTACTAAAGATGAAAACAGATAAAGGGGAACAGTTTATTAAGTTATTGCAGTGGACTACGCAGCATGCAATAGGGTGACAGCCAGATAGGTTTGAAGAAGTTGACAAACTCAGCATATATTTAGGTGGTGGAACCAACAGGACTTGCTGATGGATTGGATGCGGGGAGTAAAGGAAAAGAGAGATAAGAAAATGTTGAGGGTCTTAAGAATGAGTGTGTCATGAGCTCGCTTTAATAACATTTCTAACAAATGAAGAGTTTTGTCTATGTAAGAGGAAGCGCAGGACAGAATGAGCTAAATTACAGCAATAAAATAGAGCAAAATTATTTCAATGGATGACGTTAGGAGGCAGAGGAATGAGCTATCAAGGGAGACCAGATGTGCAACCTGCACGTGACACAGGGTCCTGACTGCAGAAGGATCCCGCACTTGGTTTATTGCTCTGCCATCACCATCTTAAAATTCTTAATACTTTTTTTTAACAAGAGGCCCTGCATTTTCATTTTGCACGGCGCCCTGCAAATTATGTAGTTAATCCTGCTAGAGAGTCATACTCAAGAATAGAAAGAGAATTTTGACGATGGGTCAACAATAACTAAAATGATGGCTTTTTTAGTCAAGATTTTATAACTCAGATTCAGTATACCACAGGTCACTGGAAAAGCTGAAACATACATTTTCATTTTCTAAAGTGTTTATTCAGTGCTCTCTACCATAAGACTGACTGCTTCTTATTGCCTCAACCAAATTTGTTGATAATTTCTATGTGACCTTATATATAAACTTATATAAAAATACTCCATGCATACTTGAAATTAATTTTTTGATAAAGGGTAGAAAGTTTAACATATAAATACTAAAGTTATTACTGATATTATTTAAATTCTAATATCCATGTTTTTGTGATTTTTGATATGACAAAAACAGATAGGTAAATTAATATATTCCACTGTAATTTTGATTTTATCTGTTTCTTCTTGATTTTTTTTTTTTTTTTTTTTTTTGAGATAGAGTCTCGCTGTGTTGCCCAGGCTGGAGTGCAGTGGAGCGATCTCTGTTCACTGCAAGCTCCGCCTCCTGGGTTCACGCCATTCTCCTGCCTCAGCCTCTCAAGCAGCTGGGACCACAGGCGCCCACCACCACGCCTGGCTAATTTTTTGTATTTTTAGTAGAGACGGGGTTCACCGTGTTAGCAAGGATGGTCTTGATCTCCTGACCTTGTGATCCTCCCGCCTCAGCCTCCCAAAGTGCTGGGATTACAGGCGTGAGCTACAGTGCCCAGACTCTTCTTGAATTTTTATTTTATTTGCAATGTTGATTCCAAGTCATTGGATAGAAAAATTCATTTGTGGTATGTCTTAAGGAAAGATTACACAGTTGATCCTTATAACATAATGATCAATGCTATTTGACAAATTTTAGCCTTGAATTCTGCTTTTCTTGATATAATATTTCTATCTAAAGTAATGTTATATTTTCCATTTTTTAGCTAGTCAATATTTCTTTATTGTTTTGCTTATGATATTTCTGTGGTATTTCTTTTGGTATGTCTTTCATAAAAAGGACATTGGTAAATTACCTTGCTATAAATTGTTTAATTCATTCACATTTATTTTGATAGCCTTTAATTTATACTTTCATAATAGTATTTAACTTTTTATTTTCCTTTGTTTTGTTTTCTAACCCCCATTTTCTGTTATACTGGCCAAATTTTTGTAATATTTCTATTTTCTAGAGCAATTTCTTTTCTGGTTTACCTAGTTAGCATCTGCTTACCTCTCAGATGTCAATTCGAAGTTTCTTTGAATACCTTACACAATGGATTCCACCTGTCACCTTACTATCTCCTCTCATAACGCCAGACACTTTCTTTTAAAGCCCCTTTTATAGTTTAGAATTATATATTTGTTTGATTATAATAGGAGACTGGAACTTGTAATTGGTCAATTATTCTATAATGTCTATTAAAGCAGAAATTCATGAATTAATGTAAATAATATTTTAAAAAACTTTTTAACGTAAAACCTGTAAAGGTAGTTTCACTTATTCTTTAATGAACACCCGTATTTTAATTCCTAAAAGAGGAACAAGAACTTCTGCACTCTATCCAGGGAATCTGAGACAAGAATCTGCTTTTTTAGTACTTTTACCCAATCATTTAAAGCTGTGACGGCCACACCTAATTCTACATAACAATGGTTGTTAGTGACTTTTCTTTACCGCATTTCTTATAGCATTCAAGTTAGTTTTCATAGAATAAGCACCTCTCAAAGTTTATTTCATATTTAATTGAATTGCACCAACACAAAACGACCATAACATAGAAACAAATTTACAAATGAACTCAACAGACTCAGGTTTAGCGTAAATCCCCACTGGCTGCCGTGTATATTCTTGGTGGATACTGACAAGCAATGACCGCTACTGTTCAGAGTACTATGGACATAATCCAGTAAATGTCACAGAAATAAAAGGGTTTTTAAATTTGTTTTTTGGTTCTATATCTTGCTAGTCATTTAACTTGAAAAAGTATAGATGAGCTAGTTCATTTATTAACTTTACTCAATAATGTATCATCAGCATGTAGGTAAATATTCAACACATAAATGATGCCCAATCAATATGTGTTGATGAATATGAGTTTTCTTCTTTCTTTGTAATCTAAAAGCTGCCCCCCCTTTTATTTATTTATTTTTTATTTTTATTTTTTGGCCAGGAGCGGTGGCTCTCGCCTGTAATCTCAGCACTTTGGGAGGCTGAGGCAGGCAGATCACTGAATGTCAGGCATTTGAGACCAGCCTGGCCAACATGGTGAAACCCAATCTCTACTAAAAATACAAAAATTAGCCAGATGTGGTGGCACACACCTGTAATCTCAGCTACTCAGGAGGCTGAGACAGGAGAATCTCTTGACCCTGGGAGGCAGAGGTTGCAGTGAGCTGAGATAGCACCACTGCACTCTAGCCTGGATGACAGAGCAAGACTCTGTCTCTAAATAAATAAATGTCCCATTTTTAAATGAAAGTGTTTAAATTTCATGCAAGCCTGAACATAGAGACCATAGAGACTATCGTATTATTTTCAAAATATTTTTCAAATATTGGTTTTTATACTAATTTGTAAGAGTATCTCAATATCTATTTCAAAATCAAAATATGAGAGAACAGTACTCAAGATCAGTTATCAGTAATTTTTTCCAATATTTGACCCCTTTTTGCCAAGATAACCTAGTTGATCCACCTGAAATCCAAGTGGCTCCAAATGACATGGTTTTCCTTACAGTCTTCTTTAAAATAGGCTTGCCTCCAACATACCACACACTTCCAGCCTAAAGAGGGGTACATATACCTCTCACTCTCCATTTTATTTTCATACCCTTTTTTCCTATTCTCAAACCTCTTCTTTTCTCTCCCTCCTCCTGCACCTCTCTCACCATTACCTCTATGCTACTGGTCACTCTCTCTCATTTATTTACTACTTGGCTGTGCATTCTGTCCTCATCCTTCATCTGTCCAACACCCTGCCTCTTAGTTCCCAGAACCTCTATACGCCAAATTCCTTTTTTATCACTTCACATTAGCCTTCTACATGCATAGATGTATCCTGTTTTTATTGGAAGTTGCTCTTCCAATAAAATCTTCATTTGGAACAGCCCACTCTCCCGATATCACTCTCCACCATTCCAGAATACTTACTTTTATGGCTTCTCTCCAAAACCCCTTTGCCAGTAATCCACTGGTTTTTATCCATTTTTCCTTATTCATTACCTGTTTCATGACCCCACTTATTTTCTAGATTGATGTAGACTCTCTGTAATTAGTGTGCACTCCTTGTCAACATGCGTAAATCCCTCCATGTCCCCTACCTTGAGCTCTTTCATCAAAATTCCAAAACTAATTTTACCCAGTCAGTGAGACATTGCTACAGAAAATCACAAATCCCTACTGACTAAATTCAATTTATGCTTGTGATCATAAATTCCAAATGAACACTCATTTAATCCATAAATTCCTGACGCAGTCTACTGCTTACTATTTACTATGCTACCCTAAAAATTCTCTGAAAGTTTTACTATTTCCCCCCAAGTCATATATTCAGCTAGTGATCTTTTCTAATAATTCAAAGAAAAATAATTAAAATAAGAATCAGTTTTGTTTTCCTTTTATCAAATATTCCTACTGACTTCTTTCCACAAATAATTTGCATTCTCAAACTAAAGTAGGCTAACTGTCCAGGCTTACAACTAAAGCCTCCCTGTCCATTTGAAATAGTTTCTATTCCTTTTGACTCATTCATTGACTTCACTCTTGAGTTTATCCTTATTCTCTCCAACATGCTCATTCTCTCTCCAACATCCTCATTCTCTCTCCATTAGTATTACTCCCATCTACCAATGTTTTAATGTAGTTTATCTCACATTAAAATCTCTCTTGACTTTGTGCCTTACATCTCCAATAGCCTCCTTTTCAGCTGTCTTTCAGAACATCTTTCACCTCTCTACTCTTGAAAGCATTCTTAGGAGGTCACTAATGACCTCTTCTTGCCATATCCATGGTGTGTAGCCTGATCTTATCTTATTCTGTCATTCTTAACATTTATCAGTTATTTACAGCCTTCTACTGAAATACTTTCTTCTCTAATTTTCTGTAACACCATCCTTCATTTTCCCTCATCTTCCAACTCTACATTTCTTTGATTACATTCTGTTTATATATTATATATGAATCTATAATAAACATAAATATATATTAAATTCAAATTATATTATATTATATTATAAATGTATATATTAGTGTATGTGTGTGTGTGTATATATATATATATATATATATATATATATATATATATATATATATGTATAACCTGGAACTCTTTGACAAGCCTTTGCTTCACTTCTCTTGGTGATTTTTTTTTTCTCAGTGATTTTTAAAAATACTAGTTATAGGCTAATTAATTTTAAAATCATATCCCCAATCCTAGTCATTTCCCAGAGTTTTAATGGCATCTTAAACTTAACAAAGCCATGTCAGTACACTTTATTTCCCCCTCTCACTACAAAATCTGTTTTTCTCTCAGATTTTTATCTCTCAGTAAATGAGAGTTGGATAGGCTTAAAGTCATTCTTGATTGCTTTCTTTCCCTCATTGCCTTCATCTCCAAATAGGTGTATCTAAATACTCTTCAAGACCTGGTATATATCTGTACATAATTCAATTATCTATCTACACCTCTAACCCCATTACTTTCACTTCTCAGATGGGCTACAAGAGAACTTCCACACCAACATTCCTGCCTTCATTTATTTTCCATACAGCAGTCAGAATAATATTTTCATATACAAATTACATCATATATCTATCCTACTTGAAAACGTTCCAATAGTTATCCACTGCCATTTACAAAAAAAAAATCTAATGCTGTATCTGGTACTATAAAACATAATGTAATCTTCCTACTGTTCACTTTATAATTCCCTGATTTCCTCTTACACCATTCTCCTCTTCTGTCTTGCCTCTGTACTGAAACTATACAATTTGGTTCTGTCCCTCCATCATGCCTACCTCAATCCTAAATTAATGCCTTGACCTTTGTGGTTCCTCTCTTTAGAACAGCCTTCCAAATATCATCACCTGGCACCTTCTTATCATCATGCCTCAGCTCAAAGGTCACTTTGTAAGAGATGCCTTCCTGGATCACCCTGCACTGCTGCCACAGTTTTATTTTAGAGAGTTCACTCTGGCTTCAGTGCAGACAATGTATTTAGAGAAAGGAAGTCAGGATAGAAGCAGGGACCCCAAATTGGATGGCAGTTAAAATTATCCAGGTGAGAGAAATGCCAAATCGTTCATAAGGAGCATTGGTTTGAATCCGTAGACTGACTCTCTTTTTCAAAAATATAGTTCTTGCATATGTCCAATATTTTTTTACCCCTCAGAGTACAGACAGTCAATAATTATTTTTCAGGCTTGGGATTTGAGGTGGGATCTATCAGATTAGATGTTAATCTCTGTTCAAATATTTCAGGATCAGACAAAAGAATGAAGAACAAATTTTAGAGTTCCTCTATTTTCACTTGCCAGCATGGAGTAACAAGGGAGCTATAGCCAGAAAGGGCAGAGACATAGTGTTTCACCTTTCTGCCAAGTCGTTTCTTTTTGTGTTTCTCAGAGCAGCAGGCATTAGCTGGGTCAGTGGCACTCTTTAGAGCTGGCACCACTCTCTTCATTTGGAGCCAGTTGTAGCACTGCCTTGTTTTATTTAAAAAGCCATACTTGCCAATGGAACCTGAGAAGCAGCACTGTGGCAGGGTTGTCCCGTGGAATTGACTCCAGTGTTTGGTATAAATCTGGGGAATAATGAAATCCATTTGCACTTTCCATCAACTGCCGTTGGCTCTGGCTTCTACTGGTGCAAAATAAAGTATGCTAGTGAGATTTTATAGTACAGTTGCCACACCTTGTATCTAGGCAGGTTTTTCCTTCCTTGCAGAGGTTCGGTGGATGGCTGGCTGTCATTTCATCATGTCCATTGCTACGGTTTATTCTGTAGAAATTTGTCAATATTTTCCAAATTTGATTGGCATCCTAGATTTTAATATTGTTAAGGTTTGTCATTGTATTATTTCTGTCATTTCAGTGGAAATTCAAAAATGAGGCAGAAATTTTAAATATGTAAGCTCTGATTGCCATATTACGTACACATGCAACTGATGGGTGAAAATTGCAGTACCATACCCATAGGTTTGTGAAATCATGCCCTTTGTTTCTTTCTCTGCTTCTGATACCACATTGTCTTCTCTGTGGATTTTCAAAATGTTTATAATACTGTATGGAAAGTCTTACTTTGAAAAACCTGAAATACATCACAATCTGTTATTTATATTTATTCAAAAAGTTCAGACATTCATTTTTGTCCAAAATAATAATAATAAAACAATAAAATTAAAAGCTCCACTCTATAAAATGCCTGAAGGGACTATTATTTATCTCCTCAAAAATTGGATTTTATCTTCACCTCATTGCTGGAAGAAGTGTGCCAGGTTTTTACTTAACTTTTGTTATTGTGCTATTGAGCTATGGATCACTTCAGGGGTAGTAAAATTGAGCATAGTTTTAATTTTTTTGGTTGTCAAATAAGGTGATTATTTCAGATGTACCCAACACTCAACACATTAAAATTAGAATTATTTTCTGTGTTTAAATAAATAGATATACAGAGACATATACAGCAATTAAGGGTGTAGGTCCTCTCATGAACCTTATTGTAAAAGTCCTTAATAAAACACAAATTTAGTTTCTTTAAAAAATTAGGAGTTGATTTTGATTATATCTCTGCACAGATCCCACTGTAGAGTAAGTACTATAAAATATTGGTCCCTTACACTACATCATATAATGAAATTCATGACACTTATATAAACAGTTTATGTTAAACATATCTAATGTCAAGCCCAGGTGAAGCCCCTGTGAAATAACTTTCAGTAAAACAAGAGACCGAAAAGTAGTTATTTTTTCATGATTCACATTATAAGCTTCTTACTTTTAGTGTATAAACTGGTTTTAGCAAAAAAAAAAAAAAAAAGAAAATATCTCCTCAATAAAGCCAATGTACAGACAAACAAACAACACCTTACCATCAAGCTGGGGCTTTTGAATAATCATTTACGCTGATGAAATTTTGAATGCTTGTGAGCTAATCATGCCTTTTAGCAATGAGCTTCTGCCTCTTACTATGTTTAGACACATACTTCTTATTACAATGCCATTTCATCAAGTCCCAATCTATTCTAAGATCATGATAAAAATGATAATCTTCAAATTACTACGTTTCTCTTTCCACTTGAGTGAACTAATTGAAAGAATTCCATGCTGCATTCACCACGGATACCCAGAGGAATACAAGAAAACACATGTGAAACTGAAAGAATGCCTAAATATCTGGATAGTTGCTGATCAACACACATTTTGTATGTGTTTAATATGCTTAATGTACTGACTCCCTGAATATCCCCCATGTATTCAAGTAACCTAGGCTGCTTCTCATGCCAGAGACAAATTTAATGTCTTTTTGTTTTATTTTTAAACATATTAACTGCATTTTATTATGTGTAGTGGGAGGAGTCTAGCTACCAGACTAAGACGAGGCTGAATTTGCATGCTTCTTGGCTAAATAACTTTGGTTAAGCTACTTCACTACTATGAGCTTTCTGTTATCAGTAAGAGAGAAGTCATTATAGCTACTGGTCTAAAGAGGATGACAATGAATATCTTTTGCATGTTCATTTTGCCCAGGCAAGAAAAAAGAAGTTTCCCAGGTGGTTTATTTTCTAAGGTCATTTTAGTAATTCCTGACAACCATAAAAAATGAACTTAAAATGATGATCTATATGGTTCATTGACCAAAATAATTATACACATGTAATAAGTTAATTGATTATGAAGTAATTTTTTTGAAATGGTGCATTCTCTTAGATATATGCTGCTTGGAAAATGATAATATTTTAAGTATTTGAATTGATAGTCAGATAATTCATTTTGCATGTCTTAAGAGCTACTGGTTCTCTATTACTAAGTTTTAAAACAAAAGGTAAGGACAGATATAAAAGCCCCATAAAAAGTTTGCATTGCTCTCACCCCAGTTGAGCAGTAACTTTGAATAAGGCAGGTGCATGTCAGTCATCTGGTGTGACACTGGGAATTGCAAGCCATGTCCCTTGCCCCAAGCCTGACATTTTTTAAACTAATATTTACCCGCATTAGAAATAAAATATAGACTACATTTTAAAGACCTTGAAAATTATAAAGTAAGTAATTAACAGAAATTTTTAACCTAGAGGCAATCCTTTTTAATTAACTTTTTGATGTACTTAAATTTTCTTTAAAATTCTTTAAAATGTCAGTAAATGTCAGTGTATTTTTATATACGTACATTTACATACACAGTGAGAGAGAGAGAGAGAGAGAGAGAGAGAGAGTTCTATCTGCTGACCTTGAAGTCTTTTCCTCTGACTCAAATACATAGTTATTTTATAAAACATGAAAATATATGGGAACAGATTAATCTCCTGCAGATAGCCACTGCTACTATGGATTTTACTTTCTGGTTATTGTACATACCCTCAAATGCAGGGAAATTTATTCAAACTCAGTACTTGCCAGCAGCCCCAATATTTGAATTTCCCTGGCTTTGCTCATTTGAGTGCTGGTTAAATATCTTGGATTTCTCACTGGATACACACATCTTCCTGCCATGGAAGAGATTAAAAACTTCCAATACCATATGGACTGAAATGTTAAAATACCCATTCCCTACCTCTAATTACCTCCATGGAATAAAACAGAAATATAGCACAAAACTGTAAAGTAATCATAGGAATATCATATTTTCAATAACGACTATTTTTGAGATTTTCAAAGTAACAAATATCAAGCTTTTTTTTCAGAAAGAAGCAATTACACGCATGCTCCTCTTTTGCTGTGAACTTAAGCAACTTCTTCACAGTTAATTGAATTCATTCTGAGGATTTGGGAACATTATAGACTTTTTCTGAGCATGCCCTGCTCTGGCTGATTTTGTTCTCTTGCTCTGGGAATACTGAATTACACTGAGCAACCAACAGAAAGAATTTTCAATCAATTGTCTCAAAAGGCTGACTGAACTGCTATTTCTTTCTCCTATTTTTGGCTTTGTCTGCTTTCTTTTAGCAAAAACTGGTTGTTTTGCTCTTTCTGTATGTATTAATTAACATCAGTCAGTCCATAACACTTGAGCATTTAAATAAAATGGTATCTGGAATTCACTCCTCTGTGAATGCAAACTGAGAACAACTGAAGAGTCTTTTTTTATCCTAGTAATATACTCATTTAACCTAGCAGCAGAATTGACACTTTCTTCAGAAAGTCTGACTTAAATGCTCCATATACTTTGTTCCAACAATATTCCATACAAAACTCTTATTATGCCCTATTGTAATGGTCAGTTTGCTTGTTGTCTTTTTCACAGTATTGAGAAAGCCATGATGTGAGCTCTGAAGTATTCACGATTTCATTTCCAGTATGTGGTGAAATATCTGACAGAAAGAATAAGCCATTATCAAAATAAAACCAAATCTTTCAAGGGAATTATTATTGTTGCTAACGAAAGGCAATTAGTCCAGATATCTGGATAGTCTTCCATCACATAGGAATTACTGTGGCTTAGCACTTCTCTCTTAGGAACTTGAACAAGCTCAGTAAAAAATAACAACAAAGATTACTTGGAGACCAGCATTCTCTTCAACTTCCTGACACAGCCCCTAATCTCACTCCTGGCTATCACCAATCAGTTAATAAACCTCCTGCTATGAAATAAGGAAATCTTAAAAGGAAATGTCCCAGCATATGGAAATTCACCACTGGCTCACCAGGAAAAAATAAATAAAAAATAAAAACAGGTGGCAGGAAGATCTACCAACAGCTCTCCTTTTGATATTCATGATATTGCTGGATTCACAAATGATGAAATACTCCCAAGCAAAGGCTTTTAAACGGAAACAAAGTAGGTCTTGCATCCACCCTAATTAGCAATCAGCATAAGGAAAAATAAAATCACAAATTGCCTACCTGTGCAGAAATCAATGCACATATGGCTTTTAAGATTTTGAGACTAGGGCAACCCTCCTTCTTTTAAGGAAGCATTCTAGAATGGTGTGCATGTGTGTGTCTGTGTGTGTAGCGGGGGTGGGGGGCAAATATTATGAAAGTTACACAGAAGAAATGACTAAAGAGCCAGGGAGAATTATTAATGCCAGATTAATTATTTGATTCTATCAATTTAGTAAATATAGTATGCCTTGATTATCAGTGGAAATACATTCTGAGAAATATATTGTTAGGTGATTTTTGTCATTGTGTGAACATCATAGAGTGACTTACAAAAACCTAGATAATATAACCTACTACACACCTAGGCTGTATGGTATAGCCTGTTGCTTCAAGGCTACAAACCTGTACAGTATGTTACTGTACTAAACACTATAGGCAATTTTAACACAATGGTAAGCACTTGTGTACCTAAAATTGCAATATTATAATCTTATGGGACCACAGTTGTATATGTGGACCATCATTGATGAAAGCATTGTTATGTGGCACATGATTGTAAATAACAAAACCCTTTCTTTCAATGTCAAGGTATTTTCATGAATACGCTGTACATTGCAAATCTCAAATATTATATATTAACATATTCTTTTTACCCAGTAAATCAAAATTTTCCTCATGTTCATAATTACCTAATTCAAAATAGCTTGCAGATACTCACATTGCAACACAACTCTATGGAACATATTTAGAGTTTCTAAGTGCATTTTTACAATTGTAATTATCCTCCAAAAAACCCACTAGAGAATAGCAACCATATTTTCTATAAATAATAGGCCATTATATATTTTACACTTCTAAAAGTGATGCTGAGATTGTGTTTTTCTCATTCACAGACCTTGTTACATTCCTCCTAGTTCAACCCCCTTTTTACAAGTAGAATATGAGTAATGAAAGTGATGTACATATTTTATCATAGTTGCACTGCAACAGCAGCTGTAGTGATATATCGAATAGTGTTAGCATAGCAGGGAATTGTATACTTCCTCTGTACACCACATGGCGGGTGGCAGTGTACAGTGTACAATGTTAAGAAATATTACCAGCGCACCATTATACAACAGCTCTTTCCACAGTTACTAGTAAATAGTAGATAGTTAACAATTTTTTGAGTAAATTGATGAATGGATGAATACAAAGTTATACAATAAATACTACAGGTACATGGTGAATGATTCTTAGAGAAGGTGAATGAGTCTTAGAGAGAAGCCAGAATTGGAACTGGGCTTGATGGACTAGTAAGACCATCAGGTAATTGAGATAAATTCTGATTTGGAAGGACAGACAAGGAAAATGACCTGGATGCAGGCTTATGCAGAACCTAGGAAGGGAAGAGAGCACATGCCAGTTATAGTTATCACAAGAGGTAAGAGCAGTGAAGAATCAGCAAGACCATCTGTGCCACAGTATCATGGCCCTGGAATGCAAGTTTAGGTTGACAATGAAATCACTTTCTATAGATTTCTAAATAAATAAATAAGGACTCATATTTGGTTTAAGACAGTACTGTCTAATAGAAAGATAATGTGAATCACATATATAATTTTACATTTTTAAATAGTCACATTAAAAATGTAAAAAAGGTAAAAGTAATTTATATATATAATTTAATCTAATATCTCTAACATGTTATTTCAGCATGTAATTGATATAAAATTATTAATGAGCTATTTCCTTTTTTTTCAAACTAAGTCTTCAAAATCCAGTGCATTTTTTTACATGTTCAGCCCATCTTAATTTGGGCTGTGCACATTTCAAAGGCTACAGATTCACTTGGATGGAACAAGCAGCTCTCAGTTATGAACTGGTCTTAGGCACGTTTTGTTCTTCAGAACTCTCGTGGTGAGGTCTGATATCATGTTGGATAACTAATATTAACTATCCATTCCTTGATAGGATTGCCTCTGAAAATGTAGCCAATGAACCCTCTGCATCAGAATCATATGAGACACTTAATAAAATAATCCTCTACAAAGGATGACAAAACCAGAACCTCTGGGTTGGGCAATAAAAATCAGCATTGTTTAACAAGCTAACCAGGTGTGTGTTATGTAAACTAATGATTGAAAACACAGCTCTTTTAAAATATTCTGTGCCAATAAGCAAATAACATAAAGACATATACTACATAAAACCATTAATATTTTAGGGTCAAATTGAATCTAATTATTCTTTACCTAGAGATAAAGCATGTTGGAGAACAAAAATTATGGAATACATCATTTTCATAGTCTCAGAGGCTCAAATCCTTAATTTTTTATTGAAGTCCCACACTGTAATATAGTTTTTTTAAATGGTCTTTCTGCCTCTGGTAACATACAATCTTCACGAGCTTTAGGATTGATGTCTGGTATTCATATAATATATAGTATCTATCTATTAAAATAGTGACTGACAAAATAGCAAGTGTTCAGCAAATACTTATAAATGAATGAAATATTTCCTTTAGCTCGTTAGTTAACCATGTGAACTGAAATTTCATTCATTCACAAAACGAACATAATATGTATCTGAGAAGATTGTGTGAAATGAAAGTTGATTATATGTATGGGGTTTTAATTTGACACAGCGTTTCCCCATTGTTGTTCATTTTTCCTGTAGGGAGAAAAGTGAATTTATAACGTCACAGCTGTTAATAACGTGTTCTAGTCCCTCTACCAAGGACATTTGTATTTAAAAGCAAACATCAGAAGAGATCTTCTTTAATCCATAAGGGGTTGCTCTACGGTTGTTATTCTCCCTTGTGAAAATGGTGTGGGGAAGGGTGGGGGTCAAGGAAAATTTCCGGGAATTTTATAATACAGAGAGGAATCTAAGATTCTCCAACCCACCTAAACTTGGTTCAAACTAATAATTATGTAAGTAAGAAACACATATGTTTCTGCCAAAGGTTTTACCTATCAGTGGTCCCAGAAAGCATTTTCTTTCAGAATACAATGGTTGCAAAGTTACAGTTTCTGTTTGGATTTATTTATTGGTTTGAGCAACATTTATTTGGTTTTCATGGATATTCTGTTCCTGGCCTCTTCACTGATTAGATTCCTATTACAGAAAAATACATACAGGGAGCTGGCACCTAGGTAATGATAAAAGCAGCAGGCTTCTCAAATGCAATATGGACTGTTTTTCCTTTGCACTTCTGTTTTGCTTAGCGATTATAATCCATTCATAGAGCATAATGCTTGTCTAACTCTGGCCCTAAGCAGCCGTGACTCCTTTTATGTAAGGAGAAAATCTTTGTTTTAGAGAGAAACAACAAGTCTTTAACTATGGGATACATTTCTTAGAAACAATAGAATTAAATTCAGATCAGTTCTCGGCAGAGTTTCAATTCTGAACAAAGCTTATCAGAAAGGGGCATATGGGGACAGCAAAGGCTTGTGAATTTAATTGAATGGAGGTGAAAAGAACTCTGTTTCTGCAGAATTCTGATTTCTAAAAGACCCCAAATGAATTACTTCAGGGGAGTCCGAATTAAATCGATCTTGGTTACCACTAAGCAAGAAAAATAAAATAATGAGAATATCTGGCAGCTGAGTGTAAGTTTTTCAAGTTTTACAGTTTCAAACGTGAGGTTAATGTTCTGAGAGAGATGCCTTAATTCAAGGAAGTGAAGGTAGCTGATGCAGTTCACTAGAGTCACTTAATAAACAATTTCATCCATCTACTAGTTCATTTTTGAGACATCTATTTTATATTATTAGCATTTAAATGATATTTCTTATACACTGTTTTTCTTTGTGAAAAATTGACAAATTCAGGTATGTAAGATGCCAACCCAATAAAATTCCAATTCTTTGTTTCTGAAAGAATCTGTCTCCAATAAAATATTTGGTGCTATGATAAAAAATTTCAAACTATGGCAACTTTTTTTTTTTTTTTTTTTTGACACAGAGACTGTTGCCAAGGCTGAAATGCAGTGGCATGAACTCAGCTTACTGCAACCTCCACTTCCTGGGTTAAATTGATTCTCCTGCCTCAGCCTCCCAAGTAGGTGGGACTACAGGTGCCTGCCAACACACCCAGCTAATTTTTGTATTTTAAGTAGAGACGGGATTTCACCATGTTGGCCAGGCTGGTCTCGAACTCCTGACCTCAAGTGATCCACCTGCCTTAGCCTCCCAAGTGCTGGGATTGCAAACGTGAGCCACCGTGCCTGGTCCCAAACTATGGCAACTTTTGTTTTCTGTTTGATAAACTCAGTATTGGTACTGAAATTAAATAACTAAATTTCACATGCTAACTTTTTGTTTAATAAAACAGGCTGTTTTGTTGTTGTTGTTGTTGTTGTAATCATTTTGATTATTTTGGTTAAGGAGAAGGAGTTGAATACGTGTGGTTAAAAGATGTGTCTCATCCACAGCTCTGACTCTTTTCCCCCTCCCACTTGGGCCTGGTGATCAGCACAGTGTTCCTTTATTTACTCATGTATTATCAGTTTGGAATGACCACCCTGACGAGTGACAGCAAGACTCAGCCCCATCCACGGACAGTTCCACACATGACATCTCTGTCATGCAGGACTCAGAAAGGACAAAAGCCATGCAGTTGCTGCTCTGGATTCTTATTCACCAGTGACCATCAGGGATGACTAAAGACATCTAGTCACTTTTTTAATAGTCTGGATGCTTGGATGAAATTCCACTTCAGATGGCCCAATAGTACACATACTCACTTACACATTTATGAGTGCACATGTGTACATGTAACCTTGAACACTTGCATGCTTAACCATCAAGATAGTGGGAGTAATCTTTTAAGCATACGCTAAGAATAATTCATGTTAACATAAAAATAGGCCCAAGCACAGCAGTTTATTAGTTAGAGTGAGATTGAGTTCATACGTAATGTTAACAGTGGCTTTGAACACAATTTAAAGTTACATTTTGTTTTAAAAATCATACATTTATAATAAAAATATGTGAAATATGTGAGAGTGGTCATAAGTTTGGATGGTAGGGAAAATGACAAGATCTTTAGAGAAGAAACACATTTTTGTGTGCTAAAAATAACCAATGAGTATCAACACTGAAAAAAATATTTTTTAAAAAATATCAAAGGTTATTTATTGATTTGTCTTTTTTCCCCTAGTACTGTTTACTTTTGAGTTACAAAAAGAGGTACTTATATAGTTCCCTATGTCAGCTAAGGGGTGAAAAAGTCATGCCACATGGATTTCTGTTTATTTATTTTTGTATTTTTTATTTCATTAGATTTTTTTCTCCAAAGTTTTCATGCTGTTACAAATATCCATCATGGACTATCCTGCCAGTGACGATGATGTGGTATTTGTTTTATACCCTCCCATTACTTTTTCTCAAAAAAATAGAAACTAAAGGATAGGAAAATAGCAGAGAATGACGTCTTCATCAAAACCACATCAATTATTTATATGTTTAGGTATCACTGATTTTTTTTTCATTCTTCCATTTGTGTTCTCGTGTGACAAATATTTAATTTTCAATATAAGCACAGTACTATGTTATGTTTGGGGAAGCATGTGAACTAAGAACCATTATTTATTGAGAATTTTATAGAACATCATACACATTTCCTGTCTACAAGAAGACAAGAATGGGCAAAATAATCATTGTGTTATAGCATGCTATAAATTCAAGGTATGCTTCAAGTGTTTTTGAAGTATTCTCCTATTTATTCTTCAAGTACTGGAAATCTTCAAATATTGAAGTATCTGGGCGTCAAGTCCCCATTGTGCTTTGAAGCTAATGGAGCAGACAGACATGTCAAGGGGCAGTCCCCATGCAGCACGGTGAATGCCAGCACAGGCCTTGGTGCAGAGTGCTCTGGGGCCATGCTAGTGCTCTTACTCCAGCTTTGGGGGACAAACATTCTGATTGATTGGAGGAGTCTAGAGGGCATCACATACTACCCTGGCTCTCTCCCTGCTCTCCTCCTGGTGCCAGTGTCCTGGCCAAACTCTCATGATGTGAAGTCTACCCCTACACAGGCCATATCCCTAAGTTCCACATGGATCCTTTTCCCTTTCTCACATCTGAGCAGCAGAAAAGCTCAACCCTCAGTCACTGACAGAAAACATCTGCTAAATGGACCCATTCTGAGAACTGAATATCTTAGAATAACCTAATATGATGTCCGTTTTTACTACATTTGTACTGAAATTGAAAACGAATCCAGCTCTTCCCTTAGGTGTGGCTGAACGATGTCCCATTGGTGCAGATGGAGCCTCAGTCAAGGAGTACGGAAACTGTCCTTTAATATCCAACTTCAGCTAGTTTCTTTAAAGGAAGGATAGAAGACATTGAGGAAATGAATGCAAGAGGGAAAGAGGTTAGCTTATTTCTGCCTAAGCATTTACATTTGGGGAAAGCAGTCAGACTGCAGTGGTGATCTCTAATAACTGCAGAGTATGCCTGGGCAAAGGAAGCAGCAAGCGTTTGCCTCTGAAAGCAGGGGCAGTGGGCAACCGCAGCCCACACAGAAGCGTCTTTATTTCACAGAAGGCCACTAATAAACTACTAAAACAGAAGCCCATTTGATGGAGAAAGAGAGAATGTGTCAGGGGGGCAGGAAAAAAATCCTACAAAGAATTCAAACTGAAATTTAGTAATAGAGAGCTAATGTACTCAAAAATAAGCTCGCTGCTAACAGTAAAGACACTGCCAAGAAATAGATGGGAATTAGTGCCAGGTTAACACATAAATCAGAATTTTGCAATTATGCAAATGAGAAAGCCAAAGACTTTATTTCATTTCCATCTGATTCCAGAATAAAGGCCCTAATTTTGATGAATATATAAAAAGATTTTAAGAAAGCGAGATGATGAATTGTGGCAAACTAAAGATATCAATCTCACTCTGGAAAGGAAGATGATTGAATTTTTTTTATCTGTATAGCATATATATATGTATAGCATATATATATATAAACATATATATGAATACATATATTGCTATAATTATGCTTGGTATTATAATTTATACATATTCAAGGGAAACCTTCTTCTTCTATAGTACTTCATACTCTTGATGACATTTTTATACAGATCCTAAGGGCATATGAGGCAGATATAATTGTCTCCATTTTTAAGTGATTATTAGTTTAATATGGTAGTTAATTTAAACAAAGACTTTTTATTTATAAAAGTGCAGTTAATCACTGTGAATTTATATTTCTGGAAAGGTAATATTATAAACTACTTTGAAAGGCATGGTTGGGTCAGAGAGGATAAGAAGTGAAAGTCACTCAGGATTGGTATTAGCTCTATAAGGCATAGTTTCTTAGGACTGATACCGACCAGCAGGGGCATATATTTGGGCTGTAGGGAAAACCACTTCAAAAATGCGTAATACCAGGCAGATAAGCTGTGCCTATCATTCAGGATTACATATCATATGACAAGGTAGAATATTTCATTCCAAATAGTCCAGCTTTTCCCTTAAGAGCTAAGGATTAAGAGCCATATATCCTAGTTGTTGGCATATGGACAGGCAGATGGATGGACTTAAGAATTTTGGAAGGCACACCAAGTTGATGCCAAATATGTTGAAAATTACATAAAACAGAGACCAAATAACACAAAGCAAGTGTTTGAAAGCATAAAATACTTTTGAAAAGGAAGATATAAGAGTGTATTTTTAGAACAACTAAAATACTAAACTACGAGAAGGCATTCATTTGGTACAATGAAGACACACTGAGCAGAAAGGTGAATCAGTTGAGTAAGCATTAAGTCCAAGGAATGTTACATCAGGTGCTATGAGAAAGTTTAGGTACAAGCACAACCTTTGTTGACAGCCCATAAAAATGCACCCTGGTACCACAGGGTGAATTCTGATCAGAATTAATGCTTCATCTGAGTTTTTCATTATAATGTTTGTCTTTAGATTTTGCTTTTGTAGTGAGAGAATGCAAAACTACTCTCTGCAGTTTCTAAAACAGAACCCAATATTTTTAAATGGACAACTGCACCTTTCCATTTAGATTATATGGATTAGGATACAGCAGAAGCATGCCAGTTTTTTCAAAAACCATAGGAAATTTTGTGGGACTCAGTTAGTACCAATAAAGTAAGTATAAAGACTTAAGACCACAAGTCATCTAGTAATTTAATTTGCAGGACTCGCTATTAGGACCTCTTCTCTCTCAGTGCTTCTTGCTTGGTGATTTTCTCTAGTGTCTTGGTTTTAAACATCCTCCATATGTTGCTGACTTCTGATGTCTATGTATCTATCTATCTATATCTAGTTCAGGCCTTTTCCCTGAACTCCAAATGCAATGACTGCTATAGCCTTGACATTTCCACTTGCATTTCAAGTGTGCATCTAAAAACTTGACATACACAAAACCAGATTCTTGATTGTTCTTTCCCCTCTTCATTGAAAGCAATTCTATTCTTCTTGCTGCTCAGGTAGTCATCATACAGTTACTATAGACTCATTTATTCCTATACCTTATACATCATCAGCAAATCCTATTAACTCTATTTTCCAAATAATTTCCAAGAATGACTACTAACCATCCTGGCTCAAAATATCATCTCTCAGTCAAACTATTATAATAAGCTCTGGAATAACAATAGCCTCCTAAATGTACACCTTAATCCTTAGCACCCTTCCATCTATTCTTCACAAAGCCCAGATGACTTATTGATTATGTCACTCATCTTCTCACACCCTTCCCCACTTGACTGGTTGGCCATTACCTTCTTAATGCCTCACATGGTCTGCCCTCTTGCAACCTCTCTGATCCTCTCTCCTCCACTTTAGCCATGTGGTCTCCTTGTTGATCCTCAAACAAACCCATTATGATATTGTCTCAAATCATTTGCCCTTGATGTTCTTTGCCTGGAAATCCACTTGATAGCTTCTCTAACTTTTTGGAGGTCTCTGTTCAAATGCTAGCTTATTACAGTGATCTGTGCTGACTGCTTTAGATATATAACACACATTCACCATCACCAGCAGCAGGATTCTCTAGCTCCTTCATCCTGATTTATTTTTCTCAATGATGCTTTTTGCCACCAGGTATGTTTTACAGATGTACACACATATACAGTTTATCTAATTATGTGTAAATTCTGTATTTACAACTTTGCCTACTCACTGAAGTGCACTTGTAACCCCAAATCTAATCTTTGTGGTGCTTTTATGATCATTCATAAGCCTGCATAGAGCTGTGAAAAATTTGTGTCACCTTCGGGGCACCAGCTGAGAGTCTAGGAAGGCAACTCTCTGTCTTCTTATTTCAGCTCTCATATTTAAACCAGTGTCCTCTTTGCAGTCTATTGTATACCACCTTTTTACGTTTTTGTGCTTTATGTTGGTGATTTTGTTATTTGAAATGGCCCCTAAGTGTAGTGCTGAAGTGTGGTCTAGTGTTGCTCAGTGAGAGAAGACTGCAATGTACCTGACGGAGAAAATATGTGTGTTAGGTGATCTTCCTTCAGAAATAAGTTATAGTGCCAACAGGCTGTAAGTTCAAAGTTAGTGAATCAACAACATATAATAAAGAAAATATCTCTAAACAGAAACACATGGAAAGAAATTACATACTGATTGATTGACAAAAATGTTGTTACCAGAGGCTCACAGGAACGTACCCTGTATTTACACTGGGACCAATGGGATAGGATGTGCTAATTCAGTGTTCATGGACACTTATAGAACATAACTACCATGAATCAGATTCAACTGTGTGTGTTCTTTTTTTTTTTCATCATTATAGTCCTCCCTAAAATGAAGGGGATTCTGTAAGAGCAGGGCTTTGTCTATACCAAGAATGTAGCAGATGCCCAGTAGTAATCCTACATTATTATATCAATTGACCTTCTCAAAAATTCAATGTTGTAGGGGCTACTGCGTGCATTCTACATTAAAGAAGCATATATCTAGCAGGTCAACACCTGCTCAAGATCAAACAATGGTAATTGTCAGTGCTAAGGTGTGAAACCAGGTACTGGTTTGATTTCCTAACCATTCCAGTACTGTTGAAGGTGAAGTTGGTAGATAAGCTATATGGCTGGTGAATGAAATAAAGGAAGGAATAAATGAATGAATTAAACAAGTCAATATCAGGTATATATAATTCTAAGCTGAATTAATCATCTTTTGCTCACAGCAATCTCATATCACTTGTTATTAAACCAATTGTGATATAAGGATCTATTATTACTTCTAAATTAAAATGCTAAATAGATACATACAAAAATTAAACCTGGAAGCAGCCTAGAGTAGATTGAAGATCAAGGAACTAGAGTCAGAAAATATAAAATTTATTCCTATCACAGGCTACTTTTTTCTGCAGTTTAGGGGACATTATTATACATATAAACATTATCTTCCCTGCCCGTCTTCCTGGATTGTCTGAGTAATCAAGGAGGATACTGAATATAAAAGCAATTTGTAAAGGGCTAAATGTTACAATATATTGTTGAAATGATGAATAATCGTTATGCAATCTTAATCATTTTTCTAATATTTAAAACAAATGTTTATCAAGAAAATCATAAGGAGGCAGTTTTAGGATAAATAAGCTCATTTTTATAACAAGAAACCATGTGAAATCAAAGACATACACACAAATTAATATCACTCAGGCACAAGAGTTTTGCTTTTCCTTCAGGCTAATGGGATTGATTTTATGCACAGTGCTCACCTGATAGCTCTATTAGCCTTTTTTTCCCCCTTTCTAGAAATGAGCGGGGCTGGTGCACAAGTAAAATCAAATAAAGAAAGGACCATTGACCCAGTTGCAGCTTGACAACTGTGACACAGAACACCTTCTACTCACAGACCTTGAGCTTTAGTTTTTGCCTCATGAGGCCTTCTGAGCTGTCACATTGACTTAATTGTTTCTTTGGGGAGTAAGAAGTGATAGTTGACCATGATTTGTGTTGATTTTCAATAAAGTTACTGCCAGGGGTATTTAAGCCAAAACATCTGCCTGACAGCTTCATTGGTACCAGTGTATGTAACACTAATAAAGAAATGAAGAAGAGATTTCCTTCCATTGTGCATTTTCTCCATTTTCTTTGGCAGGTGGAATTCTAAGCTCTGCAACAGTCAAGCCAAGCCCGCTTGTACATCATTCTTACGAATAACCATTTGCTCAATTAGTCCTGGCAATTTAGCACGTGTTCTTTGTCACTTTACTTACTTAGAATGTGAGCCGGGTGGATGTGAGCTTTGTTCTTGTTTTAATATAGTCCCATATTGGTTATTACACTAAAACAGAAATATGAGTTTTTGTTATTTCTGGGTCAGAGGTAAAGAAAAATTCAATCATGAGATTCAAAAAATTTATGTGCTTTTCTTCTATTTTCGGAAAAAAGAAATCAAAAGAAAATTACTTTAAAAGTTAACATGTGTGGAGGGATAGTCCAACACAAAGAAAAGAAATGAGGGAGGGAAGATGAGAGAGAGAAAGCACAAAAGAGGAGGATAATGGCTGATAGAAAAAAACAAAAGACATTCAGTAGATTTTGAGGCGTCTGTCTGGGGCTGTCACTATTTATATAGGTGATTTTTTTAGTAGTCCATTTTTTTTTCCTTTGTTGACTTAGACATTTATATGGCTTTCTGACTAAGCCCAACTGCCAATTCTCAGATTATTTGTTGTATACAAAATAGCCACAGAAACCTATTTCAGTGGAAACTTCTATAGAGGTGGTTACAGCAATGTCAAGAGTAAGGTTGGAATAGAATCAATATAATAGATTAAAGACCAAAACTTGTATAAATTAAATTAAGATAATAGATTGGTCAAAATTCAAATAAGTGTTATAGGAACTCTGGTACCAAATTGTTAAAAGAAAATTATAAATCTTTCATTGATTTTTAGATTTCTTCTTTGTACTTTATAATCAACCTATATTTGAATGCTTTAAATCCAATATGTTTTGATTGAGGATCAAAATTAGTTGTTTGCAGCAGATGCAGCAGTGATTACCTTTGATTCAATTATGTTGGATGTGGGATCAGTGATTCTTTCATATTGTGCTCATTACAAATAATAAAGGGTAAATATGATGAAATGTTCAAATGACACATGCCTTCGTAATATGAATATATTTAATATTTTTACAACTTAGTTGTCGACTGCCAGGCAGCATCACAGCATGATAATATACAATTTTGCTCATCTAGAAGATATCCACATGTCCAAACTCCACTTCGTGAAGCAAGTTTAAAGTGGGAGAAAGAAGGAAGTGAGTATATTGTAGACAACTGACTTTTTGAAAATCAGACAAACAGATATCAAGAAAAATTTGTGACCAGGATAGAAAATGTATGTTGAGGGGAAATGTTTCTCTCCAAAACATGTTAAAGATGAGAAAATTGTTTTTTGACTAATATACCAAGTGTGTTTTGCAGCTGTAGCAACTCCAATTCACACCTATAAAGAAGCACAGGTGGTACTGTTTTTGCAACTCAGTTCATTCATATGCAACCAATTTAATGCTCATGATAAATTTAAATTTTAAGTTTAGGGGCGTATTTTTCCTTTTGGGAAAAGCACTTCAAACTTTCAACCTTGTACAGATAGATAGCCAGCATTATTTTTATAACTCATTTTATATTGCTAGATATCACATTACTATCATAACAAAGCATGGCTAAAATACTTTTTACAAATATGTCATCTATTTTAAATAAGCACATAGTGTTTTATTTAAGTAATATATAGTGATCTCAAATAAAATTTGTTTTCTCTACAGAATTTCTTCTACAGATAAGGCACATGTAAAGGTCTATTATTCCTTTCAGTGAATTACTCAGATACACTTTTTAGATTAAATAATATACATATTTTAAAGTGTTTTATATTTCTATATTGTCTTCTACAAAGATTGACATGTTCCCTCACTAATACATAAAAATTCCCATTGTCCTATTTCCTTACCAATACTAGATTAATAAATAGTTACTAATCTGGCAAAAAAAAGAAGGTAATTAGTTTTTGGTGTAATTAGTATATACTTCACATGCTTTTCATTTATGTGTGAATTTAGGCACTTCTTTATATATTGTCAATTTATATTTCTTTTTTCCCTCAGATTGCCTGTTTACATTCTATGCCTATTTTTATTTAAGATATATGACATTTTATCACTGATTAATCAGGTCTACTTTTTCTATTTAATAAAATAACTATATTATTTCATTCTATACCTTATCTCTTTCCTTATAATTTTAAGGTTTCATACACAAAGAAAAAATTAATTAGTATATTTCCCTATTGATTAATACTGACGTTTTCTGATGCAGAAAAATTAGAAAATTTAATGAAAGCAATAGAGTCTTTTCTCAGGGAGAAAATGTGCTCAGGAAATTGTGCTTACAGATGTGAAAGATTCATAAACCATGTGAGTTCATTAATGGAGTCAAGGCAAAAGCGTGTCTTCTTAGTTGTCTTATAAGTGCTATGCCTCTAATACTCTTCTTCCAATCATGCTTGTGTAAACATCTACCTTAATACTTTCTAGTTGTTTAAGGATGCTATTTATTTTCACATGCTCATTTATTCAGAAAATTATTATTATTGCTATATAATGACATGAATAAGAAATTCAAATTGGTAAATATACAGGTCAAATCATCTGACTGCAATGCAACAAAAGCCATACATTGATTTTTTTGTAAAATATTAGAAATATAAGAAGAGGTAATCTCTTTGATAACTCATATATCAAAAAGGAAGTCCAAAAGCACCATTTAGAAAATTCATAGAATATAATGAAAAGAGTAGAAACTACGAATTGTAGTTAAAGCTAAACTCAAAGCCAAATTTGTTTTGGAAAATCTTTACTATGGTAGATAATGCAATCTCCAAAAAATGTTCTAATGACATATTTCATGACGTAGAACAATTGTTATGCTAAAGCGAGGTACAAATGTTATTTATAGTAATGGACCGAGTTTTACAAATTAATAGTCTAAATGAACAATTTACTACAGTATATTTGGTGCAAAAGTAGTAGTATTAGACTGGAAAAAAATAAGTAAATGGTGGTATTTTTTTAAGGAGTTAAGTTAAAATTAATTCTCTTTATTTTTCCTCAAGTACATTATTAATTTCTCTTTGAAAAATGCTACTTCTAAGAATAGCAAAAGTAAATGCAGAATTATGTATAATAAATTTGTAAGAGATGTGTGTGTGTGTGTGTGTGTGTGTGTGTGTGTATGTGTGTACTTTTATGCCATAAATGTGAAAAGAATTGTTTACTGGGCTTTCCAATGCACTTCTCCTGAAATAGAAAAATAAAAGGAGGAATGTGGCTGAGAGCAAGAGGACAAGAGAGAGATAGGAAGACAGAGTGTAGACCATATAAGGCATTCATTAGCATCATGAAGATAGAGTGCACACGATCATGATGAAATCATTAGCATCATGTACGGTTGGATCAAGAGCCATCATAGAAAGTAAAAGTACATACTGAGTGAGGTATATCTGAAAAATTCTGAGTGATATCATGGATGGAGAGTTCCATGGCAAAACCAATAAATTTCTTAATCAGAAATACTCTCATGCTGGCTAAAGGAAATTCTGAGGTGAAATTTGTCAAGGTAAAGAGCTCATTCTTCAGATTTGAAGCTTTATTTTAAACTCTACCATAAACACAAATAGATAAATTATGTTCCATTTATCTTCCTTTTAAAAGAAATTTTGCTGTGAGATGCATATCTGTCATTGCTATATACTATTTGAAAGTATATGTAATGTTTTGTGCCCTTCAAAGCCACTAGGCCAGGCACAGTGGCTCACGCCTGTAATCCCAGCACTTTGGGAGGCCGAGGTGGACGGATGACCTGAGGTTGGGAGTTTGAGACCAACCTGACCAAATGGAGAAACCCCGTCTCCACTAAAAAAAAGAATAATAATAAAATACAAAATTAGCTCTGTGTGGTGGCTACTTGGGAGGCTATGGCAGGAGAATTCCTTGAACCCGGGAGGTAGAGGTTGCGGTGAGCCCAGATCGCACCATCACACTCCAGCCTGCGCAACAAGGCTGGAGCAAAACTCCATCAAAAAAAAAAAAAAGAAAGAGAGAGAGAAAGAAAGAAAGAGAAAGAAAGAAAAAGAAAGAAAAAGAAAGAAAGAAAGAAAGAAAGAAAGAAAGAAAGAAAGAAAGAAAGAAAGAAAGAAAGAAAGAAAAAGAAAAAAAGCCACATGAGGCAATTATTGCTAATTTCATCTTATGAATGAAGGAGTCAGGCTCATAGTTTTCCAGTATCCTCTTCAAGGCTACATATATTCTAAACTGCTAAATTTAAATTAAGATTTTACAGAATCAAAAGCTGTCCCTGTTATTACTTGCTGCCTCTTTAGTATTTTTCTTTCCCTCTATTTTCTATTAAATCCCACAGATTAAGTTGATCAGAACTTGTTTGGAGACAATGGGGACACACCATTTCAAATTTTATTTATGAAAATCATCTTTTTGTTGTTATTACAAAACATGATTTAAGATAAAAATGTTATTTTAAAATTGGTAATTTATCCCTACACCTAAGCAAATATTAAGACGTAGCTCGGGTTTCACAATCTTCAAAATTGAGAGCCATAATTGATATCAACTTCTTACTCTTCATTCTCTTCTTTTTACAATCCTCATAGACTACCTAGAAAACTTTTTATATGTAAACTTTTATGTCCTAGATCAGCAGTTAGCATTTTAAAAATTTCATTCTTTTTTCTGAGTTCCTTAAGGAAAGAAATATTGACAAACATTTAATTTAGTGCTGAGCAAATTTTACACTTTCCACAAGCTCCTGTTGGTTGAGAAATATTCTTTTGTACACATGCACTGGTATACACACACTGACACATTTCATTGAAAACAATCTGGGTTTTCAAGTGATTCAACTAGATAAAATGAAGTTCTATTTGTTCAAGTCATTTCAGAGGCATTTACTTCTCTGGACCTGTAAGTGGTCTTTGATGTGAGGATGGTATCTGCTATAATTGCCACAGATGTATTCAGAGTTTTTGTCTTTTTAAAAAAGAAAAAAACAAAGTGCTCATCTTGATTCACCTCCTACAGTGAATGATCTTTCTGTAATTCAGTTTTTTTCTTCTTCTTTCTTTCTTTTTTTTGAGACGAAGTCTCACTCTCTTGCCCAGGTTGGAGTGCAATGGTGCGATCTAGGCTCACTGCAACCTCCGCCTCCCGGGTTCAAGCAATTCTCCTGCCTCAGCCTCCTGAGTAGCTGGGATTATAGGCATGTGCCACCATGCCTGGCTAATTTTTTATATTTTTAGTAGAGATGGGGTTTCACCATCTTGGTCAGGCTGGTCTCGAACTCCTGACCTCAGGGGATCCACCTGTCTCGGCCCCCCAGAGTGCTGGGATTATAGGTATGAGCCACTGCACCTGGCTGTAATTCAGTATTTTTATATAAGGACGTTTCTGTTTCCTAAGCAATTTAGTTTCTTTCTTGACCTTTTCATTAGTGCTAAGGTCTGATTTTTTTTATATGAAAGTAAATGTGAAAGTCTCTGAATGGGCTCTGTAACAGCCATTATAAAACTATATAGGAAGTCTGATACTTCAGAAATGAATATTTTTCTGTTAACAAAGTACATCTGACAAAAAAAGATCAAACAGTCAGTCCACTTTGTAAAAACTCTGGAGGTTTCAAAAAGCAAGTCGTCAGGGTTTACCGGACAGTGTGCACCGTAGCAGGATGCTAATCTCTCCAGACTCCTAAACAAAGATAACTAACAGACAAGTGTCTTTGATTGAGAAAGCAATGTGACCCACGGGAGGTACACAGTTTGTTACTGCCCTGTAAGTCATCCAGAGCCACAGTCAGTCTCGAGGTTAGGAAAGGAATCCTGCCAATTCTTTGTGGCATTTCCTTCTCTCTCTCTCTCTTTTTCTCGTCTCCATCTCTCTCTTTCTCTTCTCTCCATCTCTCTCTTTCTCTTTCTCTTTCTCTCTCTCTTTCTCTTCTCTCCATCTCTCTCTTTCTCTTTCTCTCTCTCTTTCTCATCTAGGGCTCATCAGACTTCTTCAGAATGATTGCATGCTTTTTCTTCTCACAAAAGCTATAAACCAGCTGATATTTGAATAATAAAGAAATAGGAAAAGGTTAAATGTCTAGGTAAAAATATATTTCAAATAATACTTTACATATGACACGACATTTTCCTATCTAGGATCTTATTTTACCATTGCTCTCAGCCTAATTTGGCATGTGGTGGTGATATCACCACCATCTAGAGGAGGAAGGTGAACTTCACAGAGCCAGAGCTCTGGGCCAGCCCAGCAGCATTGAAATTTGATGTCAGAGAGAGATGGGGTCTGACTCAGCCCATGCTCCTACCATTACACGACATTTCCTCTAATTATCAACCTCAGCAAATCCTGACTAATCGGTGAAGTTGACATTTGTTAATTTCTACCTTAAAAAAAAAAAGATGATCAAGTAAAAGGAACTACAGAGAAGAAGACTGGCAGAGCCCTTGCAAAATATCTCCAACACGATTGCAGGGGAGCAGATTATTTTCAGCTGATTCAATAGGCATTCACTCTTCATTAGAAATGCTTTGTGCTAATTTTTATTCTATTTTTCCAAAGGAATAGTTTATTTATCCGATTTTAATGTGTTAGCAATGCAAAGAGAAGAGAGCACAGTCCATGGAAAGTCATCAACTGCATCAGCCAGGGTTAATGTTGAGTGCACACTGAACACTTGTTCAACTCGGCATTGTGAAGGCAAGCAAGCTTAAGAAAATCAATTAATGTATCATTTCAATTCCTAGATAGATTTCTTTCTGCTTACTCCACACTGCCACTATTAATAAAGCAGGCATATTAAGCACTACCAGCAGCAGGGGGTAAAAAAGAAAGTACAGGCATAAAATCTCACAATTTACAAAAAGAATAACCCTTATGAGTCATGCAGCATCACTCTCCAACACTCTGACATTCAAAACAAACTTGCTATGTGTGGCTGTTTTAGGAGTGTGTGTGTGTGTGTGTGTGTGTGTGTGTGTGTGTGGAGAGAGAGAGAGAGAGAGAGAGAGAGAGAGAGAGAGAGAGAGAAATAGCTCTCATGCAGGATTTTCTCTTTTTTCAAGTTGGACCCTACGTCCAAATGATGCAACGAAGAATCACTGAAGTACCCAACACATCCCAAACTTCCCCATGTAACAAAGCCTTCAACTGATGTAAGATGTTTCAGATATGATCTATACAGAAATACAGCACTTGCCATTCCTTTGCCTATTCCCTAACTAGATGTTCCTAATTCTTCCACTAGGAGTATTCACCCAGTCCTTACCTGGTGGCACCTATCAGAAAACACAACATGAATATTAACTAACCTTATAGAATACCTTTTCTGTACCAAACTTTTTTCTAACATAAACTGTTATGTGTGTTAGCTCATGGAATTCTTGTCATAACCCTGTGAAGCAAAGCCTATTATTATCTCCATTTTAGAGAGGAGGAAACTGAGGCTCAGCAAGTATCCTGCCCAGGATCATAGATCTAGAACATGGTAGACCTGAGATTTAAATGCAGCCATCTAGTTCGAGAACCTGCCTTCTTAACAATGAATAATACCTGGCTTTAGCAAGGCAATACATTAGTCTCCCCTGCTTATCCCACACTGCAGAATGAACAGATTAGGGTAAATGGATTCTACCTTTGACAAGGGACTCAAATATAGAGGCTTCATAAAATTAAATCAGTCCAAAAATAGTGGTTCTCTAACTTTTGGAGTCTGATCATCCTTTACAAAAGCCAGAGAAAAAAAAAAGCATGTCAAGGGCAGAGATTCCACTTCCCTAAGTCTTCTCATGCACCAGAAGCTACTCTTGGTTTCTCCTTCTATGTTCTTTGCTTCTTAATTTGAAACTGTGAGATTCTTTCTGGATGTGTATACTATTTGTCTCAGATATTCCTTGTCAGTTTCTATCTATGGATACATAAAATAGAAAGTCCTTTTTCCAAAAATGTGTGACTATCCAAAGGATGAAGGCAACAGCTTTAGGTTAACTTATTTCACATTACTACAGACTAACATAAAAAGAGAGTGAAGGGTTTTTTTTTTTCTTTTTTTTTTTTTAAAACTTCTAGTTATTTTAGGACCTGACACCAAGCATGAAATACACCACTTCTCTCAGCAGGCACGGATTGCTTTAAAGTTCTGTTGCAATTTTTACAACCTAAAATTAGTGTACAACTCTGATTTCTAACCAGCTAGATGAAGACAATAAGAAATGTTCTAAAATTTCAAATCAAATGTTATATATTCGGGTCAATGGATGGCTATGCTTGTCCTGAGCTTCAATCAGTGATTTTTTTAAAAAAGAAGATAATAGATGAAGGAAGCATGTTATGAATGACCATAGAGGATTCTCACTAATTTGAAGTTGCTGGTGCTTTTTTCCAATATGATTTTGCCAATCTTTATTCCAACTGTGAGAGAACAAGAAGAACACTTATTTCTCATTTGATTTCCTGCAAGGCATTGGATTGTAAATTGAATACCCTACATGAGATTTTTGAGACTTCACGAAATAAATGAAGAGGCAGAGAAATAAAAAAAGAAATGTAAATTACCATAAAATAATGCATTTTGAACACAAAAACATCCATAGAAATATTTTTTAAACACACACACACACACACAGAGACCTGTGATTAATTTCTATGCTATTTGAATGCATTAGGAAATAAAACTTGATTTAAATTTTAGAGAAGTCTTGATACAGAAAGGAAGAGAATTGTCACAAAAGAAATTTATTAAAAGTTTAAAATCATTACATAATATAAAGACTGGTACATTTTTAGATATTAGTTGACATGAAAAAATATTTTCTTTATCTGTAATTTTAATACAAATAACCGTGGTAATTATCATCAAAAGCAAGTTTTTAAATGTCCTTAACTCCTTTATTTATAATGTATTTCATTTATTAGGTAAGCTAACTAGTATTAACTGAAAAACAGTAAAACTTATTTGTCCCTCTACAAATATCTTTTAAATCTTATCTATTATTCCAACTTATTGGCCAGGCGTGGTGGCTCACACCTGTAATCCCAGCACTTTGGGAGGCTGAGGCAGGCAGATCACAAGGTCAGAAGTTTAAGACCATCCTGGCCAACATGGTAAAACCCTGTCTCTACTAAAAATACAAAAATTAGCCGGGCGTGGTGGCGGGCACCTGTAGTCCCAGCTACTCAGGAGGCTGAGGCAGGAGAATTGCTTGAACCTGAGAGGCAGAGGTTGCAGCGAGCCGAGATTGTGCCATTGCACTCCAGCCTAGGAGGCAGAGCAAGACTGTCTCAAAAAAAAAAAAAAAAAAAAAAAAAAAAAAAAAAAATTCCACCGCATTGTGTTAAATGCCATTAGGTTCTAATTTACAATGCATATACATCATCTAACAATTTATGTAAGATAAGTAACTTTTTCACTATAGATGAAAATTTAAAAGACTGCTCAAGAATTGTTTTTATTTATCTGGAAGACAACCAAGTTTAGAACACAAGGTGACAAAGTCCTGAGAAGAGGACTTTTTAGTGGTGGAGGGGGACAGTCTCTCTCTGTAGCCCATGCTGGAGTGCAATGGTATGATCTCTGCTCACTGCAACCTCTGCCTCCCGGGTTCAAGCTATTCTCCTGCCTCAGCCTCCCAAGTAGCTGGGATTACAGATGTGCATCACCACGCTCAGCTAATTTTTGTATTTTTAGTAGAGACGGAGTTTCACCATGTTGGCCAAGCTGCTCTCGAGCCACGGACCTCAGGTGATCTACCCGTCTCGGCCTCCCAAAGTGCTGGGATTACAGGCGTGAGCCACCGCACCCAGCAGGGAAGAGGACTTTGAGTGGAGTTTCGTCTTTGCAGTGGAAGCTCTAGGTAGCTGAAAAACAAAAATGCTTCCAGCATGAATTGAAATCTGAATTAATGTGGATCAAGAAAATGTTGGGGGATTGGTATTAAAAAACCAACTTCATCTACCTATTAGATTTTACTGCCACCAATTTTGGTTAGTATAGCAAGCTTATCATCTAAGTAATAGCTTGAATGGTAATTAATAATAATAGCTTGAATTTATTGATTGACTATTTTGTATCAGAGAGTCTATCTGTCAATCTTGTATAGAAACTTCATCTCAGCATCTCAAGGTAATGTTTTATTTTGTTTTCACATCACCAGTAACTCAGTCTTACAAAGTTTGTCTAAGATCCCAAAGCATATATGTTGTTGTGTTACCATTAGATAAAGGCATAGTGAAGTGCAATTTAGCTGCATTTATTTTAGTGGTTTGAGCCTAACTAAAGGGTGTCTAGACACACACAATACTGGTCAATAAACAAATGCTGGCATTCACAGGCAGGCAGTTTGTATGTTTGAGACAGGAAGTCAGAGTTTGTGGCCACTGGGTAACTAAGCACTTGAGCTAGCAACAGGGGATTTCTTATGTAGATAACTTGTGTGGTTTTTATAGCCCAATGCTAATGTATCTGATATATTCAATATGTTCTCCTTTTTTTTTCCTGTCTCTCTAGCAGCCTTTCTCTGCCCTATCATGGTGGATTATACTGTATTGGATCATGGAATTACTCACATATTTTTGCAAGACTAGTGGTCTGTATTTAAAGGAATAATTATACCTTTGAGCAAGACTTGAGATTGCAAAGAGGTGTCCACAGATTTGAGATTTGTCTGTGGTATGGGGACTTTCTGTTTTTTCTTTTTCTAGTTTTATAGTTTATCTTTTAAGGATCTTATCAAGGCCAAGGCATTGCCTAGAGCCAGAACATTAGTAATTAGGATAAAATTTGTTTAAATGCATAATTATGGTTATATCAAGTAAAAACATATTTTTCAGACATCCACACAAGTGATTTGGTGCTAGCAATGTAAATTTAATTTAAAACTATTTTTATTTGATTAAATAAAAATGCTTAAAAGTTTAAAAAAGTTTTCAGGTTTTTTTTCTTTTGTAATGGTAAATTCACATTTCCTTTATTGTTTTTAACAGTTAATAAAGAACAATGCTGCAATCACTGAATTTAATTACTGGAATCTAAGTTTACCCAAGCACAAAGAGAAGTTAATAGCAGGTTTAAGCATGTTTATGAATAAATAGCACCAAGGAGTATCTAGGTGTTGAAACTTTGCAGAAAGACTAGGAAAACTCAAGTTTTACAAGTGCTTAATGAATTAGATATTTAGTATAATTATTTCAAGTTCCACAACTGGTTTCTCTTCAATGAGTTATTTACAACATTTAGCATGTTCTATAAACTATGTTTACATTTAAAGTTTATTTTGACAATTTTCCATGTGTCTGATAATTTACTAGACTCCTAAATATAAAATATAAATATAAAATATAGATATTTACTCCATGGAGCCCAAATTCAAATGTGGAGAATAGTATATAAATACAGAATATTTTAAAAGTAGGTCATATAATCCGAGGAGAGAGACAAAGAGACCAAGTAAACCTTGGGAAAACATGAGAAGGCATCACAAAGTCACAGGGAAAACTGAAGATAAAATTTGAACTGGATCTTTAATCTTGGTGATTTTCCAGGTAGACAAAATAGGACACAAAATAATCTACATGTAAAGAAAACAATGAACAAAGACCCAGAGGTTGAAGAAGAACAAGATATTTTTATATAGTTGTGGACCAATGGTCATGGTGCAAAGAAATGTATAATGGGGTTACCAGGATTTGAATCCAGAGAAAAGGCTTTAGATAAGATTGTAAAGATTAAAAAGAGGTTAGGAATTTGGATGTTGCTAGGAAAATAAAAGGAACCAATGAGGTTTTCAAATAAGGGTTGTGATATGGATTTGTTCTTGAACAAGACAGCCTGGAAGCACTAAACAAAAGTGAAGATTGGCAGCTTCTCTCATACACTTCTTCAAAGGAGGGGATGACACTATTATTACTATTTTTTAAACAAGGTCTCACTCCCATTATTCAGGCTGCAGTAGAGTGGCATGATCACAACTCACTGTAGCCTAGACTTCTTGGGCTCAGGTGATCCTCCCATCTCAGCCTCCCAAGTAGCTGGGACTACAGGCATGCACCACCACAGTCGGCTAATTTTTTTTTTTTGTATTTTTAGGGGAGACGTGGTTTCACCATGTTTGCCCAGGCGGGTCTCCAACTCCTGTGCTCAAGCTATCCGTCTGCCTCAGCCTCTCAGAGTGCTAGGATTACAGGTGTGTCTCACTATGCCCAGCCTAAAAAAAATTTAGAACCTCTAGCATGCCTTCCAGGGACACACTTAATAAATATTCAGTAATTATTCCATATCTATGCTTCTTCTACAATAAGCCATAAAGACTATTTTAATTAGTTACTGCTTCACATTGATTGGAATATCCATTTCTTTCCAATTCAATAAAGCATTGTCATCAGAAGTAAATAGGGGTGGCAGTTGTTCTAATGGAAGCTAACAATATATTAACTAATGGATTTAGAAAATAAATTTTAAAAATTGCATATGTTATCCTTTCCTTACTCAAAAACAGGGCAGAGCAGTTGGTAAATTGCCTTCCATTCTTCTATATTTGTCTGTTTTAGAAAAATAAAATAAAATATCTTTCTTATTCATTCTTTCAATTGGAATGTAATGTAATATAAGAAACTGTAATGTACTCATTTTGCACACATATTAAGAAAACACACGGCATAATTGTGGATTATGGATTACAAGAATGGATCCAGTATAATGGCATATTTCTCATGAAAAAATAACAATTATAATATTAACCAAATTTTAAAAATTAATTTAAAAAATCTAAACACAGGACATACCAGTTATATTTAGCATATAATGAATGCACAGAATGTAAAATGTAACAAATATTTGAGCGAATCTAGGGAAAATTACTCTAAGCAACTCTATCTTACACAGAGGGTGTGATTAATCACTGGCCTATGTATACTTTTAACTAAGTGCACTGTTAGGAAATAATGAGATAATACACAAAGAGATATGCCACTTTTTGTACGTAAGGATGATATTCCCATTTCCAACTCTTCTGATAAAGATCTAAAAATGACAGATCCGTACTAGAAATGTTTTCTTCTCGTTTTAATGAAAGATGACCATCAGAGATATTACATGCAGAAAAAAACGCAAAATTCAATAGCTAAACATTTCTACTTGTGCACATAATTTAAATCATATCGAAAGATTGGGTTTCACTTCCTCTAACATATCAATACCTAGCAAAAATTTAAAAATTAAATAGAAGTAATGGCAGCAGCAGCCCATCTGGAGCAGCTGCTGCAAAGACACCGGCTGCAGTGAGAGAGGCGCAGCCAGGGCTGCAGGATCCACAGAGCCAATGGGAGCCAGGAACAGGAGGGAGCCCCGCCCCCTTCTGAGTTGGTGGGGCAGAAGCCCTGCACTTCTGGGTGCATCTGCAGCCACCCAGCCCTGGTCGTGGACCTGTGCATCCCTGTGCTCTTGGGGACCCAGGAAGCTCCTTGCCTCTGCAGGCTTGAAAGTACCTGCTCCCACTGCCTGGCTTCTCCCGACTCCCAGTACCCACTCCGATTTCAGAGTAAAGTTGTGGCCGACTGGGCACTGTCATGATCCGGCTGGGTGTGTGTACGCTTGGTGTGGTGCTGACACACCAGCCCCCTCCCACCTCAGCCCCCTCTGGACTTTGGATTCCCACGAACGCAGGAGAGAAGCTGAGAGGGAGGGCTGAGGCCAGCTCAGCGTGGGCCTGCAGGTGCTCCTCGGCATGAAGAGCCTGGGTGCCATGGATGGTGGGTTGATGGCAGCAGGAGGCAGACAGGTTCCTGGACAGACAGGGGCAGTTCCCCAGTGAAGCCCCACCTTCAGGCCACCAAAGGCCGAAGCCCCACCTTCAGGCCACCAAAGGCCTGAAGTCTGGGGACCAGGCTGCCAGTTCCCCGGAAATGGAGTGAGAACTTATGGTGCTTTTTCCAGGCCCACCTATGGCCACCCATGGACCAATCAGCATGCACTTCCTCCCCTTTGAAGCCCGTCAAAACCCCTGGATTCAGCCAGCCTCCTGCTTTCCTAAAACCTGCCTGCAAAGAGGACCTACCCACTTCGGGTCTCCTGAGACCTGTGCTGTTGCTCAATAAAGCACCTCTTCACCTCAATCACCCTCCAGTTGTCAGCATACCTCATTCTTCCTGGACTTGCGACAAGAACTTGAGACCTGATGAATGGTGGGTCTGAAATAAGTGTAACAAAAACGGGGCTGAAACAGACCCCTAGCTTGCCATGTTGCAGGCAACGAGAAGGAGGGAAGAGAGAAGGAGAGAGGAGCTGCAGCTCTTTGGGGATCCCAGACCTAGGAGCTCCCCAAGCTAGGGCTATGACACCTTCTTTGGGGCTCTTCAGTACCTGGCCTCTCCAAGCTTCCAGGCACCACCACATTCCCCGGTGCCAGCACTGGAAGCCACTTGCGGTACATCTGGTCCAACCACAGCCTCACAGGAACCCAGCACCCATGCCAGCACCTGGAGCTGCCTGCCCTGTCGCAGCTGGCAAGCCTGGTTGTGTGCGGCAGCTGGACACCATGCTTGCTCACTCATACACCCCTTGCTACTCCACACCTGACTCACTCTTGGCAGGCGTGAGATCAGTGCCAGTAGCGTGAGCAGACTGTGGCCTGCCAGGACGAATGGGTGGAATGAAGCCAGTGGGCCCCAGCAAAGCTTAGGCAAAGGCACCACTGATCACAAAGTTTTTCATCTGGCAAGGTGACACCCAAGGATCCCATGACAGAAAGAGCAATGTGTTGAGACTTTAATGAAATTTTAAAGTGACATATTTGCAGGTTTATCAAGGAATATAACAAGCTCTTCTTTTGTACAAAGTAAAACCAGTTTGAATTAAGTTCTAATTCTATGATCTAGTCAATTGCAGAATTTAATAAAACTGATTTAAGTCCCCTTTTCTTATCCACTCACTTAATGTCTTGACCATATTTGAATCTGGTACTACAAAGAGTCTCACATGAAGCACTGAACTATTTGGTATAGAGTAAGTCACCTTGATAATCCATTAACAACTTGTGACCCTATAAAATGTCATAAACCACCACACCACATATGTATACATGTGCCATGCAGCACACCAGCATGGCACATGTATACATATGTAACAAACCTGCACATAGTGCACATGTACCCTAAAACTTAAAGTATAATAATAATAAAAAAAATAAGAGACTACCTATGAAAAAAATAAAATAAAATAAAATGTCACAAACCATTACCAAAAACCTACTATTTTATCTAACAGGTATATGTGTTAGTAATACATATAATGATGGCCAAATGGTCTCTATATATCTTGATTTTTCAGTACTACTCTATGACGTTTACTTCTGATATCTTCAAATTGCCTCTTGTCCAGAAGACTATAATCTGTCTGAACCTGTGAAAATATTACCCTTTGGGAGAAGACAGCACATAAGTTATGTCCACAGGTAGTCCTTCAAGTTTTCATTTACACAGAAGTGCAATTTACCAACCATTTATTGGTCTTCCTTAGCAGTCTGCTTTTACTGTGATTTGTAGAACTGTCTACTGATATTCAAAATATTTAAACAACAATTTCTAATATAGACTCTGAATTACGGTTACAAAAATCAACAGGAGAAAAACCAAAAATAGTTTGTTCACAAAAATAAATTACTTTCCTTTTTTGATAATTACGTTTCCTTTAGGAAACATATCAACATTTAAAGCAACATGCACATTTAAGAGTTTTCTTTATTTCAAAAATGTGGACCACAGTGCTTAAGAATAATTATTTTAGTCAGCCTTGGAACACGCTTAAATAATTTAATATTTTAAAGCAATTAGTAATGTTCTCTTACAACATGCAAGAATTGTAGCTGGACAGACCAATGTGACAAAACCCATTATTACAAAACCTAATATTAGAGAACCATGCCACAAAGAAAACTGGACAGCAAACTCTTCCATTTATGATTCTCAAACACGTTCCATATTTGCAACACAAAATATCAGATGTGGAGAACTTTGTGTCTAAAAGTAACTTTGGGTTCAGTCTTGCTAACTTATGAGTGTGAACAGTGAAACATATCTATATGTAGAAAGATCCAGAAGTCATATCCCTTATGCCTGTTTTGTTCTTTTAAAAACTACTTGGCCAGGCGTGGTGGCTAACGCCTGTAATCCCAGCACTTTGGGAGGCCGAAGTGGGCAGATCAGTTCAGGTAAGAAGTTTGAGACAAGCCTGGCCAACATGGTGAAACCCCATCTCTACTAAAAATACAAACATTAGCCGGGCACGGTGGCAGGTGCCTGTAATTCCAGCTACTCAGGAGGCTGAGGCACAAGAATTGCTTGAACTCAGGATGCGAAAGTTGCAGTGAGCCGAGACCGCACCACTGCACTCCAGCCTGGGTAACAGAGTGTGACTCTGTCTCAAAAAAAACAAAACAAAACAAAAAAATTGAAGACTGAGTCTATCTGACAAGACTTGAAGAAAAATAAAGAGATAAAAATGAAAAAGAAAAGTGTTATAAAAGAAAGGGAACACTGATGATACACTAAGTATTTGAGAAAACTATTTATAAATTTGAAATAAAACTAAAGCTAAATGTAAAAAAAATCATAGGAAAGAAAAGAAACACAATATCTCTACAGAGACTTAAGTTCCTCCTACAGTGAGAAGAAGAGCAGTACTTTCTGGGAGGTGCAATCCACAAAAGAAAAATCCTTAGCGAATGGTGACATTTTTCGTTATGAGATACAAATTGCTATTTTCCCATGCTATCTTACCATAAAGTATCAAAAATAATAAAAAAAAACAGCAGTCTAAGTAGGGGAAGATGATAAATCATTAGAGAAGAGCCGCCACCTGCTAAAACTTTGAACTGCGTCTGAAAGCATCTCACATCAACTGCCAGAGTTGCTGCTGATCTAAGAAGTAATTCTACAAGCTCGATGCTGGACACAATAGTCCTGTTCCCTGTGCTTTTGCAAACACCCTATTGGAACCAATTTTTCTTTGTTTTAGGAAGAACAAAATGTGAGTCCAGTAAAAAGTATTATAGTAAAACAAAGAAAAAGAAAAAAAAGCAAACTGAAAAATGTTGAAAAGGATCAGTGCAACAGTTCACAAAATGATTCATTTTTTTTTCATATAATAAGGTAAAACTAATCTGGATAGGTACCAAAGAGGACAGAATATCCAAATGAGAATGTAAGTTGCCATAATAAATGCAAAAGGATGACAAAATAGAAGAGAAGATCAGAAAGAGAGAGAGAGAAACAGACAGAGAGAGAGAAGATATACAAGGGATTTGAGAAATAATTTTTAAGAGAACAAATTGAAGAGAAAAAGTCTACATTAAATAACCTGTTGAAAAGTAAAGTGACACAGAAGAAAACTTTTTAAATGATTGCCTGAATGAGGAAGAATCAGTAAACAAAGACAGAAAATATTGAACAACTGGAAGACAGATAAAGAGGAAGGTATATGAAAGCCAAATATGGAAAAAGATGGTAGTGAAAAAGAGATAAAGGAGGTAAAACAAAAAAAAATCAGATGGAAATTAGAAATGTCCCTGAGATGGAAAAATTCAATATATAGATTAAAATGGCTCATCACATTCCAAACAATATCAATCCAACAGTTTGACTCATCCTGACCAAATACAAGAGTACTATAAAGTAAGATTCCACAACATCCAGCAAATAAATTAAGTCCTATCACGTAGTAATACGATGGGGCAACACTGAGAGAAGTTTAAAAGAAAAAAATTCTTCATCAATCCACAAAATACTAAAGAAAAATATAAAAATAAGAAATAGTATTAAAAAGAATATTAAAATTATATGATAATATATTAACGACATTATACCTATAAATAACCAGAATATATTTTTGAAGAAGAGGGAAAGAGTAAAGGAATAAGAGTCCTTTTCTCAGGCAGTGGGAATGAAATTATTTATCTTTCTTCATTTTTCACTCTTTTAAATGTGGGAGACATCAGAAATTTTATTTAAAAACCTTTAAAAACTATAAAAGGCACATTTTTGAAGAACATAAAGCAAGACATAGACTTTCTGAAATGGTAATAAAGATGAGGCAAGGCTATACAGGTGATATGCAAAAACGTAGAACAAAGGAAACGAAAGCAATGTCTAAAAATAGAAAATATAAAATCATATTATAAAACATAATATATCACTGAATTACAAGAATGATTTCAAGTGGTTCTTAGGATAAAATTTAATTGAATTATATGTAAATATATTTTATGAGCTATCCCTTAAATCAAAAGAAAGTGACCCACATTTTTTAAAATATACATAATATTAAAAAGTATGCAAAGAATATTAGAAAATTTTTTAAGTCAAGTTCACAAAATTAAAATGTTATAGAATTTATCCAGAAAGCATTTTATGTACAAAATATATCAATATATGTTTTGTTTTGTTTCTCTTTTAGAGATAGGGTCTTGCTCGTCACTCGGGCTGGAGTGCCGTGGCATGAACATAGCTGACTGTCACCTCGAACTCCTGAGCTCAAGGAATCCTTTTGCTTTAGCCTCTAGAGTATCTGGACTACAAGCACATGCCATCACGCCTGGCTAATCTTTTAATTTTGTGTGGAGATGGGGTCTTGCTATATTGCTGAGGCTGGACTTGAACTCCTGGCCTCAAGAGAAGCTCCTGTCTTAGCCTCTCAAAGTTCTGGAGTTACAAGTGTGAGCCACTGCACCTAGCTTCACTATACATTTCTAATTGGTGCTATTTCCAAGAGACACACAAATTCCTGCAACTTTATATATGAAATAATAGGGGTAACAACGCATATATAAAAACCTATTCATACTAAAAAAGAAAGGGATCAAGATGTAAAGATCCATTATGAAATTAAGAATCAAGGTATAAGGATACTTTATGAAATCAATGCACAGCTCTCAGTTTTGAGAGATCAATAAGCAAAAGGCAAGACAAACATTATACAATGTGAATATTATCATTAGGATAGTTAATGTATTGAAAATTGTCCCCTAGATATAAATAATATATTTTAATGCCCAAATCTCATGTTACTAACACTTTATCCACTGGTCAACCTAGGAAAATCTCAATTTGTCTCACAAGGTAAAAATGAATTAACGTAATAAAATTAGAAATTAATTAGAATGTTTTTTAGAAGTCTTATAAATCAATACATACAGCCAAAAAATAACCTCATAGTAATAAATAAATCTAAGGCCAAAATAGAAAACAAAGGCACAAATAAAATCTATTTAGAAATTATCAGTGATCCGAAACATACTCGCCAAAATTCATGGCATGTACTTAACACTGTACTCTGAAATAAAGTCATAGTGTTAAATACGTTCATTATGCAACAAGAAAGGAAATTTTAAAAACTAAAATTTGCTCTTAGTAATATAAATGACATAATAATATATATTTAGGGAAGGATACAAATTAATAAATGTCAAACAGGGAAAATGAATCGGTAATAAGAAATCAGGAGACGAAGCATTATATTCAATAATGATTTCTGATAGTCATTTTTAAAACAATGATATATATATTCAAACTTCTGGAAAGTAAAACCCAGAAAGCAGACTAGACATCAGTGTTTAAGAAAGGCATTGAGTCCACAGAAAAAGAAGTGATTTATAAAACTGTAAATAGAAAGACTGTCATTTTATTTTACTTTCTAATTCAAAATTTATTTATATCACTCTGCAAATATAGTTGAGAATCTCTTAAAAGTTGATCAATTTCATTAAAAAATAGATATTTCAATACAGCTTCATGGAGAGAAGATATAATATTTTGACTCATGTCTGTAGAAGTTATAAAGAAGTGAGTTTAGAAATATATCTTTCCCCCAAAAGTTGCAGGACCCAAAGAATTGTAAGGATGACATCAACGAAATATCCATTTTTATAAGGATGACATCAATGAAATAAGTATCCATTTTTATACACTTTATAGCAGGCCACAGAAATTATGAAAAGTTTTACAATTCATATGAAAAGCTTGTGTAATTCTGATAATAAAAATGGCAAAGAAAAAAATACTGGCTTTCTTTACAGACATTGACACAAAATACTTAATATTTAATAGGCAATTTACTTCAGCCATATCGTACCACGCTTTACCATGAAATTGAAATAGAATTTCTAGTAGCAAAGCAAGGATAGTTAAAATTAGGAAACCTTATAAATTGACTTTTTGAATTAGTTAATAGAAATCTCCATTGATATTGCATAGTTATGTGATAAAATTTATATTTATTATAAACATCACAAACTGGGAGAAATAGAGTATTTTCTTAATATGTTAAAGGTTTTACAGCGAAAATCAATTGCTGTTCTTGTATATAATAATGAACTGCAGAAGATATGCCAAGTTTTTACTTATGAGGCTAGAAATGTAAAAGAGCAAAAAGAAACTAAATTTAAAAATGAAAAGACACAGTGCTATTAACAACTTCATCTGTTTGTTTTTGGTTTTGACCTTCAGGCAATCCACTCCCTAGCTCTCTGTTACCAACTCATTGTGATGTTGCGCATTGCTGTCGGTGGTTCTTCTCCACGATGGTGGATAATGGGTAATGAGTTGTGCTAGTGGTCCCTCAATCCAGTTCCCCAACATTTAGATACTTCTCCTAGGCATTCCAGAGGCTGAGACCTATAGATCAGCAGTGGATTAAGAGAGTCTGCCTCTTCCATTCTTGCTTCTACCACTCTGAAAAATCCCCAGATCTATGTACTGCTTTTCCCATTTTTTTTTTATTCTTCATGGTTTAAAGACTCAGATTGTATTTTAATAGATTTATGGAATTATAATTGATGTAGAATATACTACGCATTTTAAACAATATATAATTTAATAGTTTTTGAGATGTGGTACTGATAAAGCCATTAACACACTCGAAATCGAGAATGTTTTCACCACTCACAAGTTTCGTTGTTCCCCTCTTCAGTCCTCCTGCATCAATCTCCTTCATCTCCAGGAAACAACTAAACTTCTATCACAATAAATGACTTTGCAATCCCTAGAATTTTATTTAAAAATATTCATGGAATCATACAGAAAATACTCTGTTTTGATTTGCCTTCTTTCCCTCAACGTAAATACTTTGAGATTCATCTATGTTGTGATATCAACAGTGTGTTTCTTTTTATTGCTGAATAGTATCCCATTATATGGATACACTACAATTTGTTTATCCATTAATCTGTTGATGGAGATTTGGATTGTTTCCAGTAGTTGGATATTGCAAATAATGTCACTATGTTCTTTCATGCACAAGTCTTTGTATGGGCATATGCTTTTATGTCCCTTGGTTACCTAAAAATCAAAGGGCTAAGTACCTGGTTAGGTTCATGTTTAACTTTAATCAACTGCCAAATGGCTTTCCAAAATGATTTTTACAATTTTACATCCCTACTAGCAATATATGAAAGTTCTAGTTACTCTGCATCTTTGCCAATACTTGATCTGTCATTTTTATTTTAGCTATTTCTCTCAGTCCATGGCTTATATTTTTATTTCCTTCACAGTGCCTTTCAAAGAGCAGAAGTTTTAACTTTAAGTCCAGTTTATCGCTTTGTTGTTTTATGCCGCAAACTTCTGTTGTCATATATAATAAATACTTGCCTAACGTAAGGTCACCATTAATTTTTCCTACGTTTTATTCTAGAATTTTTATGGTTTCACATTTGCATTTAGGTCTATGATCCATGAAATCAAATTGGTATGAGGCATGAGGTTGAGTGATTTTTGCTTGATTTTGGCATACGGATGGCAAACATCATTTGTTGAAAAGACTAAGCTTTCTCCCCTGAACTGCCTTTGCACTTTTGTCAAAGATCAGTTGTCCATATATGTGTGGGTTATTTTTGGATTCTCTGTTTCATTGATCTGCTTGTCTGTCTTAATGTCAATTCCACATTGTTTTACATACCAATGTTTTGTAAGTCTTGAAATAAGATAGTGCTGACACTCCAGCTTTGTTCTTCCTTTACACAATTGTTTTGGTTATTATAGGTCTTTTGCATTTCTGTATGAATTTTAATATTTGAAAATGTGTCAATTTCTACCAAAAAGGAGGCTGCTTAGACTTTGGTTAAGGTCATGTTGAATCTATAAATCAGTCTGGAGATAAGTGACATCTCAAGAATACTGCTTCCAATCCACCTCACCCATTACTTACATCTTCCTTATATCAGCAATATTTGTGGTTTTCAGAGTACAGGTTTTGGCTATTTCTGTCAGATTTATCCCTAAGTACTTCATATTTTTATACTATGAATGGAATGTTTTTATGTATTTTTGATTGCTATTAATATAGATATGTAGTTGATTTTTGTGTAATATTCTTGTACTCTATAAACTTGCTAAACTCACATATTTTAGTAGCTTTCTTAACAGATTCAGTTACATTTTCCACATAGATGGCTTTACCACAGATTGTTTTACATTTTTCTCTAATCTCTATGCCTTTTATTTCTTTTTCTTGAATTATTGCACTTGCTAGAACCATTGTATAATGTCATATAGGGTGGTGAGAATAGATACTTTTGTCTTGCTCCTGATCTTAGGGTGAAAACATTCTTTTGTCTTCATTGTGTATGATGTTAGTAATCACCTTTTCACAGAAGGTTTTCTTAGCAGGTTGAAGAAGTTCCCTGCTATTCCTATTTTGCTGAATTATTATTAGAATTGTATGTTAAATTTTCTCAAACGCTTTGTCTGCTTGTACTGAGATGATTTTATGTTAATTATATAATGAGTTACATTGACTAATATTTGGATGCTATACTGACCTAGCATTCCTGGTATGCAGTTGATTTGGTAATGATTTTGGGGTATGACTGATAAAATGTGTATAGAATTGTACACAAATGTTTACAAAGTGTACTTGCCTGTAGTATTGTTTCTTGTATTTTGTCTGCTTTTGCATCATTATAATGATGTAGTGATGGCCTTCTTGAATGAGTTGGAACGTGTTTCCTCCTCTTCAATTCTTTTTTCAAGCCTCTTCAACTTATATAGAATTTGCATTATTTCTTTATTCAATGTTTGGTAGAATTAACTAGTGTTGCCACCTACACCTAGATTTTTATGTGTGGGTAAGCTTGTAAGTACACACTTAATTTTTAAAATAGACATAGGGATCTTCAGGTTATCTATTTCTTTTTGAGTAAATTTTGATAGCTTATGTATCTGAAAAATGTGTAAATTACACCTAAGTTATTAAAGTAATCTGCAAAAAGATGTTTATTATATTCTCTTACTATGCTTTTAATATATTTAGGATTTGTGGTGATCTTACCGCTCTTATTTCTGATATTGGTAATTTGTATGTTTGCTCATTTTTTTGCCAATCAATCTGACTGGAATTTTATCAGTTGTATTGCTTTTCTTAAAGAATCAGCTTTTAGTTTCATTAATTTTCTTTATTGTTTTTCTGCTTTTTATTCTGTTGATTTCAACTGTGAATTTTATTAATTATTTTTCTGCTTACTTTGTGTTTGATTTGCTCTGTTTTTTTTTAGTTTATCAAGATAGAAGCTAAGGTCATGGATTGGAGATACTTTTTCTTTCTAATATAGGAATATACTGATACAAATTTCCTTTAAGTTCTGGTTGTGGTTTTGCTATTGTTTTATGGGACTCTACAATAAGAATCTTCTTCCACATCTCCCTTATGCCACACTTTTCTAGTTTCAAGACTTAAAGAAGACAAATATTAAGTCTACATCTACATCTATATTCACACACACACCCACTATACTATGTACATATATGTATGCATGGATACACATATACATGCATATACACATATATCTGTGTATATATGGATTTGTATATAATTATACATTATGTAATTATAATATATAATCTTATTTATCCTATATAATAGTATATCCAAAAATCATACCACACATTCTATTCTAGGCTCAAGTTGCTGATACCAGTAATAGTCATCACCAAAAATTGTGATATCTGAGTTAGGACATTACAAGCAGAATAACAGTATTACAATAATAGCTACCATGTGTTAAGAGCACTCACTATGTGTCAGACTATGTAATGTCCTATACTATGTGATGTTGTGATGTCTTCATATCATCTTACAAAGTAATAAGAGAATCATTATCTTATACATATAAATACAGATTGACATAGTTACATAGTCTGCCTGTGATCCAAGAACTAAACATGGCAGGGCTAGTGTTTAAGCCCAGGTCTTTTCGACTTCAAAATGTTTCTGAAGAGAGAAGAAAAAAATATTATTTTCTTTTTAATTTCAGCCTCTCCATGTCAGTCTATGGCATTTGTTCAGATTTGTTCAGATTTCATTACCTGTGAGCCTTAAACTCAATTGGAAGAAATCTTTCATCAAGAGTTTAACCATATCTCTCCCATATAATAGAGGAAAATTCTACCATCCGTGAAAATTGCTTCCTCTAGTAGAGCATGTCATCTAAAAAACTGTCTTTTTAGCGATTGTAGAAAATTACAGAAGTGCCTCTGCCAGACTCCAAATTTTTTCCCTGAGGCTAGTTTCCTCCTGCACATTTTCATTTGGTGTGTTCAAAACCATTTATTTGCTTTTCAGTTTCTCCCTTGAATCTTTCTTTGCAGGGATCCCATCGTTAAACTGAGTTCAGACACTCTCTTATTAAGATCTCTTCCCTTCCCATACACATAATAGGCAAACAAGCACAGTAATAGTCCTAAGTTCACTGATGCCTAACTAAACATTAAATATTCTTGGGCCTGGTGGGTGCTATATGTGTTTCCCAAACCCAATTACTCAGAGACCCTGTGAGATAGTGTATTTTCTCTAGCATGTACTTACTTACTCCTAACATTGCCTCACCATATCCAAAATTCTTTAAGCCTATAGTACTACTATTGTGGCAACTAACTATTTTTCCCATCCTGTAACAGGACTATTATTGTTTTGTCTGCTAACCTGTCAGTCCTTCAGGCTCAACATGGGAAGTATATCATCCATGTCATCAACAAAATCCTAATGCCACTTTGTTAAATGCCTGCACACAGAAATTCTCTCAATTTAGAAGTTTGTGTCAGTTTACTTTAGAGATACCTACAGATCTCTACATAGATTACTCCTTGCTCGCTACATATGACATCCAACTCCTGAAGTTTCAGGAATGCAAGTGAACCTTCCTTGGCTGTAGAAATGTCTTTTTAGCCTCTCCAAGACCAGGTTTTATGCACTACATTAATAATCCTCAACCACGGGTGATTTTGCTTTTGCTTACCCAGAGGGTTAATTGGCAATATCTGGAGACACCATTGGTTGTCATGATTGGCATGCGGATACTGATATTGGTATCTATGAATAGAGGCAAGGCATGTTTACCACAATGCTCAGGACAGATCTCAGCCCCCACCAATTACCTGGTCCGAAATGTCAATAGTTTAAAACCTTTAATAGATGCTTTCCTAGTTCAGGAGTTTTGTTTATTTGTTTGTTTGGTTTTGTCCAGAAATGTGTCAATGGGAAGAAGAACTGCCTTAGCATTCTAAGTCCCTGAGGTCACATTGTCCTGGTCCCGGTTCTCTACACACTTACCTGACCCTGCCCAGCTACACCAGGTGTTAATCTTGTCTCTGAGATGCAAAGATATTAAGGCATGATAGGAATAAAGAATTCAAAATAAGCTTCATTAGCTGCCTAGTTCTGCAATGATTTTAGTTCCTCACTCTATCTTTGCTAAACTGAAATGAACAACATGTGAATCATAAAGACTGCTGTCAATTATTTAAAGCCCAGAGTCAGTCACTCTAACTAGATGAACAACAAAAAAGCTTACGACTAAGCCTATTTTATTTGTCCAGCATAGTGCTAAAATTTTGAATGCTTTCATAGACATTATGCAAGCTGTAAGTTTCCATAGTCCCTGCAAGTTAATAATCTTTATTTATATATGTTGCTTTGTGTACCATCTATGTTACTTACCTCTCCTTCCCTGGAAGGCATATGAGTTTGCCTAGGCTTGATTAAATGCAACCCATGGTCAAATTTAAACAGAGCACTTTCCTAAAAATTTGCCCTTAAAGTATATGGTTACTTTGACTTTCTTGTTCTTGTCATTCCAGAAATTATAAGATCTAGTGGAGCCCAACAGGAGATACCAAAGAAAAAAAAAGTGATACTTCTTTTTATAGCTTAGAGTAGCATGTCTAAGTCTGCTTCCCCAGTATAAAGACACTCTTAATTGAGTATAGCTGCCGGGCCACTTTACTGCAGTCTCTTCCTGCAGAAGAGTCTTCCTATCAGTTGTAAACACTCTTCCATCACTTTGAATGCTCCATGTTCTTGGACCAAATCACCCACAGTAAGGCTTTTCCTCCTCAGAATTATTGTGGAGGTGAGAGAGGAGAAAGTTGTTGAGCATTCTCACAGCTTCCTAATTAATCAACATCATTTCAGAAGTTTGATTTAAAAAAATGTGAATTTGAACAATGGATGGTGTTCAGGGAATAATGGGAAAAAATGTATTATTTATTAAGCTAAAAAATAGCACCATTGGAATTAATATTTGGCATATTGTTTCTGGTTGTAATAAGTGCATTAAACATACAACCATACAAACAAAAAAAAATCTGTATTACAGAAGATCAAAAATCAGAAAATATTTAAAAAGAAAACTTATCATATTCATATTAGAAACAAAAATCATAAAATAATCTGTAATATATTTAAAAATAAATTTTCTCCTGTTTGCATAACATTGTAGTATTCTCCTGCACACTTGACTTATAAATGAAAATCAACATAAGTAAGTAGAGCCTTATCATATCTCAAAATGAAAGATTTAGAATTTAAAAGATAATCATTCACTCCGTATTATTTTAAAAAATAACGCAATTCCAATTAAATGTATCAAAGACACTTTATTAGGGTACTGACATAATAATTCTAAAGTTCATCTCAATATCCTAAACATCTCACTTGTCTACCACTAGAGAATCATTTTAATAAATTAAGAACAAAGAGGTAGATCTTTATTTACTGTAATGAGAAAATGTCCAAGATATATTGAGTGAAACAAATAATTCCAGAAGCATACAAACAAAATTTAGACCAGTATAGCTAGTATAATATTTTTTGAGAAGAAAATATTCATTCATAAAAGTACAGAAAATATCCAGAAGAAAACAGAACAGAGAGTTAACAATGATTTATTTCTAGAATATGGTTCCGGAGAGGATAAAAGGCAATAGAAAACAAGATAGTGGGAAAGAACCACACTTACCAATGTAATTATATATAATTTTATATATGTATATATATCATTTTATAACTAAATGTAGAAACTGGATGGAAATAATACCCCAAATATATTTTTAAACAAGAATAATTAAACATAATTTAATCTTTTAGATTAACTAAGCAGTATGCCAAAAGCACCAGCAAAATAAAAATTTTAATAGAAACACAGGTGTTTTCATATATATTTGTATATATGAAAACATATATGAATACATAGTCCATACGCATAACATATAAATATAATGCATAAAATGTTAATGTATGTATCCATAAGTAACTACTTAATGATTTACAATTTAAATATAAAATTTTGAGGTTGTAATTAAATGACGTGAAATTGGGGAACTAGGTAAAATGTTTGACAATAAAAAGTTAGTTGAATTATTTCAAATAAAAAGCATGAGACTATTAGAAAAAAATAAAGTGAATAGTTATTTACTATTTTCTTGAGAGAATCTTTGTACCATACAATAAAGGAAGAAACAATAAAATAAAATATAGAATAATTTATATATAAATGAAATTAATTTTCTAATCATACAATCAAATCCTACCTAAAATAATTAAAAGCTGAACGGCAAGCTCTGAACGATTTGCAATGTTTATAGAAGCTAAAGGATTAATAAACTACTTAAAACCTATTATAAGTTAATAAAATTACGAACAAGCAAAGAAAATGAACATAAAATACAGAAATTAAAATATACAAATGTCAAACATAAGAAATTGCATGTGTCACTAGTAGTCACAGTGGTGGTGAATATTAATAGAACAATAAAATATCATTTGATCTCAATTAGAACAAATCATTGCAAAAAAATTTAAATGTTGAGGTGAGAAAATAAATTGAAATATCACTATAAATTGTTAATCATTAAGTGTATCAGAAATGACATAAGTGCAAACATTATTGTCCTAAATTTGCTTATCCTGAAAATGTCGAAAACACTACCAAAACAGAATTGGAACCCATATAAAATAAATTAATATTATTCACTAACTAAAAATATGTGTAGACGAATGCTTACTGATATATAAACATGTTCACAAGAGAGTAAGCAAAAATGGCAGATTATAAGCAATTCACTTACATTATTATTTTTGTGTAATAAAAATGCATACACAATTGTTTTAGAAAAAAGATAATAAAAGTTATATAAATTTTTTAAATTTTTGCTTTTATGTATTTTATCATTTTGAACATAAACATGTAATAAAATGGCATATTAATGAACAAAAGTATGAGAGAAAAAATTTATATTAAAAAACTGGGCCACACAAAACTGTATACCGTAAAGTTAATCTATAGCTTTGAACTTTAGTGATATAAATTTATCAATATTTTGAAATAAAAATTTATAAAGAAGATTTTCAAAGAAGATATGTAATTATCTTTAAAAGGCAGAAAATTTTTTAAAAAGTAAAATTTGGGAACGTAATTATTTATTCTTTCAGTAAGTATTTATTGAGCTTTTATTGTATACAAGACATGGAGTGAGGCACTGGAATTATAAAGTCCAACAAAAAAAGTCATGTTACCTTCTGCTGGGTAAATTAGATCAAGTAGGATTGGCAGACATTAATCAAGTCATTATGAAAAAGGAGGGATAATCTCAAATTGGGTACATCTCATGTAGAGTATTAGATGGGTGAGCAAGAGTAAAACAAGGTGGTTTGACTATACAAGGATTTCTGCAACGGCTTCCTGAGGAGCTGGTGAATGCGAATTCATTATATGGAGGTGAATAGTAATCTAGGGCCAGACTTACATCAACACATTGTCCAAGGAGAAAGAATGCAAATAAGAGGAAAACAAAATAAAGCCAGTGCCGAGAGTAGAGTCATCCATGAATGGAGATTGTAGAGCAAAGAGAGTGTAAAATGAAAATCTGTGAAGGCAGGGCCAGGTCATTCAGGGTTTTTTTTTTTTAGCTTATATTTTGGTTCTCATTCTATCAACAATAGGACTCCACTAAATTGCTTTAAATAAATAATGGAGGATGTAACATGATCCACTTTTGTTTTGGAAGCTGCACCTTGCCTGTAGCAGAGAAACAAATTCAATGGAACAAGAGTTGAATTAAGGAGACTAAATAGGACAAAAATTGTCACTAGTAAAGATGGAGAGACATGAATGAATTTGAGATTTATTTAGGAGGTAAAATCAGTAAGACTCCAAGATAGATTGCTTATGGAGTATGAGGGTGAGGATGGGTTTAAAGATAATTCTGGAGATTGTGACTTTCCAAGAGGGATAGCTTCATTCACAAAACAAGAAATACCAGGAATAAAAACGTGGAGAAAAGATCTTGGCTTACTTTTGGAAATGACTTTAAGATGTCTCAGATATCTGAATTCAGGTGTCAAATAAGAAGCTGGCATATATTTATACATGTGGGGAACTCAGAGCAGAGGTCAAGCAACAGAGAAATAACATGTTTATTTTTAGTGAATAAATGGTAGTGTATTCTGTGTGTGTAAATGAGATCAGAAAGAGAGGGTGAGAGGGAGAGACAGAGAGAGAATATGATGGAATAAGAGAATACCACAAGGATGTAGCCATAAGAAAAACGTAAAACTCAGGTAGAGGAATTTGAGCTTACAAAGATATGGAAAAGGTGAATGATTAAATGAAAAATGAATGAACCCATGTACAGAAGTCAAGGGAGGAAAACATTTAAAGAAAGAAAAAAGGCCGACTGTTAACAATTATTGAGATATCAAAGTAAAGCAAAGAATTTTTTAAAAAATTATAAAATGTGGTGATGATGAAGTCAGTGGCAAGCTTAGCAAGAGCTGTTTGGATGGCATAGTGGGCTCTAATGACACATGATAGTAGGTTGAAGAACTTAGCAATTGATGGAGAAAAGTAGACTGGGGTAGAATCTTTTGTAAAGATTTTCTATGAAAGGGAAGTATAATACAGAGCAGTAATAGAGGAGAATTTAAAGTTATAAGAAAATTCTCTCTGTCTCTCTTCCTTTCTTGAGTGGTAATACTCAAGTATGTTTAAAAGCCTATAAAAATGATATAGATTCAGGTCAGCAAACTAACACATGAGCTAAATCCAGACTGCCACCATTTTTTTTGTAAATAGATTTTACTGGGACACAGATGTACTCATCCTTTACATATTTTCCATAGCTTTTTGTACTATAGTGACAAAGTAGTTGTCACATCGACCATATGGCCCATAAAGTCTAAAATATTGACTGTCTTATTATTTGCAGAAATAGTTTGCTGCCCTCTGATCCAGATAAAAGAAATAATTTGACTACATAAAAAAGTGAAAGGTAACTGATGAGGTAAAATTACTTAATGTCAGAGAGTATTGGTGGAGGAATCATTCAGACATTGGCAGTATTATACCCTGGGAAGTAGAACATTGATGTAATTTCCTTTAATTTGAAGGTAATTCTCTACTAGTTCTTTGAAAAAAATCAATAAATCTGTAGATCTTTAGCCATTATAAACAAGAATCATTTAACAAAACAGAACGTTGAGGCATTTACAATCTTAAGGAAAAATTACATGTAATGATCTAACAATTTTATTCTGTTTATAAGAATACAGACTCAAGGAGCTGACATCCCTTATTTATAGTTTGTAGTGCAGTGGTCTATAGTAATTGAATGAACAAATATATGACTAGAGAAGATGTTTAAGTATTACATAAACAATTTGTTATACATGCTAAATTTTCAAAGAAATGTGGATTTTGTAGGAAACTATAGTTTAACATTCTGCTTCAAAGACATAAAAGAAAAATCTAAATAAAATTTATAATTTTTTCTCAGCATTGCATCCAAAAGGGGTTCTACAAAGGCAAATTTTCATGAATAGTTTATACATTTCAAGGGAAAACAATTTCTATATTATTTTAATGATTTTAGAGCTAGAAAAAGATAAATTATTAAATATAACTCAACTAATAAAGAACATAATATTAAGATCTCTTTTTATTTAAGAGATAATTATAAATTACGAATCAAAGTAAGCGCAATAGGAGCTGATCTGGAAAAGAATATAATGAAAGAACAACCATAATTTATTCCAGAAATACAAATAACATTTAATATTATGAAACAATATATATAAAATTCATAAAATCAAAAACCAAAGTATAGGAAAAAAGATATTCCTCACCAAAAAAAGAAAAAAAGCTAAAAATTCATTTGGTAAACTTAGTGTCTGTCCTATTGTTAATTTTTATAAATGAGACTATATGATAATTGTGATAAATAAGATTTTGCTAAAAAACAGTGTTTTCCTAGTTTAAAAATAGCACAGAGTCCAGTGTTACCACATGCTAGTATAGGTACACAACATATTTTTGTTGAATAAATCAACGAAGTGGACCAAAATACAGTAGTCAAATTAAAGTTAGAAACAAAAAAATTGCTCCAAATCACCATAGTCATTTAATGGTATTCTAGAAGATTTCCTCTTAATATGTAGAAGTATAATAAATAAGAAATGTAACTATTAAAAAAGAGAAGATAAACATTGTGTTTTGCAAAATTATTTTTGAACTAAAAATTTTTAAAAGTTATTCTACTAAAATGAATGCATATAATCAAAATATTGATGCCTATAAATATGGACATACATATACATGCATTATCATATCTGTATTAGAATTTTAAAATGAATCAAATGAACACATCTTTAAAGGGGACATAGAAAGGAATGATATAAATCGAGCTCTAAGACAATATTTTTTATAATATTTCCTTTTGAAAAATGCAGAGATTTCAATTATTTCCAAATTGATTCATAGATTCACATAATTCTAGTCAAAATACCAAATATGTGTGTTCAGGGAAGAGAGAGCGATACAAAAATCTCATTTCAAATAGAAATGACAAAGAAAAACCATGACATTTCTTTTTTAGTAGACATGGAATTTAGTGGTTGGAGCAAGAATACTTATTTATAAAACTTAAAATATATTGTAAACTATAATAGTGTTTGAAAATATGGTTCTTACATTGTAATAAAGAGTGAATCCTTGAGTGGAATATAGAAAGCACAAAAATGACCTGGATATATTAGAATTTTACGTTAGTATTAAGTAAAATATCCGGAGAGAATTATAATATTTTAGCAGGAAAAAAACAAGTTAGTTCTCTATTTCACATGGACACACTAAAGTATGTTTTAAATTAAGAAGTAAATGTAAAAATAAACCTATAGAGGAAATGATTAAGACATAGTAAATATTTAGTATACACAGGATGAGAAAGGCATTTTTAAAGTAAAAGCAATGTAAGAAAACATAATGAATAATGTTATTATTGTTGACTTCAAAGACTGTTTAGATTCCACATTTCAAAATAAGAAATCCAGTAACACAAAATGTGAAAAAAAGGTTCTACTGCACTAACGTCAAACATGTAAAAATTAAGTGCTAAAAAAATAACCTGTCAAATTGCTAAAAAAGAGATAATAAATAATGTTAGGGGTATATGTGGAAAAATGGGAACTCTTACACAATGCATGTGGTAAGATAAAAAACATAAAAAGTTATATATTTTTGAGAGAGCAATTTTGGCAATGTGTTAAGTAGATTACATTTTTTATTCTTTCTGGCCACTTATTCTCTTTTGTAGGAATCTATCAACATGATGAGGTAATTTAAGACATTTTTGTGACGGTGAAATGAACCATCGCAAATGTCCAACAAAAAAGGGAGGCATAAGTAAAAGATGACACATCTTAGGAATATACTTTCAAAAACTATGTTTTCAAAAGCATTCCTATTCATAATAAAATGTGAACTTCAAAGTAATGTTATGCAATCATATACATACAGTTTCTAATATGAAATTAATTTTCTCTAATAGCCACAGTCACATACCTGTGCATATGATAGAATTTATGTTCCAGAATTTTTAAAGTATTACCTCTGCATAGTGGGGCTTGTTGGTAATTATTTTGATTATTTTTATAAATAACTTTATGTTTTCAATATTTTCTTAAAAAGCATTCATTTACTTTATAACTAGAAAATAATGGAAATTAAAATGTATCATGTTAATCTACAAAATTATACTCGTTCATATCTCAGAATAACCTGTATCTTTGTAATTGTTTAGTATAAGTAGAGTAGAAACAGTCAAACATTGTAGGATAAAATCATATATTTGCTTATATAATTAATTATGTAATCTGTTTCAATAAATTTTTAGTAAAAAACTCAGTGAGAAAGAGAATGAATGCTATCTTCTTTCTGGCCCAAAGATTCCTTGTCAATCTTCATGTTTTGTTGGAGAATCATATACACATTCCAAAGGAAGATGTTATACCAAAGGTGAAGGGGCAACACATTGGAATGCTGATTTTAAATCATCTCTTATCCTCCAGTCATTTGGGAAAAGCCACACTGTGAGTGGTCAGATAACCAAAGAGATTATGATTTGCGAAAGTTAAAAATTTATATTTAAATTTTAAATTCCCTTACCTCTCAAGTTTCAAGATTGACATCTAAGTAACATTTCTCAGAAATTAAAAAAAGGAAAAAAGAAAAGAAATTCTAGTTAGAATACCACACGCCACGCCCCAAAGGTGAGAGGAAAAAGTGGTTGAGAATATTTGGTCTCTGTGGTTCAGAAGTTACAGAGGAAACAGCTACTATCAAATTGGAATCCCTAAGAGCAATGCACAAAATGGAATTCCAGAGTGGCATAGACCTGGTGTCAGAACTTAATCACCGAAGACAAGGTGAGCATGGTTACCATGACGACAGCAAAGTCAAAGCAGTGATCAGAATACCCTGACTCAAAAAAGATCTATGATGCTGACTAGTGGATCATGGTGTCCCTAGAAGAGAAGTACGTACAAATCCATTAAATTCATACTTGATCTGCATACGTGGAAGAGTTCTAGCTCAAGTGAACAGAAGTCTAATTTGAATCACCAAAATAGTCATGATCCCATAATCAATTCCCAGACTTGAGCCAGTTTACAGACCCAGAATCCACTGAATGAAAAGGCAGACAGGTCCCCTTGAGGAAGGACCCTGCTATACTATGAAAAATGTATACTGTTAAACTTTCCCCCAGCCTTCTCCAGCGAGATCTATAACTATTTTCTAAGGTGACTGTGTATTGGGGAATGTGAAGTAATCAGACTTTTGGGGATTACTCGACACAAACTCTGAAGTGACACGAATTCTTGGAGATCCAAAACATCCCTGTGATCCTCCAGTCAGAGTAAGGGCTCGTAGAGGACAAGTGATTAATGGAATTTTAGCTCAGATCCATCTCACAGTGAGAATCCAAGCCGTGTTATTTCCCTAGTTCCATAGTGCATAATCAGAATATATATACTCAACCACTGGCCAAATCCCCTCATTGGAATAATTATGCTGTACCAATCACAAAGAAAATCATTTGTTTTCTCAAGCAAATGTAACATTATTATTTTGTCTTTTTTGTCTTTATGGGGTTTGTTTTTTGTCAGTAGTGCCCTCTCTCATTTCATAGTACGCAATCATATCATGAGAAATATTCCATTGAAAAACTTAGAAAGAAATGTGTTTCAGTTTAAAATATATTACACTATGGGGACAATAATAAGAATGATGCAATACATATTTCTACAAATATAAGAGCTTATACTTAACCAATATAAATACTTATACACAAATTATTAAATTATATATTACATACATATATATGCAGTAGAGCAATATCAATTCTTCTTTAAATCACTTACTAATAACTTCTGAATTCAAAAGGAATATTTAATGTATTGTTGAAAACTCCCACTTGTGATGTGTGATGCATAAACACCTGGGGAATGAAAAAACTGTTTCTAAGGCCAGGCCACAGCAGCTCATGCCTGTAATCCCAGCACTTTGGGAGGCCAGGGCGGGCAGATCACCCGAAGTCAGGAGTTCAAGACCAGCCTGGCCAACATGGTGAAACCCTGTCTCTACTACAAATACAAAAATTAGCCAGGCATGGTAGCACACACCTGTAATCCCAGCTGCTCAGGAGGCTGAGGCAGGAGAATCGCTTGAACCCGGGAGGTGGAGGTTGCAGTGAGCTGAGATGGCACAATTGCACTCCAGCCTGGGCAACAGAGTGAGACTCTGTATCAAAAAAAAAAAAAAAGCCAAAAACAAACAAACAAACTGTTTCTGCTTATTAAAATGAACTGAAGTATGATATCTGATAAGATAGGGAATTTATAAGTTGTTTCTCTAACTCCTTTCTTCTTTAGACATAGTAACAACAAAATAATTATAAATGCTGCTTTCTTTGCAAGGTGAATAAAATGTTCGGTCAAGGGAGTATTTTACAAATCCTGGGGTATTATTAAATATTGCCAGCTCTGGTACCCAAACTAAATTACAGCTCAGACAAGGGACGGAAAGGTCATGTTTATTATTCACTTTACTAAAAATGTAACCACAACACGTGTTTCTACATCAGGGAGTATTATAACCATCATCATAACTAATAATAACAATGAAAATAATACAGCTACATTGTATTTTGCATTTTTCAGTAAACAGTAGGGCTTATGGTTAATAATCATTCATATTTACACTGTAGCTTTTTATGGAGGAGTTCAGAGTGGTTTCTGAATAGTACCTCATTAATCATTTCAACAAGTTACTTGGAAAGTTATTATCCTAGTCCAATAGATGAAAAAATTATATCACAGAAAGGTCAGATATATATTTACTTGTCCAATATTAGAGAAGTAAAGAGAGTCTGCTTCAAATCTAAGACCTCTTTTTCACCCCTTGATCTAACCACTGGACCAAGGCAGTATTTGTCCATGTTGTGGTTTGACCATCAACCTAAAGTACTTCAAGGCTGACCTCTCTGCTATTACTTTTACAGATCTATAGACAGAGAAGAAAATATCATTTTTTCATCTATGGTGACCATACTAAAAAAGACTCAAACCTAATTAATGTGTATTTACATTGTTTCTTTAAGTCTTATTAGAAACAATTGACAAGAGTGGTATCAATTTACAATTGTAAATATCAAAGCACTTAATAGTGAAATGAATGCATCATGATGAAATTTATGATGAAACAAACAATATTTTTAAGGTGTCATTTGAAAATAAATTTATTTAATATGAGTCAGTTAAAGGAAACAAGAAATCAACTTTTAATAAGTTAACACCTCAAATATTTAGATCTTCAAGAGCAAGTGAAAGAACGTATGTTTCAGTTAATGTGTCTTCAGGAAGGAGGGAAGAATTGAAATGCAAATATAGAATTTATACCCAAAGACTGTTTCTGTTTGTCTCAATAAAATCATCACAATTTCAAGGCTTTGCCTAATGACATTTTATTTTAAGAGAAGGCAACTAAACAACAATTGTTATACTTTAAAAGTGAAAATATACAGTGAATACGAATTAAGTAGCACTGTCCTTCCAAAATAAAAGAACATTTGCAGGCATTTTTTTCTATATTATTTGCTACTCCAAAATTAGTGTCTATGTAATTTTGCTTTAAGTTAAAAAATTTAGCCCAAATGGAATCAAATCATAACTCTATATATTCCTATTTTGAAGCATATATTGCTTATTTAGATCTTAAAAATATAGTGAATTCTCTTAAGCAACTCATCCATGTTTATCTTAGTTTGTCTGCTTTATTAAAAATTTACTCACCTTTTAGTTTTTAAATCAATGATATTTGAAGATCTGAACCATTAAAATGTAGGTAAAAGTAAAAATTATAAGTGTCATAAGTTTTGACATTATAGTTACTCTACGTCTGACCATTTTATTTTAAAACCTGCAGTCAAAATGTTTACTATACCTTATTTACTTCCACTAGAAGAATTTGTGTTTAAAAAGAAACAAAATGGAAAAAATGATTCTTCTTGCTAGATTTAATGATTATGTTTTTCCACTTTTCTCTGAGGTCTGAATTCAGTAAACAAAGAGATGGAAAACTAGGTAAAGAAGACAACATACCTTACAAGTTATGGTGTACAGACATCCCAAAATTTGGAAAACAATCATACCAAATTGAGGCAATGAGAGAGGAAATTAAAAAAATTACTTTTCTGTCATTAAATTCCTTTTCATGTATCTTCCACAAATATTTACTTTTGAGACAATTCATATAAACTGGATAAGTTAGTACAGAACTGTGTTTATTAAAAAGCAATTATCAGCCTGTATTCAAAAGCAATACCATCTGTATTCAGTATACATGTTAGTATTTTAGAAATATTTATAGAAGATACATGAGTGTTTAATCGTATATAGCTGTTTAAATGAAATATTTCAAAGTTACTGTGATATTTATATTTCGTATCATTTATATAACATTAAAATATTAGTATATTTTATTTCCATGTACAAACAATAATGCTAAATGCCATAACCTTATTGAGTTATATATTTGCTTATTTATTTTAAGCACATTTGCTAACTTATTTTAAGCAAGTTTGCTAACTTATTTTAAGCAAATTTGCTTATTTATTTTAAGCAAATACATAATAAGGTTATGGTATTTATTATTATTGTTTGTACATGGAAAGAAAATATACTAATATTTTAATGTTTGTGTTCAGGGTTTTCCTTTTAATTATGCTTCTTCATATTTCTTTCTGAATTTCTTACATTTTCACCATTTTTAAATATTTTATTAATATGTATCAGCTTTGCTGTCATTTCATTCCCCAAACTTATGTTTACAATATTATAATGTATAGATTTGACTTAAGGTCAAACTTTATGACCTTAAATCAAATGACTTTGCTGTCATTTCATTCCTCAAACCTATGTTTACAAACCTTACGTAAGTAAACTTAAGGTGTTAGCTTTCATATATTTTTATTTGTATGTTTAAGAGACAGCGTCTTAGTTTTGCCCAGGTTGGAGCACAGAGGCTATTCATAGGCTCAAACATAGCTCAGGACAACCTCGAACTTTTGGCCTTCAGCGATCTTCCTACGTTAGCCTCACAAGTAGCTGGGACTACAGGTGTACCATATTACCTGGCCTCCCTTGTAAAGGACTAATTTTCCATGGTTACGTTTGTTTAGATTTTAATTTCTCTTGGCAGTGATAGCATTATTTTTAAACTCTTTAGCAGGAGTTTAAATACATAGTCTTTGTACATATCTAGCAGCTTCTAGCAGACGTTTATTTAAAAAGCCAATTGTTTTGATACCTTAGGAAATACTGTGCTTTTTTTCTCAACCTTTCCTACCTTACAGTTACAATTTTAATGGCTTATGGAGTGCATGAGAAAAATAGCCCTGTAATTTCTTTTTCCTTTCATGAATATTGAGATTTTATTAAACTGACTCAATGAATGATGGTTCTTCTGGTACTATAAAAAGCAATTTTAATTTTTAAAATGTATTCAACATCACTTCATGCTTTTCACTGATCAAAAGACATACTGGTTTTTCAAAACTCTCAGTGTCTAGTGATATACAGGTTGCTTCTGCTTCACTTTGATTTAGTGAATCATGAAACTCTAGAGACATGAAAATTCAGATGAGTCACCAAGTCCCCAGTGAAAATATTACTGAGCAACTCCTAAAGCATAAAACTATCTCTAAATGCAATTCCTGAGAAGAACTAGGGATGATTACATTTTATAAACACAGAAAAGTCTCAAGAAGGAAATTCTGGTATCCTGTGGATATTATTGGGGTGTGTCAAAAGCTACACATTCCTAAGACCACAGACTTCTCAGCTGGGAGTCTTCAAGAGCAATCATTTATGAAAACCTTGTCCGTGAGATGCTAATACCAGCTAATTCTAGAAAAAGAAAAGGGCCATTTATTGTCAGTTTAAAATCTTTCCTAAATTAGCTATGTCGGTCTTTTTTTGGCAGCTGTCACTCTTCACCACTACCATTTGTGAATTCTAATGAAAACTCTATTCACAAATAGATTTTAATTGGACCTAATTCAGACAATCGATTTTTTAAAAAGCAGACATAGTTTTAAGTGCTTTCAAAATATCTAGTTACTTAGCAGAATTTCAAAGACATATACGTGTGTGGGAGTGTGCACTCATGTGCTCACACATGTGTATGCGTGAGTTACATATTTTCCCCTCAAGCATAAAGAAATTGTATGGCTGCTCACCTGGGCACCCCAGTTTTTAGTAACTGAAGAAGTTCTTTCTTTTCTCATTGACAAATGAATGTAAGTAGCTCAGTCTTTTTCTCCACAGCTCATCCTGCTTTTTCAGTTCTGAGAATGACCATAGAGACTTTACAAACTTTATACTAATCCGAGAATTGCTTTGTGTTGGGAAACACTGTGCTAGCTGAGTCACTCGTTTGAGAGATGCGTCACAGAGAAACGAAGTGACAAGTCTAAAGCAACACAAAAAATGGCAATATGTAGTACAAATACAGACTTGACTATGTTAAATTTTGTTTTTTGAAAAAGAATTTTAGACTACATAGATGTAAGATACTTATAATTTATATTTTATTTGTTTATTTTGAGATGAGTCTTGTTCTGTTGCCCAGGCAGGACTGCAGTAGTGCAATCTTGCACTGCAACCTCTGCCTCCTGGGTTCAAGCGATTCTCTTGCCTCAACCTCCCTAGTAACTGAGATTATAGCTGTGCGCCACCATGACCTGCTAATTTTTGTATTTTCAGTAGAGACAGGTTTTCACCATGTTGGTCAGACTGGTCTAAAACTCTTGACCTCAAGTAATCCACCCACTTTGGCCTCCCAAATTACTGGGATTACAGGCATGAGCCACTGCACCTGACGATACTTATAATTTTTCAGATATGATAATACATTTACCTTAAGGGCCATATTCCTAACTAAAAAATCTTGGTGATTTTAACAAATATTTGTTACTAATAATTTAAATTGTCGTAAAAAAATTTAATTAATTTTGATGGACATTAATTCTGATGGAAATATGTTTCTATTTTGTCTTTATATGCACACACACAAACACACACACACATATATATATACAGACATACATACATGGATAAACTCACATACAAACACACACACATCCTATTTAAATATACAAATACAGTTTCAATCATAACATTGTACCATGACACAGTTGTAGTCAGCCACCTAAATAAAGTTTGTTTTCTATAGCTGTATGTCGATAAACTGTTAATTAAACTCAAGGTAACTGGGTCTGCTTTCCTTAGAGTCCTCTTTATATATACATTATGCTTAGTAGTCCTTGGAAATTCACTTAGCACACTGAAGAATATCAATATCTAAAGTGTGAAAAGAAGTTAAGTGGTCTACTTTATACCAGTTGTTTGAACCTGACCTAACATAGTCCATAAATAAAAGTTGTTAGAAATGGTTTATACCACCCACTGCATAACAGTCAAAGAAATTATATAACCTGAACTGAAAACCAGTATATTTTTAAAATTTTGCTCAATTTTGAAGAAAGTAATGAAAATATTAAATATTTGGAAAATATACACCTATATTGTCACCTTTACTGCCATTTTCCTAATAGCAGCACTGTTAGCACTATAGGATCATTAAACTTTATATTTCAATTACTTAACTATTGAAACACTTTGGATGGAGAGTCTCTTTAGAGACTACATTCATTCATTTTAAATTTTCACCAATTTAACTTTTTTTAATGTACAAAACAAACTACAAATATTCTTTCTTGTCCTTTGTTCACATTGGCTAATATATAAAGGCCGCTGCTACTTTCAGTTGATAAAACAAATCCTAGAAGAACTAGATATTCAAAACTTTGTTCTTTACAATTTCGAAGGAAAAAATTGATATACAGAATGAAGCAACTTTATATCCCTGGTCATATTTTTTAATGAGATAACATTATGCCAAGCTTCACAAGCTATTTTTCAAAGTAAATATTTGCATTTCCTGTCTATATAGTAACACCTTACTGTTTTAGGAAAAGCTGTATCCTTTTGGCTTTAAATTCTCTTTTCTGAGTACATACTGAGGATGTATGTACTAAGTGAATGATTCAGTTCAACCAAGCACACTGATCCACTCAAAGTATGATTAGGATGTATGTATCCCTTATACTTGTGCTATAATTCATATTAATTACTCATAACTATCTACTCTATTTCTCTTTTATAGATATGAACAATTTTTACTGCCCAAATTATTAAAATATTATCCCTCATTTTATCAGAATGGTATGTGCACACAGACTTTTCAGAATTAAAACTTGCAAAACATAGAGAAAATTATTTAATTTGAAAATTGCATGCTATATTTGTGTGGAGGCTCACAAACGCCAATCTAATAATCTCAATTTAAAAAATCCTTTTAAAAGAAACAAGCAAAATGGATATTGTAACCATATTTAGGTCATGGTAACTGAATATAAAGTTAGGTGGAAAGTAGAGTTTTTAATTTAATGCAATTTTTATTTCTTCAAGGCACTATCTTAGAAAATTAGCATTTGGTGCTAAGTTTTCCAATTAAATATTTATGGCTTTATTGGGTAGAGTTTGGTGTTTTTAATTTTTTTTTAAAAAAACCTACCTCACAAAAATGTCTTATAAATATATTAATGGTTCTCTGCTAAACTAGTGATATATGAGACTTATGAAAACAATGCCAAGCTAAAACTCAGCATACTTATACTATTCCAAAAACATTGTAAAGTTGGGCAAATCGCTGCCCTCTCTTGGCTCTATTTTGTAGAGAGATTTTGTCCAAAGGAATATTTCTCAACAGGAGAAATTTTACTCCGAGTGACAAAGAAGTAAGAAGTAATTAGGGTTTTCCCTATAACAATTTCTAAGAGTTTGCTTTTCCTCACCATTTATATCTACCTATAACTGTAATACAGCAAACATTCTGTCAAAAAATGGGGTGACCCCTGCAATGTTTGTTTTTGTATGCTTTCGTTTTAAAACAAGTTGAAATTCATTTAAATATAGTTTTATAGCACCCCCCTCCTCATCCTAAATGGACATATGATCTTAAATGTATAGCCTACTAATGTCCATGTTTGAGGGCACAGAAAGTTTGAGCTACTTTAGTAAGGATTCCATTTTGACTCAACAGAATTATTACAATATTTAATTACATTCTTCATTACTTAATGCCTTAACAACACATTCATTTTCAACAATACTAGTGCAATTTCATGACATTAAATGTCAATCTATATAACACATACAATATCAAAATGTGTTTATTTAAACACACGTTTTAATTAAATGAACCATCTTTTAAACTTGTTTCTGTCATGGTAATGCCTAGGGTTTTTGATGGAATAATCTGTGAAATTTAAGATCTCTGGAAAAGTCTTAGAACCCCAGTTCTCAAATCCTGGTTCTTTAAGAATGTTTCTTTCTTCTTGGTGATTCTTAAACATAAAAGTTAGCATTCTACTCCAAAAGTCAAGAGAAAATGAATTAATGCGTCTAGAATTTTCTTTTCTTTTTATATACCAGCCTTTAAGAGGATCACAAAATATAAGGAGAACCCAGAATAAAATAGGATGAACTTGTGTTACTAATACTCAAGTATATTGTATAATTGTGGGCCTGCAATAAAAACATCAAGCCTTGTTAGACTTTTATAGAAAATCTTTTATTCTTTTTAATTTTTAAGGGCAATTGCTTATACAGTTTCCTTTTAGGAATTTATTATCTGGGATTACTTCTCTTATTTTCAATGATACACAAAAAAGAAGAAAATGAATTCTTTGAAGAACAGTTCAATAGTCCAAATTGTACTGAGTTAGAGATTATTTCAAATTCAGTGCTTTGTCTGAAAACATTTTCATTAGCATTTGTAGTTAGGACTATGGAAAAATTGGAGTATATGCTATCAAAGAGCAATTATATTTTCCAACTGTTAACTAGCATTAGAAAGGGCAACATCTTTAATTACTCATTAAAACTGTCTTTTGAAAGAGTGATCATCTAAAATCAGATACTAAAACATTATATTGCCAGAATTTAACCTCTCTTCACTAGTTTCTTCCAGCAACAAGGCCTTAGTAGTCAGTCTTTGCACATAATGATCAACATTACCAAGAAAAGAACAATTTACATCCAGCATTACTTATTGACAAGTTTGAAATTTGTGACTATTTGTCTGCTCACTAACATGATCCTGTAAGTGATCTTTTAAATTAAATAATCAGAAACCGGGTCCAAATTTATTCTTATAAAAACAAAAATAATATAACATGGAAGGTACACCTTTATTTGAGGCTGTTACAGAAAGGGAGGATACCCAGAACTCAAACCTCTCTCCTTTTATTTATAAATATTTGTATCACTTATTTTTTAATAAGTTTAACAAGAATACATATCATTTCTTTTGGGGATGACAGCAATACTGACAAACAGTCCCTGTTATGACTGCCATTTTATTATTGCTAAATCATCCACAAAATTGTGACCTGATTTTAGTTACCAGGGACAAAGCCAAAGCATGGAATTGAAGTTTCATTCTGATTAAACACAAATAGCCAGTGCATAAAAACCTTTGAAATCGGATCTATATCCCAGTAATTAAAAAACAAACAAACAAACAAAAAAAGAAGGAAGAGAAAGGAAGGAAAGGAAGGAGTGAAAGAAAGTAGGAAAGAAGGAAACAAAAAAAAAAAAAGAAAGAAGCCTTAGGAGCCTGATACAATTACACAGTAGGCCTCTGACATTCTCTATGCTGGTATAATAACTAAATGGCAAGTAACATGGGTGTGAGATCCCTGTTGCATGCTTTCATTAAAACTAAAAATTTACAACAAAATCAACCCTTGGGAAAATTGCTCTTTGGTTTAAATCTTCATTACCTTCTGGAATTTTGGTAAACTCACTTTATTTTTAAATTAAGCTGGCCCTCTTCTTTACTCCATTACAACAGTCAAACACCAAGAACCAGACAGAAATTTCAGAATGAAAAGAGTTTTGTTTGTATGTGTGTTTTTAAGTCCAACCCCTGTATACAAATTGTTAAAAAGCAGATGTTTTAACATAGTGCTTTATTCCAACTTATCCTTGAATGAACTTCCTTCAAGTTTCAACCATTTAAAAAAAAAAAAAAAGCAGTCAATTTCCTGGTGGTTGTAATTTAATTAAGTAACCTTTCACACTGAGCAAAACCCAAAAGCAAAAGGGTCATTAATCTTTCTAGTGATTAGAGACACCTCTAGGGCTTCAAACATTTACCTCTCCTTCCCCGCAGTAGAAATGCTTTTAGGAGGATCATGGTTCATACCTCACATTCCCTGGAGCCAGAGATGGTATATGTGCAGGGCCCAGATCCATTAACCGATATATCCATGGTCTCAGAGTTTGTAGGCTTGTAGTCCACATAATACTCCTGTAAAGGGGAATTCATTTGTCTTTCAGACTCTCTGGCCTTTTTCCGCCGCCTCTTCATAAGAGAGTGTTGCTGGAGTTGTTTCATGCTGGCTGGGTAGCGTTTCCAAGACACATAGATCACCAAGAGGATCATGGCCACTGAGAGAAAGAGAGCCACACTCCCGGCAATAATTTTGTGAAATGAAACATGCTCATACTCTTGCTCTGCGCCAGGAATCTGAAACCCTGGGGAAGGGCTTGGTGTTTCAAAGGTGGATTGGGTGACGTCAGGTTTGAAGATGGTAGGTCTAGGGATAATCAGAGGTTTCTGGGGAGTTTGGGGCACCAGGTGTGATCTTTCTGTGTTGACCACCTGGACTTCAGAACAGATATTATATGTTTCCACTGCATCACTAACCTTTTCACCCTGGATGTGCTTAGGTCCCGCACATATCATGGTGCTTTCCTTATTTCCTTTGAAATTCTTAAGCCAATAAAATAAAGGACAAATGCTCCGACTGCATTCCCACATATTTCCAGACAATGTGATGGATATTAATGATATCCACGCATTGACAGTTTCCTGTGAGATATTGGTGAGCTTGTTGGAATCCAAATTCAATTTTTGTAAATTGGGGAGGCATTTAAATGTGCCCGGCTCAATTCCTTGGATGTCATTCCCTGATAAATCCAAGTTGTGTAAGGAACTCCAAGTCCATGTCAAACCTTGGCTAATGGAGCGAATCCTGTTCCATTGTAAGTAAATTGAGCGGAGGTTGAAGAGACGTGGAAAATGAGCAAAGTTGATCTTGGAAAACTGGTTGTGCTCCAGGTGGAGCTCCTTTAACTTCAAGAGGCCAGCAAATGCATTTCGGGACAAGCTTCGAAGACGATTGTAACCCAAATCCAAAAAATCAAGATTCCGACAGTCTTGAAAAACTCTTATGGGCACAGTCTTTAGTGAGTTAGATCTCAAGTGCAAAATGATGAGTTTCCGAAGGCCTTTAAATTGTTCAGATTGCAATGTCTGAAGCTTATTGTAGGAGAGGTCCAGATTGCGGAGATTGGGAACTGGGTGAAATGTTTTATTGTGCAGATAAGTAATTTTGTTGGAGCTTAGAATTAATTCTTTCAGTCTACGGATCCCTTGAAATGCATCTTCATCCACTGAGCTAATGTAATTATGGTCAAGATAAAGCCATATAAGCTGGTTAAGGCCGGCAAACTGATTGGATTTGAGCTTCTGAATGCTGTTGAACCTTAATGATAAGCCTTGTGACCCTCCAGAAATGTTCTCAGGGATATCTGCGAAAGCATGAGACTCACAGTACACAATTTTGCCATCACATCTGCAGTTCTTTGGGCAAGCTCTCTGAGCACCCGTGAGCATAACAAGCAGCAGTGTAGGAAGTAGCACCAGCACCACACTCATGCCTTTCAGCTGCGTAATTAAATGGAAACCTACGATATTAAAAAAAAGACAGATGCACATTGTGAAGCTATTAAAATAAATCACCGTCGGTTTACCAACAACAGGGGCATTTCCTCTAGTGTAGGAATGGGACAGTTGATTTAAGGAAAATGCATTAACATTTCGAGCATTATTTTCTTCAGTGTTGCATGTTTGCTGCTTAGGTTTCACTTTTTCTTCCTTGATCTTCAAATCACCACAGTCCCATAGAATTAAGAAAAGCCTTTTTGAGTTTCAGGAGTTCCTACTTATTTCAACATTGAAAAGCACAGAGCCTTTCTCACCACTGAATGCTGACATTTTAGTAACAATAATATTTGGCTAACCACTGTATTGAACAACAGTACCAAAAGGAAGTGTACTATGTGCTCTGGTAAGGGCAAAAATGTGACTTAGTAAACCTGGTACCTGTACGTGTTTCCCAGTTGAGCAAACAGGCTGTGATTTGGCAAAAGAGCTTCAGTAAGCTGTCAAGGTAACCCAAGTTTGCCCTGCCTGAAATTGTGTACTTATTGCATAATAGGATCGCAATATGTGAGCTCTGAAAAAACAGCATTGAGACTAGTATAGGCAGCCAATGAAGCATTGGATGAAGACTAATAACGGTACGAGGTGCTCTCAAGTTGTTAATAAGCATAGATTATTGCATACTGTGGCTCCCTGCCCAACGATACAGGAGCTAAGACATCTAAATACTCATAACAGAGAACACTCCAAAGTTAAGACTATCAAAATTCGTATTATTTGCCTAAAAAGCAAAATAATATTGTGTAGTATCACTTTGCCATTATTTTAGAGTTGTTTTTGCAAATTCGAAGGATAAACAAGGAAAGAAGCAGCCAACTACTATTTTTCTCTACATCACCCTGATCTCTTCACATTTCTCACTGACTTTTTTCTCCCCTATCTCCATTAACTTCAGAAAGCCTGCAAAGTTACAATCTATTGGCACTTACACTGCATTTCCAAGTCATTGCATGTTAAGGGACTTCTTTCCTCCGTCAACAGTAGATTTATTATTTCTTAATGGAGAGAAAAAAAAAGAAACAACTACCATGTGTTGCAGTTTCTTTTTTTTTCTTAAATTTTTAAATTTTTAACCAAGAGGCAATCAACCAAATCCCTAATCTAAAACCCATCCTTCTTCTCAAACAGTTAAGTTTTTCTTTTTTTTCTTTTTAATTTAAAACCCGATCTTGCTCTCTGTCCTCTTGCCAGCTACAGACTCATTGAAATACATTCCAGCTCTCCCAGACAGGAGAAAGGGGGGGAAAAAAGCCAGTCACACTCGAAAAAATAAGACTGGCAAATGACTGCTGGAAATTCGGAAGCTGTGTTCAGGATCCAGCTTCAAAGATAAAACAAGCCCTTGTGCAACCTCTGATAAAGTAAGGACCCCACCCCTACATACACGCAGCAAAGTGTTAATAGTCATCCTGACAGCTACCAGAAACACAAGCCTCGTTAATATTATCAAGAAATAGAAGCAAACACAGTATTTATCTCCTTCTGAATTCCCAAGCTGTGGATACGCAGACAGTAGAAACAGTCTTAAAGATATTTCTCTAGAGTCTGTTTAAGTTCGTGTTGTGCATTTATAGATTAAAAAAAAAACACTGCAAAAAGGAAAATGATCTAAAAATATAATAGCAACTATAGTGAATCAACTGGCAAACTCAAAGGCTGCTGCTCTTTGCCTGTTTCCCCGTCTTTTATCTGCTAATGCCACGACTGAGGATAGGAAGCCAAGAGGATCAGCTTTGCTCAGAAGGAAACAACAAAAGTTCACTTACCCATCCTTTGTCATCCAAAAACGTTTCCCCCCTCTCTCAGCTTTCTTCTTATTTGGTCTCTTGTGCGGAAACCACCACCACCTTCATGACACAGTGCGGCTGTCATTCACACCATTCTGATCCCGCATGTGAGCTAGTAGCCCCATACAAACTTCCCCGAGAGGACAGGCAAAAAAAAAAAAAAAAAATACATATATATATATACATATATATATATATATAAAAAATCAGCACAGGGTGGGATGGTTGTGGGGGCAGGGAAAAGGAAGCCGTTGGGGGGATAGGGATGGGGGAGGGCCTCTAGGCTCTGAGGACCATTGTGTAATTCACCAGAGACCCATCAGCAGTAATTGGCAATCTGTGCAAAAGAGCTACAGCCCATCTCGGAGGTAACCAACTTCTCTGTAAAAAGAGAGGAAAAAAAGAAAATCTTCAGAATACCTGGCATTCCTTATTGTGCTGGCTTTTGCCATTCCCAGATAAAGCAATTCATCCTCTGGATTTTCAGTTCTTGAAGCAAGTAGGCCTCCTGTGCTGTATGAGACCCCAGTTTAAAAGCTATGCAGGCTAGGTTTATCCATTTAGCTGGTCAGGTTTAAAGTGTTTTGTAGCTGTGCTGGGAGGCAGCCCTTGTCTAATTCAGAAGGCTTTCCAGAGACTGATGATGCTCAGAGCTTGTTGGTGCTAATGCTTGAGTTTGTGATACACTGAGTGCCCTCCGCTGGAGAAAACAGATTGCACATTAAAGACGGGAACAAGTGAGCCTGTCAGTGGTGTGCAGCCTTCCCTTGCTCAGAAAGGGAAATTAAAGGCACAGAATCACTATTTTTTTCTCTCCAATAATTTAAAAGGTTTATGCCAAGGAGTTCCTTTCAGTTATAGCAAATATTAAGTAAAATACTGCTTCTCTAAATGTTATGCAATTAATAGTTTTTCAAAGTTGCCATGACCTGAAATTTGTTTTTTCTGCACGTCACTGGAGATTTATCATCTTTTGCAAATGACAGAAATTGTTGAAATTTAAGTTTTATTCACTGTTGCTGTTGGTTTGTTTTATTTATTTATATTGTTTTAAACTAACCGCTTATGGAAGAAATCTTATTCAAGGGAAAAATGCAATTTTAATCAATTTTAAACAGGTTACATTTAACATGTTTAAGTCTGATTTTCAAATTCTCAACCTTTGACATAAAATGCATTTTACAATTTTGTGCATTTTATTGAACAGTCTAGAACACTACTTTCTAAAAGTTTACATTTTTAGTCTTAAAGCAGTTATAATCTATAGTATATTACCAAATGTGAAGGTAACTAAGAGATAAGAGTAGAATTCTAGCTTGACATTCTTAGTGCAGCCATTATCCTTAAATCATCTACATTTAGAATGCAAATCATTTCTTATGCAAATCACTTATTGTAATGTGCAATTCCAGAAAAACAAAAGCACTTGAGTTCTGCATTATCATGGTATTACTCTAAAATGTGCAGAATATCCTCAGAATTAGAAGGGATGACATGATAAAACACCTGATATATATATAATTTAAAAGGACCTACACACTTTCTTTAAGCTTGGACAGACGTTGAAAAACATAGTGCATCACCTCCATTTTTTCCTCATTTTTACTAGTTTATTCCATAATCCTCTGGCAGATAACAATTTTTAGAATAATCCAGGAGAATGAATCAATGTAATGCAGGGAGAGACTGCTAGGTAAGACTGCTAACCTAATTTAGCAGACGTGAGAAATTTAAATGAATTTCACATAAGCATTTAGAATTGCTGTGGATCATCGCAAATAGATATTTTTAGAAAGAGCCTTGGTTTTAGATTGTTTGCCAAAATATTAATAATTAAGGGGGCTTATCATATAAATAACACATATAATTTGACTCAGATGTATGAGTAGGCAGTTGCAGGCAATTGTCTCATTACTAAGATTTCTTGAGGAACAGAAAGGAATAATATGTCCCCCAAATATATTCCTTTTCCACTAACTGATACTTGAATTTCTATCTTAGAAATGTGTGCCTTTGGCTTAAGGCTTAATACCTATTAAAATGCAAATGCACGCCAAAAGAGGCAGGATTATTGTGGTTGCTGAAAATAAGTATATCAATATAAATGTACACATACGATTTGTTCATAGTGGTGTAGTTTAATATAGAAACACAAAACCCACCCAAATATCAATGGTAGAGGATGAGTGAAGGGAAAATTAATATATTAATAAAATAGAACACACACTGCCATTAAAATTAAAATAAAGGGTGATATATGCTGATAGGAAATTAGACCACCATGTATAAAGTAAGCAAGGTGGGGCAGAGAACTCAGATAGTTAAGGGCAGTGAAAGGGAGTCTATTACTGTAAATAGAGCAAAATAAAATATTCAGAGCAGACTTTCCTGGAAGATGGATTATAGAAGTATTTGATTTCATCTTTTATTATAAAATTGTCTGTGTTTTCTAATTTTAAATATAATGAATATGTCATGTGTGATATCTATCAATATACGTGTGTGTGTGTGTGTGTGTGTGTGTGTATAACTTTTTCTTTGTTTGAATTCAGGATATGAAAACAGCTTTGCTAGAATGTTGGGAAAACCCCAGGATATTCTCTACATCCATAGTGTAATAACTGGCACATCTATAGTGTAATAACTGGCTAAAATGCAAATTTTGTTCAAAGTACCAGGATCTAACAGGTGCTACCTTCCAAAGTACGTGCTAGATTGTATGCAGAATTTACAAAGAAAGTGGCCAAAAGTCTCTTGAACACATTGTAATGATATAAAGGGTAAAGAAAGTTGAAAAAAGTAGAGGATGTTGTGTGGAAGATTTGCTTGGAAGAAGCTGTTTTGGTATCATCTTTACACACACACACCCTTCACCCAAGAAAAAGTGGTAGGTTTCTTGGCTCCTCAGCTTAAATTAACTATAGTGATAGGGACTTCCACAGGCACCTTGAAGAGCTTCTTATGTGTTGCCAACAGTGAGCCTAGCAGAGTGGGATGGTATCTGATTTCTGTTGGTATATCCAGAGGATAAACAATGGGTTTTCCAGAGCAAAGAAAAGTTAGTGTTGTGTTGAAATTGAATTTCATTTTCAAAGTTTGTCTGGATGAAAATAGGTACATGTGTTTTCCATGGAAGAGAGGAGGGCTATGTGGGAGAGAGTCAGTTTGGAGCTGTTTCAAATCCTGATGAGATCCCCCCATCCCACAACGGAAAGAGTGTGTGAGTGCATTGCCAAATCAAGCAAATAAACAGAAAACAAACAGAAACCAATCAAGTGTGGACAGGCACCACATAAATCCAGATAAAAAGTATATTCTTTGTCTTTTATTGCTAATAGGGCTACTAAGGATCTATCAATGCATTCACAAAAAAAGAAATATGTTTCAACATCTCTTAGGCTCAGAGATAACAAATCCTTTTTACAGTAATACCAGTCAACCAAGATGTTTCCCGGGCAGTTCGAAACAGCAGTTAGGAAGTGTGGGAGGGGGTCAGCAAGAATGAGAGAAGTTGACTATACTTTCTCTTTTTTCCTAGGTAGCAAATAGCCCATTTGCACCTGGTCCTACTGGGGGAATGGGGGAAAATGCTTCCAATTTATATACAGTATTGATCATACTTGATGGACTTAATATTTTGATTTACCAACTTGAGACTTCACGTACTAAGAAGATAATAGTATATCTCTGTTACCCCAAAGAGCATTTAGAGACCACACCTTGGGTAACTTGAAATTGACATTGTTGAAAGTATTTACAACCTAGAAATGGTTACCAGCGGTGAATCTGTATCCAAATGGGTCTGCAGCAACCTCAATTCTTGCCTCCTCAGAAGAAGGAATTCGACCTAGGAGGCTGAAGGGCGAAGTAGTGACCCAGGAAAGTCTTAGAGCAGGAATCAAAGTTTATTAAAAAGCTTTTGAGCAGGAACAAAAGAAAGGGAAGTATACTTGGAAGAGGGCCAAGTGGGCAACTTCAAAGACAAGTGCCGATTTGACATTTTGACTTGAGATTCTATATGTTGCACACTTCTGGGGTCTTGTGTTACTTCTCTCCTGATTCTTCCTGTGAAGTGATCTGCCACATGTGCAGTGGCCTGCTAGAACTTGGGAGGGGAGCATGTGCGGTGTGTTTACTGGAGTTCTACACATAGTCCCTTTTGGCTTTCTTCCCTTACTAGTAGAATGTTCCTAGAGGAAGGTCATACACCAGTTAAACTCCGTCATTTTGTCTCTTAATGTGCATGCTTGAGCCAACTCACCCAACTTCCTGAGATCTTATCGGGAAGCTGCTGATCACCAGTTTCATGTGTTTTCCATCTACTGGGAGACGGCCCTTCCCTGGCGCTGGCTGTGATCAATTATTATTTTAGAGAGAAAATTAGCAACTGCCTGACTATCACCTGATGGTCATCTGATATTTCTGGGTTGGGGAGGTGGGCCCTCTCCTGCCCTGTTCATGTCTGACTAGCTACCTACTGTAACAAAATCAGCAAAGGTTAAAAATTAAGTGTGATTGCCAGGCATGGTGGCTCACGCCTATAATCTCAGCACTTTGGAAGACCAAGGATGGTGGATCACCTGAGGTCAGGAGTTCGAGACCAGCCTGGCAAACATGGTGAAACCCCATCTCTACTGAAAATATAAAAATTAGCCAGGCATGGTGGTGGGCGCCTGTAATCCCAGCTACTCAGGAGGCTGAGGCAGGAGAATCACTTGAGCCCAGGAAGTGGAGGTTAGAGGGAGCCAAGATCGTGCCATTGCATCCAGCCTGGGGAAAAAGAGCAAAACTCTGTCTCAAAAAAAAAAAAAAAAAAAATTAAGTGTGATTTATTGTTTTGTTGTGTATCTAGACTTAAGTGATAGAGAAAATATTAATAATATAGATTAAATTTTAAAAGGTACTGTGCCCGAAGCTACTTATTAGGTTGGTGCAAAAGTAATGACATTTTTAAAAACCTCAATTACTTTTACACCAAACTAATAAATGTAAATAGCATGAAAATGAGAAAAATTCTTCCAGTTTTTGAAAACTATCTTCTGATTGAACAAAAAAGTAACTCATGTCATTGATAAACAAGTGAAATTTCAATATACATCTGTCTTGTTTCACTTTTGTCTTACTCATTAATTTAAAAAAATCAGACAATACTCATGTTGGAATGACAGTTGGAAAGCCAGTTGTTAAACATTTTCATCAGCACACCACTCTACCTAGAGTTAATAGATGTATTGCTCCAAAGGTGAACTTGTCTTAACAAAGAAATGCTAGTGATGGACTGGATTTGAAGAATTCTTCTCTTTCTTACCCCAGACACAATTAAATGTTAAGAGAAAAAAAGACAACTAAATAAAACACTGCATGTGAGTAACATGAGGCTTCTTTCCAATTTTGACACTTCCTTGCTTACAATTTTTTGCTTATAAAACAATCCTACAATATCCAGACCATGGGAACACTGGAAATAAGAATATATCTGCATTTCTTATTGAAAGTTACAATAACATTTTGGCAGCACCATATGTGATTTTTCTGTTTTGTACTACAACAGTTTGAACCTAGCACCATAGTAACAAATTGTAGATGCTCAACAAAATATTTTAAAATGGGTGAATGCATTAGTCAATTAATTACTCAAGTAATCTTGCAACCACCAATGATTCAATAAATCAAGTAGTCAATTGCTATTATCACAAGTAATGTTGCCTTCAGTACCTTCAATACTTTATTTTATTTCTAAAATATTATTCCCCAATTAAAAGATTAAAAGGTTATGTCAGTTAAGAAATTTAAAGTTTCAAGTAACAGAAATCTTAATTCAAACTGAATGAAAATAAAATGAAAAAAAGTTTTAGCTCGTGTAAATTAAAATTGCATAGTCAGATACAGCTTGATTCAGTAATTCAATGTATCACTGATATCCACTTTCCTCTGATCCATTTCTCAGACGTAATGCCCAGTGTGTTATTTCCATTCTGATTCTGGGTTTAAGATAGCTCCAGTCCTACGTATATTAATATTCAAGAAACAATAAATGTCTCATTGGCTCTAGTGGTACCTTTTGTTCACACCTGAATAACATTCTATGTCCAGAGAAATGAAACTCCCTGGGTGTTTTACTTACAGTTCATGGATTCTACCCTTGGGGTAGTTGTGGGAAACAGCTTCTAAGAAGACATGTGGACTGAAAATGGGAGGTATATATATGTGCACAGCCCTCTCAGGGACATCATTAAAAAGCAGCTGCCTTGGTGCCTTCCAGAACACATCCTTCATCTAGGTGGGGACCAATGTAACTAATCTTTATCAATGGACTATGAGCAGATTTGATACGTATCCCTTCTAGGGCAAGGTGGTTAGGTTAGACCTATCTCCTCTTCCTTTGGCTAGAACCCAGGACTCTAAAGGCCTGTTAAACTAATAAACTTCAAGGAATCATTTATATTAGCAGTATAAATGAGATGACAGGTAAGGGTGGATGTTGGGAGCAAAAAAATATATATACACCATGCAAATAAAGTACAAACCAACCCAACATACAAATAAAAGTAACAAGCAAAACCAAGGAAAACAATATAACAAAACACAGCAATTTCTCAATACCTTTCATTTGCTCTTGCTATACCCTGCCATCAAGTCCGTGTGGCACCTATGTTTTCTTTATTCTCAATATTTAAACATCTCCCTACTCTTATTTACCAAATATTCCTAAACCTCTTAAGTTGACTCTTTAACTGGTAAAGGAACATAGTTAACAGATCGTGTCTGCCCACACACACACACACACACACACACACACACACACACACACAAATACCACCCAACAGGTTCTCCTTCAGCTGCCTAGACAGAGTCATTTTATCAAGACAGGGAAATTGTGATAGAGAAAGAGTAATTCATGCAGAGCTGGATGTACAGGAGACTGGAGTTTTATTGTTACTCACATCAGTCTCCAAGAAAACTCGAGAATCAGGGTTTTTAAGGATAATTTTGTGGGTAAGGGGTTGGAAAGTGGGGAGTGCTGATGGGTCAGGCCGGAGATGAAATCATAGGCAGTCAAGTCAAAGCTGTCCTCTTGCATTAAGTTCCTGGGTGGGGGCCACAAAACCAGATGAGCCAGTTTATCCATCTGGGTGGTGCCAGCTGATCTGTTGAGTGCAGGGTCTGCAAAAATATCTCAAACACTGATCTTAGGTTTTAAAAATACAACAGTAATGTTATCTCTAGGAGCAATTCGGAACATTTAGAATCTTGCAGCCTCCAGCTGCATGACTTCTACACCATAATTTCTAATCTTACAGCTAACTTGTTAGTCCTACAAAGACATTCTAGTCCCCAGGCAGGAAGAGGATTTCTTTTGGAAAAGGGTTGTGACTGTCTTTGTTTCAAAACTAAACTATAAAGTAAATTCCTCCCAAAGTTAGTTTGGCCTATGCCCAGGAATGAACAAGCACAGCTTGGAGTTTAGAAGCAAGTTGGAGTCAGTTAGTTCAGATCTCTTTCACTGTAATAAGTGTCTCAGTTATTTTCGCAAAGGCGATTGCACACACACACCCATGCACTTTGAAACCCACACCATACAAGCACATGCTTAAAAATAATTTACTCCTCAAGACACATTTCAATTATGTACGTAATTCAATTTTAACATGAAGCACCTGAAATCATCTTTTTCAAAATGAACTTCCATTTTTTCCTCTTCAATTTATCATAATTTAAAAGTACCTCATTTCTGATAGTAGTGATAATTGATTGCTTAACTCGTTAAAAATTTAAAGAAAAATAAAATTTTATTATATGTGCTCAGCTGCATTTAGGAATCTTGATGCCCATACTCCTAACCTTTAATCCCAATATGTACGTTAATAAAGATACTGATTATATTATTATGTAGTCACAGAAAATATTCTCTCTCATTTTCCTAACCAATGAACTAACTTATCATGTAAGAAAAATAAATTGATCATCTATGCTATTAATGAGAAGATAATGATAATGTGAAACATATGACAAATAGTCCACAAATTTCAATTGGTGTTATGGTAGATGGAAATTTGGAAATTAAACCAATAACAACAATAGAATATTGGGAAAAGGGTCTTTGAAAATATTTTAATGGCCATTCATGTAAACTGATCTCATACATCCATAGAATGAATAAATTACCAAACTTTGTGGAACCTACAGTATGAATAGCAATGAACCAGGAAGAAATGAAGGAGGAAAATAAAGAAATACAGCAGAGAAAACAACAAGAAAAGAATCTTGAGAGAGGTGGCTGCTTGGTTTAGTTGAAGTACTGCAAGAGGAAAAAAACAGATAATAGAAACAGACTCATAGATGATTCAATATTGGAGTTTTTAGACAAAGATTTTAAAATAACTGTTATTATGCTAAAACTAATAGATCTCAAGATGGGGGATTTCCGTACGGAAGTAGAATCTGTATACAAGTATCAAATCAAAATTCCAAACCTATGAACATAATAATTGTAATCAATAACTTCACAAATAGATTGAAATGGAAACTGGGCAAAGCTGACAGAATATTATTTAGTGAACTAGATAAAATAATAGAAAGTGACTTTTAGTTTAGTGGCTTTCAGGTATAAGTATAAATATATATATATATATATTTTAACATCATCCACAGAAAGGAATACATTTTACTAAACTAATAGTACTTCTCATGAAACAATACTTACTCTGATTATATTTCATTTAACTTTATTCAATAATATACTAATAGTATATTTAACTTCTCAATGTATGTAGTATAAACATCACCTATATAAACATACAGCCAAACAAACTATAGTTAAGCTTAACAGCCTTTTCAATATCTCACAAATAGAGCTATAAATAGAATTCAATGTTCAGTAACATCATGTTTTTTACATACCATGAGTTTTTTTATATTACAGCCAATACTGTCAATTCCTGTTAGAAATTCCATTACCAAGTAGTAACTCTTGGTTCAAGCATTTATAATTATTGTTTGTCTTCAATGTTATCAATGTTTGTCTTCAGTGTTTATCAATCAATACAATATTTGCACCTGCCTATAATATGAAAATAGTTTTTACGATAAATGTCAAAATTGGAAAGCAAAATTGTACTAAATCAGTACAACCATGTAACAAAATTATACTCATACAGACAGGGAGTAAAAGAAACATGGAAAAAATTATTGACTTGATGAATTGATAAGTTTTTTGATCATTTCTCTATAGCTATATTTTCCTTTCTGCAACACAGGGGAATCAGAAGGATGGAAGATGATACCCAGAAGAATGTTGCTTCATTTTAAATTATGATAAATTAATTTCAGATATCATTATAAATCCAAGTTTCTGACTTCATTATAGAAAGGTCTGGAATATTTTGTAAATGATTTTAAACTAAATATCTTTTCTGATTACATACACACATTCAATTAGCAGTCCATTAGATGGGGTCGATTGGTTAGAGTAAGTATTTTACATTCTAATCTTATTTTTGTATCTGAACCATGCTGGCGTACCCATTACACTTTACATCTCATGTTTATCTTCTATAAGAAAGAAGATTGTAACACAAATTTATACAGTACAACTATTTTGAGAGTTGATTAAATAATGATTGAAAGACCTATAAAATGATTAGTGCTGCAACATTGCCAATAGAAGTTATGTTTATGCAACTGATAAAAAATACATTTAACAAGCTAGTCATATTATTCATTATTTTCTGAATATTGTCCTGACATATCCAGAAATTATATTTTGGTAAGTGTCATCATATTGCCATTGTTGATTAATTTTGGTCTTCTACAAGGTGTAGCTTATAATATCTTTCACAAAAAAAAGTTTTATAATTACTCACTAGATAACTATATTCATTATCATCATACGATAGTGCCTATTTGTGCATGGTCCTCTGTGAAGTACTATCCAGAAAAGTTTCACTGAAAGAGCCCAACAGGTATTTTTCATCTGCTAACCCACGAAGCCTTAAATGACATTATTGATCAATATTTTTTCTCTTTCTGCTCCACTGGTACATTTTTTCAAAGGAAAGCAAAATAGTGTATCAGAAAAAATGAATATTTAAGTAAAAAGGAAATAGGTTTGCATTCTAGTACATGATTAGTAGCTATTTCTCCCTCTGAAAAATATTTGTTGGGCATGGACTGTCATCAGTGATCAAAACACAGACCCCTGTCTCTCTGTTGCTTGATATAAAAAATGAAGTTAACCATTCCTCACTCAATTTCCTTATTTGTAAATGGGAGATAATAGGATTATAGTATATTATTCCCAAGGTTGTTTTGACTATTAAATGTATGTATCTTCATATCAATATTTGTATTGACAGATATACCAATATTTTTGCATTTATTTAACACATCTTCAGTTTTCTCCTAATAGAGTCAGCAATATTTATCTAAGCCAGTTTGTAGCTATTTTGTGTTTTTTGTTACCAACTTTTTACTCAAAGGAGAAAACAGGCTTTCAATTTATTTAATGACTCCCATTGCTGGTGTGTTAGCAGGCCTGCTCAGGTCTTTTCATCATTTGTGTCCTATCACATTGGCACTATCACCCTTTCACTGTGTTATGATCCAGGCTTAACTGCCAGTAAAATGATATTAAGAACATCATAGATTCAATCATTTTTTTTCTTCATCTCCAAACAAGGGCATCAATTACTTTAGATGCTGACAGTCTGATTAATTGCATACTCACTGAATTAGAGCAATAAATAGTCCATTATAAACACGCATAGACTTAAATATAAAACCCAAAACTATAAAAACCCTGGAGGATAACCTAGGGAATACAATTCTGGACATGAAACGGGCAAAGATTTCATGAATAAAATGCCAGAAGCAATTGTGACAAAAGCAAAAATTGACAAGTGGGATCTTATTAAAATACAGAGCTTCTTCACAGCAAAAGAAACTGTCAAGAGTAAAGAGACCACCTTCAGGATGAGAGAAAAATTTCAAAAACTATTCATCTGACAAATGTCTAATATCCAGCATCTATAAGAAACTTAAACAAATTAATGAGAAAAAAACAACCCCATTAAAAAATGGGCAAAGGAGATAAATAGACACTTTTCAAAAGCAGACATACATGCAGCCACAATCATATGAAAACAAGCTCAACATCACTGATTATTAGAGAAATGCCAACAAAACCACAGTAAGGTACCATCTCACATCAGTAAAAATGGCTATTATTCAAAAGTCAAAAAATGACAGGTGCTGGTGAGGTTGTGGAGAAAAGAGAATGCTTATAACACTGTTGGTGGGAGTGTAAATTAATTCAATCATTGTGCAAAGCAGTGTGTTGGTTCCTCAAAGAGCTAAAAATAGAACTTCCATTTGACCCAGCAATCCCATTACTGGTCATATACCCAAAGGAATATAAATCATTCTGTCATAAAGACACATGTACACATATGTTCATTGCAGCACTATTCACAAGAGCAAAGACCTGGAATCAACCTAAATATCCATTAATGGCAGACTGGATAAAGAAAATGTGGCACATATAGACCATAGAATACTATGCAGCCATAAAAAAGCATGAGATTAGGTCCTTTGCAGGAACATTGATGGAGCTGGAGGCCATTATCCTTAACAAACTAACTCAGGAACGGAAAACCAAATATTTATGTCCTTACTTATAGGTGGGAGCTAAATGATGAGAACACATGGGCACATAGAGGAGAACAACAGACACTGGGGCCTACCTGAGGGTGGAGGTTGGCAGGAGGTGGAGGTTCAGGAAGAATACCAAATGGGTACTAGGCTTAATGCCTGGGTGACAAAATGATCTGTACAACAAACCCCCATGTCACAGATTCATCTGTATAACAAATATGCACATGTACCCCTAAACTTCAAAATAATAGTTTAAAAACAGAAATAAGGAAAAATTACTGATTTCTCATATACATGTGTACACATGCACACACACAGTCACATACACGTACACATTTATTTGATTGTCTTGCGCAAATTTTACTTTCCACAAGTTACTGCTTATGAAAATATAGTCGTTTTTAAAACATTTTTTCAATAAAAATGTTCACATCTAACTTTTCTATAATGGGCCATTACTGTAAAGAAAAATCTCCAAAGAAAGATTGATATAACTAGAAATTAAGAGAGGAAATGGAAGTGGCCTGCCACAGTGTGGTGAAATTCTAGAGTTCTAGAACCGTCCAGATGCCAGCTATGAATATGACTTTGGCCTACTTATTTAAAAATTTAGGGCTTCACTTTACACATGTATCTACAGCTCAAGTTTATAAAATGTAATATATTTAATACAGGTAATGGTGAAATTGAAGTAGGTATTAGTAGGAGATTAAAACATTTAGACTTGGAAACTTCTATGAGGGAATTAAAACTTATTTCTAGGGATCATTACTTTTACTTCAAATTTAGATCAGAGGCTTTATTTCAGGAGGTGATGTTGTCCAATTAGAGGGGAGGCAAAACAGACTGCCCACTCTGAGTAGGTAAGTACTTCACTTCTGCAACAGGAACATGAGAGCTTGTTTCAAAGGACAAGTGGACTGGGAGATGTATGCTCTATACCTCAACACAGGAGCTAGAACCCCAAAGATGCCTTGCTGGATCTATTCAGATTACTACTGTAGGGCTCAGCTGATGTACAGCTGACAGAGGAAGAGCAACCTGTCAACTGCTTGTGACAGACTAGGTAATCAGAATTGATAGCAATCATCATAATACAAGCAACAACTAACATCTATTTAATCCTTACTCTATGACAGTCACCGCTCCAAAAATAGAATAGATATTAGTCTATTTTTTCAAACATATGTGATACATACTATTACTATTTTCATTTTACAGATGAGGAAACTGACGCATGAACTTTTATATAAATGTTTAAAGAATATGCAGCTAATATTTGGTGAAACCAGTGTTAGAACACAGGCAGCTAGACTCCAGAGCTCACACCCTTAGTCACTAGGATGGCCCATCGAAGGCTGGCCCAGATCAGTTGCTCCTGAGCATGTGGGGGAACACAAGTAGGAATATAAGTCCCCTTCAGTGCTGGAGGTAGATTCAGTCCTGCCCAGGTTGATTTTTACACTAAATTAAGTCATATGGACAATGACTAACCTGCAGAACTAAGTTAGGCAATGAACTCCCTCCGAATAAAGAAAAGTGTGGGAGCTGTAACTTCTAAGCATCCTCCCTCTGACACAGAGTTTGTGTGGGCTGAGACCAAACTGGTCTCCAGCAGGGGGACAATGGAGAATGCTCAGCTGCTTCCAAGAATAACTGTATCTCCATATAAAGGGAAGGATGGTATCATTCATATAAAAACTAAACCTAATGATAGAAGACAGATAGGTAGAAGGCTGCTAGGCTGAGGGTTACCAGACCTTTCACTGTATATATATAGATGCATGTATATCTATCTATCTACATGCGTGCACACACACACACACACACACACACACACACACACACACACCTCTCTCTCTCTCTCTCTCTCTCTATATATATATATATATACAATATATGTATGTATAATGAACATATGTGTTTTGGTGGGGGTGTGGGTGTGGGTGGGTGTGTATAGATTAGATATAATTTTTTAACCAAGCAATTGACTTAATCATTGATCATAAAATGGACTAGGAAAGGCAAGAATGTGTTTCTCCATGACAAGATGTTTACTGAGTGTCTACTATTGAATTAGAATGGTATTAGAAATGAAAAAACAAATAATTATGACATATATCTAATTTTCAAGGAGTTCTGTCTTTCTAAAGGGAATAATTTATATATTTTAAAATTTAGATTAAAATCATACTAAAAATCTACATGAAAAAGGAGTGTGATAGACTGAGTTTTGAAAGTGTAGAGTATGAGTGTGGTAAATTATTCCTTTGGCTCTTGCAACTTTTGACAGAGAACAAATTTGTAAGGCTGGAAGCCATTTGTCTGTCAACAGAAATGTCAGCAAAATTCTCATAATGCAAGTCTTCTTAGGCTGCATAAGAATTCAATCCTTGTGTACACTCTTCTTTTAGGTCAAATTTTCATTAAGTTAATCATAATATAGATGATATGTCTGAGCTGTAATTTGTTAAATTTTTATTCAATATTACCTTTTCATTTGAGTCATGAGTAAGTCTTTGAGTTTGACTATTTTTTATTTAAACATAGAACCATAATTTTACAACTACATACATCTCACATGATGCATACAGATGTATAATTATATAATCCTACAAAAAGGAGGCATTATTTAAATAACCCAAATCATTCATTGTTTCAGAAATCCATATTTATGAAAATATTGCTGAATTAAGCATTATTTCTTGACTTAATATTATAGCTGGTTTTTGTGAACATAACCAATATATAAAAGCCATGGGCTGGGCGTGGTGGCTTACGCCTGTGCTCCCAGCACTTTGGGAGGCCGAGGCGGGCGGATCACGAGGTCAGGAGATTGAAACCATCCTGGCTAACATGGTGAAACCCTGTCTCTACTAAAAATATAAAAAATTAGCCGGGCATGGTGGCACACACCTGTAATGGCTGAGGCAAGATAATCCCTTGAAACAGGGAGGCGGCAGTGAGCCGACATGGCGCCACTGCACTCCAGCCTGGGCAACAGAGCAAGGCTCCATCTCAAAAACAACAACAACAGCAACAACAACAAAAAAACCCATGGATAAATTTCAGAGTAAAAGGGTGCTTGAGTAATAAAGAAACAATATGTTCAATATTTCCATCACATAACAAAATTGTGTATTACCAGTATTCTGTTTTTGCCTCAAAGACCTGCACACATATGACATCACTTCTACTTGGTATGATTCAGGAAACTGTTCCTTGGAGAAAATGTTGGAGCTAATGAAGCTTATTTTATTATTGATTTGAGACTTGTGGTTGATTGACTTGTTAACGTAATAAGTCACTTGACTAAATGCAACACTTAAATGAAACACTCTTTCTTGAAATAGCCTTCGCCAATGATGTCAAAGCAGTTTGATTTGCTTTCAAAGGAAATTCTGCGTTCAGTGCTTAAAGTTATATTTTTCATGTGTAAACAGATATATTAGTGCAAGATTTTTACATCTGGGAACTACTGGCATTTTAGACCAGGAAATTATTTTTGTGAGGGATGTTCTGTACATTATAGCGTATTTAGCAGCATCTCTGGTCACTATTCACTAGATACCAGTAACAACAATCTACTCAAGTTATGACATCCTAAAATGCCTACAAATATTACCTAATGTTCCCTGGAGTTACAATATACCTCCTATCCTTTTTAAGTAGGACTATTACTTGAGGGCTAAGGGAATTCAGAGATCACAAATCAAGGGCAGATCTAAGCACAAGAATTTTTCTAGAAAGGTCTTGAGTCATAGAAAGCACATTCAATATGAACTAAATTGAAAATATGAATTCTGTGTTTTATTGTGTTAAAATTATTAAAAGACTTAATGATTAATAATGTATATATATATATATTTTAAAGTGAATCAACTTCAAGATGGAAATAATTTACTTAATGCGAATTAAGATCATCTAAGTTTCCAAATTAAGAAAATATAATATTTGAAATCATTACTGTTCTTGACAGTTTCTTTTGGTCCTAAAATATCTGGCCCTGAAAGTCTATCTCTAAATTTTTCAAATTGAAGAATAGCATAATTTTGTTTCTGAAAATGATTGACCTTTTCAGAATGAGTTATTTTATACATCATTTTACCAATAGTGGCATTCTCCAATTAACAAGCATTTTACACTGAAGGTTAATTGAGGGAAAATATATCTTAAATAAGAGAGACATTATCTGGACCTCTTAAAAAAACATGTTTTAAAAACATGTACTTAAAGGATGGTGGCCACTAAATTAATTGTTAGACTTATCTAATCACTGCATGAAACTCAGAAAACACAGCACTATGACAAAGAAATTAGAAACATAGTTTTATTAATATAATTTCTAATTAAATATTATCTTTAAATAAACATGACATTAAGAATACTTGCATTCACCAGAACTAGCTCCATTCTTTTCTTATACAGTAGAAATTATCATTTATATTAAAGATCACCCTAGAGTTAGTTAATTGTGTCTAGAGTGCAATAAAAATAATTCAAACTTGGGAATTCTTAATAAATCTAAACTCTGTAATCTGTGTCAGCCTCAGAACAATTCAACAGTCTTAAAAGTCCCTGTCCTTATTTCTAATGTTATTAAGGAGGAAACATATGCAATATGCTATATCCAATTACTAAATTAATATGTGCTCATTTATGCTGTAGAGTTGAAGGTGAAACTTTTGGCATTTCTGGAAGCCAAGATATGTCAATTCTTAAATCAAGGCAAGATTTACTAAACATGTCTGCGGCGGACCATAGACCCTCTTACAAGCTTCACACTGTTCTTCCTCAGTGATGCCTTAGATTTCTATAAATAGAACTGCTTTGAAAAGCAGTAGACCATTACAACCACATCAAGACATTCAAGGGGTTTCACAGACAAAATATTCACACAATGCCAGTGGGTATTCTCTGTGGGGGACACTGACAAATGACTTATCACACCATTCATTCACCATGAGAAGCTAAACCCTAAAGCTACCCATACAGATTTTCAAGTTGAGATTAACAGGTGGGAAAATAATAAATATGTCATGTGGTCTCGATTACTATATAAAAATGTTTTTTGCCAAAATGTTTTTATTCTCACTGGATTTTAAGTCCTTGAAAGGTTTTAGGCTTTTATCTAAAGCTAAAAGCCATTTAAAAACCAATTGTCCCTTGAAAAATGAAAAACTCCCATTTATGTATAGCTGGTGCTCCTGTTGAGGCTGTATCAGTCTCTTCATTGTAAAAGTTATGGCTACCATATTGGCTCTAATATGTGCATATAATGTTTCTTTCAGTAATACTAGATTTAGAGTGCAAATCTAAATCTGAAAATTATTCTGTGTTTTAGGAAGATCTGTGGCCAGGTAGCTAACCACAGGGTATCTGATCCACAGCCCAGAGGAGATGAAGAAGGACATTGGTAGAGTTTAGATTTGGGTCCTCGCCCAAATCCCATGTTAAATTATAATCCCCAGTGTTGGAGGAGAGACCTGGTGGGAGGTGATTGGATCATGGAGTGGATTTTCCCCTTGCTGTTCTAGTGATAGTGAGTGAGTTCTCAAAAGATCTGGTTGGTTAAAAGTGTGTAGCACCTCCCACTTCTCTCTCTTCCTCTTGTTTCAGCCACATAGGAGATGCCTGTTTTCCTTTCACTTTCTGCCATGATTGTAAGTTTTCTGAGGCCTCCCCAGCCATGCTTCCTGTACAGACTGTGGAACCATGAGCCAATTAAACCTATTTTCTGTATAAATTACCCAGTCTTAGGTAATTGCTTTATAGGAATGTAAGAATGAACTAATAAGAACATCGGCACCAGGAGTGGGGCATTGCTATATGGATACCTGTAAGTGTGGAAGCAACTTTGCAACTGGGTAACGGTAGAAGATTGGAACAGTTTGGAGGGCTCAGAAGAAGAAAAAAAAGATGAGGCCAAGTTTGGAACTTCCTAGAGACTTGTTAAATTGTTGTGACCAAAATGCTGATTGTGATATGGGCAACGAAGTCCAGGCCAAGGTGGTCTCAGATGGAGATGAGAAACTTATTGAAACTGAAACAAAGATTACTTTTGTTATGCATTGGCAAAAAGGTTGGAGTCATTGTGCTCCTGCTCTAGAGATCTGTGGAACTTTGAACTTGAAAGTAATGATTTAGGGCATCTGGTGGAATACATTTTTAAGTAGAAAGACATTCAAGATGTGTCCTGGCTGCTTCTAGCAGCCTATACTTATAATCATGAACAAAGAAATAACCTGGAAGTGAAACTTATATTTAAAAGGGAAGTAGACTATAAATGTTTGAAAAATTTGCAGCCTGGCCATGTGGTAAAAAAGAAAAACCCATTTTCTAGGGAGGAATTCAAGCCAGCTGCAGAAATTTGCTTAAGGAAAGAGGAGCTGAATGTTAGTAGCACAGATGCCTCGAAGACATTTCAGAGATCTTTATGACAGCCCCTCCCATCACAAGCACAGAAGCCTAGGAGGGAAGAATAGTTTCCAGGGCTGGGCCCAGAGCCCTGCTGTCCTGTGCAACCTCAAGACACTGCTCCCTGCATCCCAGTCACTCTATCTCTAGCCGTGGCTAAAAGGGCCACAGATATATTTCAGGCTGCTGCTCCAGAGGCTGCAAGCCATAATCCTTGGCAGCTTCCATGTGTTGTGAAGCCTGCAGGTGCACAGAGGGCAATGGTAGAGGCTTGGTAGCCTCCCCCTGGATTTCAGAGGATGTATGGAAACACTTGGATGTCCAGGTGGAAATCTGGTGCAGGACTGGAACCCTCATGGAGAACCTCTACTAGGGCAGTGCAGAGGGAAAATGTGGGGTTGGAGCCCAAATACAGACTTTCCACTGGAGCACTGCCACCATCCTTCAGACCCCAGAATGGTTGATCCACTGACAGCTTGCACCATGTACCTGGAAAAGCTGCAGACTCTCAAAGCAAGCTGGTAAAAGCAGCCAAAAAGGCTGTACTATGCATTGCCAAAAAGGCAGAGATGCCCAAGGCCTTGCAAGCCTACCCCTTTCATCAGTGTGGCCTGGATATGAGACATGGAGTCAAAGGAGATTGTTTTGTAGCCTTGAGATTTAATGACTGACATCTGGGTATTGAACTTGCATGGGGCCTGTAGCTCCTTTGTTTTGGCTAATTTTTCCCTTTTGAAATGGGTGTATTTACCCAATGCCTGTATGTCCCACTGTATCTTGGAAGTAACTAACTTGTTTTATTTTGTTTTTCGTTTTTTAATTTTACAGGCTCATAGGTAGAAGATACTTGCCTTGTCTTAGATGAGACTTCGGACTGTGGGCTTTTGAGTTAATGCTGGAATGAATTAAGACTTTGAGGAACTGTTTGGAAGGCACGATCACATTTTGAAATGTGAGAAGGACATGAGATTTGGGATGGACTGGGGTGAAATGATATGATTTTGATTTGTATCTCCACCCAAATCTCATGTCAAATTGCAATTCCCAGTGTTGGAGGAGTGGCTTGGTGGGAGGTGTCTGGATCATGGAGGCAGATTTTCTCCTTACTGTTCTTGTGGTAGCGAGTTCTCATGAGATCTGGTTGTTTAAAAGTGTGTAACACCTCTCCCCATGCTCTCTATCTCCTGCTCTGGCCATGTAAGATGTGCTTCCTTCCTATTTGCCTTCCACCATGATTGTAAGTTTCCTGGGGTCTCTCCAGCTTTGCTTCCTGTCCAGAGTATGGAACTGTGAGCCAATTAAATCTCTTTTCTTTATAAATTACCTAGTGTCAGGTCATTCTTTATAGCAATGAGGAAACAACCTAATACAGACATCTTGGTCTCACACTGGCAGAGAAACAGGTAGAGACAAAGAGGCAAAAGCCAACTCAAATCATTTTGCTGATGCCTTGCATGCATTTCAGATTGTATATGTGTTTAGAAAAAATTAGTAGGGATTGCTGTAATTTCTGGCAGATTGTCCTAAAGGCTGAGGTAGGCAAATGGCTTGAGCCCAGGAGTTCAAATCTGGTGAAACCTCGTCTCTACAAAAAAAATACAAAAAAAAATTTGCCAGACTTGATGGTATGCATCTGTAGTCGCAGCCATTAGAGAGGCTGAGGTGGGAGGATGGCTTGAGCCCAGAAATTTCAGGCTGCAGTGAGCCATGATTGCACCACTGCACTACAGCATGGGTGACAGAGTAAAATCTTGTCTCAAAAAAAAGAAAAAAAAATCAAGGATATTTTAAGACAACATGGTGAGAAAAGTTTATTCTCTTAAATTTTTATTTTTTACAAAATAAAAAAGCCTTCACTGCAAGACTTAGAATATGAAAAACAACAATGAGAAATATAATGGTGAAGTCTCTAATAATGACTTATTAAACAAATAACAAATTATTTGTTGTTTAATAAATCTAAGCCTGTTTTGGGCCAATAAAAAATTTCGCTACACTTAATAAATAAAATTATTACAAAATAACATTATAAATTATGAAACTGATAAACTGAAATAAGCAGGACTGATAGAAACAAGAATATTTATAAATATTTATGTTATCAATAAATTTTTATAATTAAAAATATATTTAAATTCACCAAGAGTTTAGAAAATGGAATTTTTCTAAAACCCCTTAAAAGAATCAAGATGAACACAGGTTAAAAATAAACTAACAAAGTGCAAACAAAGAAATTACAGATAAAAAATTCTTCAAAAATGCCCCAAATTAATTTCATAACAGCACAACATTTAAATTACAGCACTGAAAATATAGTTCAATATTAGGTACCTATGAATATAATTTACCACATTAATAGTTCATGCAAGAAAAAGTCATTTGACCATCCCTATTAAAGCAAAAGGTAATTTGAAAAATTCAATACCAATTCTTGGTCCTCTCTGAGGAGCTATAAATAGGATAATTTCTCTTTAAACATGATAAATAAAACCTATTTAAATGTACTAGCCAACATCAGATGATGCAGAAGCATAATGCCATTTTTTAATGTTACTTGTTTAACTACTTTTGTAATTTCTGATTAATAAAATAAAAACATCAGGAGTAGTTTATTGTAAAGCAGGATTTTTTTCTTGAAAATTACTTAAAAACAGAAAATTATTTAAGTAGATTTCGGTATATTCTGTCAAAGAATTATTCATAAAAATATCTGTTGACATGAATATATGTATACATTTTTAGTAAAAATATCATATTCAGAAATACATTTTAGCATTTTTTTAAATTATATAGGTAGGTGTATCTGTATATGTTTAATCATAAGATGATTTTAGAATACTGCTGAAGACATTAATGGTGTTATCTCTAAAGGAGTGTACTATATAAAATATAGATTTTTAACTTTCAAGTTGTACATGTTGAACGTGTATTACTTGAAATGAAAAGCTATATTCTATAAATGGTGCTGTGATAACTGGCTATCCATATGCAGAAGGAGGAAACTGGATCTCTACCTTTCACCATATATAAAGATTAACTCAAGGTGGATTAAAGACTTAAATGTAAGACCTCGAAGTACAGGAATCCCAGAAAAAAGCCTAGAAATATCCTACACAATATTGACCTTGGCAAATAATTTATGACTAAGTCCCCAAAAGCATTTGCAACAAAAACAAAAATTGAAAAGTGGGACCTAATTAAACTAAAGAGCTTCTGCACAGCAAAAGAAACTGTCAAGAGTAAACAGACAACTTACAGGATTAGAGAATATCTTTGCAGACTATGTATCCTAAAAAAAGTCATTAGACTTTGAATCCAGAACCTATAAGAAACTTAAACCACTCAACAAGCAAATACAAATTACCCCCATTAAAAAGTGGGCAAAGGACATGAACAGACACTTCTCAAAAGAAGACATACAAATACCAACAAACATATGAAAAAACGCTCCACATCACTAATTATCAAAAGATGCAAATAAAAACCACAATGAAAATTATGTCACACCAGTCAGAATGGCTGTCATTAAAATATCAAAAAATAGCAGATGTTGGTGAGGCTGCAGAGAAAAAGGAACACTTACATGCTCTTGGCGGGAATCTAAATTAGCTCAGCCACTGTGGAAAGTAGTTAAAAATTTAAGTTTAAACTTTTAAACTGCAAATTAAAAATAAGGAATAATATATGTTATTTTAAAAATTGAGGATATTTACAAGTTTAATAGTTCATATTCAGTGATAATAAGCCTTTAAAAATAACTTTTTACAATTATTTGGAGGGTATCCGAAAAAAATGGTAAAAGCATGCATTCTTTTTATCCAGTAATTATATGTCTGGGTATTTATTCAAGAAACTAACTGACCAAGTGCAACAAAGTTACATAGACTCTATGGCTCTTGAAATTAAATTTATAATTGTTGGGAAATTATGTCATATAGAAATCACGCCATATAGACCAATGAAATAAAATAGGAAATCCAGAAATAAACTCTCACATTTATGGTCAAATGATTTTCCATAAGGGATGCCAAGACCATTCCATGGGAAAAGGACAGTCTTTTCAAAACACGATGTTGTGAAACTGAATATCTGTATACAAAAGTATGGAGTTGGGCTCTTACCTTATACCATATACAAAAAATAACTCAAAATGAATCAAAGAACTAACTGTGAGATTGAAAACTATAAAAATCTTACAAGAAAACATAGGGCAAAAGCTTCATGATATTGGATTTGGCAAAGATTTATTGGACATGACATCAAAAGCACAGGCAACAAAAGTAAGTAAAAGTAAATAAGTTTCATTATATACAAATTTAAAACTTTCATACATCGAAGTGCATAATCAACACAGTGATAAGCCAACCCATTTATTGGAAAAAATATTTAAAAATTATAAATTGGATAATAGGTTAACATTAAAATATATAAGAAACACCTAAAATTTAATAACACCACAATTAATTTAATGTTAAAAATGGGCATAGGATTTGAGTATAAATCTCTCCAAAGATGATATTCAAATGGTCAACAAGCACATGAAAAGATGCTTAACATCATTAATCAAATATAAATATACAGAAATATAAATCAAAACTACAATGAGAGAAAGAAATAAAGTACATCCAAATAGGAAGAGAGGAAATCAAACTATCACCTGTTTAGAGATGACATGGTTGTATATCTAGAAAACCCCATAGTTTTAGCTCCAAAACTCCTTAAACTGATAAACAACTTCAGCAAAATTTCAGGATAAAAAATCAATTTACAAAAGTCACTAGCATTTCTATACACCAACAACAGCCAAACTGAGAGCCAAATCAGGAATGTAATCCCATTCACAATTGCCACAAAAAGAGTAAAATACCTAGGAATACAGCTAATCAGGAGGTGAAAGACCACTACAATGAGAAGGACAAAACACTGCTCAAATAAATTAGAGATAACACAAACAAATGGAAAAGCATTCTATGCTCATGAATAGGTAGAACCAATATCATCAAAATGGCCATACTGACCAAAGCAATTTAATGCTATTCCTATTAAACTAACAGTGTCATTCTTCACAGAACTAGAAAAAACTATTTCAAAATTCATATGGAACCAGAAAAGAGTCTGAATAGCCAAGGCAATCATAAGCAAAAAGAACAAAGCAGGAGGCATCATGCTACCTGACTTCAAACTATGCTACAAAGCTACAGTAACCAAAACAACATGGCACTGGTACAAAAACAGACACAGAGACCAATGGAATATTTCTGGAAAACCAAGAAATAAGTCTGCATACCTATGATCATCTGATCTTTAACAAACCTGACAAAAACACGCAATGGGGAAAGAATTTCTATTCAATAAGTGCTGCTGGGATAACTGGCTAGCCATATGCAGCAGATTTAAACTGAACCCCTTCCTTATACTTTATACAAAAATCAACTCAAGATGGATAAGAGACTTACATGTAAAACCCAAAACTATAAAAGCCCTGGAAGACTACCTAAGCAATACCATTCTGAACACAGTACCTGGCAAAGATTTTATAACAAAGATGCCAAAAGCAATTGCAATAAAGGCAAAAATTGACAAATGGGATCTAATTAAACTAAAGAGCTCCTGCAAACACAAAGAAAGTAACAATAAAGATTCAACCTACAGAATGAGAGAAAGTATTTGCAAACTCTGCATCTGACAAAGGTCTAATATACAGCATCTATAAGAAACTTAAGCAAATTTAGCAGAAAAAAACAAACAACCCCATTAAAAAGTGGGCGAAGAACATGAACAGATATTTTTTCAAAAGAAGACATACATGTGGCCAACAAGCATATGAAACAAATCTCAATATCATTGATCATTAGAAAAATGTCAATGAAAATCAAAATGAGATACCATCTGATACCAGTCAGAATGACTATTCTTAAAAAGCCAAAAAATAACAAATGCTGGCAAGGTTGCAGGAAAAAGGGAACATTTATCAGCTGCTTGTGGGAGTGTAAATTAGTTCAACCATTGTGGAAAGCAGTGTGGCGATTCCTCAAACAACTAAAAACAGAACTGCCATTGGACCCAGCAATCACATTACTGACTATATACTCAAAGGAATATACATTGCTCTATCATAGAGACATATGCACACATACATTCACTGTAGCACTATTCACAATAGCAAAGATATGAAATCAAACTAAATACGCACTGATGGTAGACTGGGATAAAGAAAATGTGGTACATATACACCATGGAATACTATGCAGCCATAAGAAAGAACAAGGTCATCACCTTTGCAGGGACATGGATGAAACTGGAGGCCATTATTCTTAGCAAACGAATGCAGGAACAGAATCCCAGCACTCTCGGAAGCCGTGGCAGGCAGATCACCTGAGGTCTCCAGTTCGAGACCAGCCTGAGCAACATGGTGAAACACTGTCTCCACCAAAAAATACAAAAATTAGACAGGCATGGTGGCCAGCTACTCAGAAGGCTGAAGCAGGAGAATCGCTTGAACCTGGGAGACGGAGGTTGCAGTGAGCCGAGATCGTGCCACTGCACTCCGGCCTGAGTGATAAAAGCAAGACTCTGTCTCACAAAATAAAACATAAAAGTGGGGGCACAATGATGAGAACATTTGGACACAGTGAGAAACAACACACACTGGGCCCTAGAGGAGGGTAGAGCATAGGAGGGAGAGGAGCAGAAAAAAATAACTATAGGATACTAGGCTTAGTGCCAGGGTGTTGGAAGAATCTGTACAACAAATACCCATGATAGGAGTTTACCTATGTAACAAACCTGCACTTGTACCTCTGAACCTAAAATACAAGGTTTTTATTTGAAAAAAATCACTGAAATATTACCTCATACCTATTAGAATACTTTCAAAAAAAAAAAAAGCAGAAAATAAGTGTTAGCAAGAAAGAATGTGGAAAAATTGGGGCATTTGCTCACTGTTAGTGGGAATGTAAAATGATACAGTCACTATGGAAAACAGCATGGCACTTCCCCAGAACATTAAATATAGAATTCCCATATGATCTAGCAATATCCTTTTCTGTGTATGTATCCAAAAGAATTGAAATGGGAATCTCAAAAAGATATTTGTACACCTATGTGCATAACACCATTATTAGCAATAGTCAAAATATGGAAGTAACCCAAATATCCCTCAATGGATGAATGAATAAACAAAATTAAGACATACAATATAATATTATTCAGCATTAAGAAGAAACATGTTCCGACTCATGCCATGAAACTGATGAAACTTGAAGGTAATACAGTAAGTGAAACAAGTCAGTCACCAAAAGACAAATACTGTTATGATTTCACTTATATAAGATACCTAGAATAGTCAAATTCGTAGAAACAGAAAGCATAATGGTAGCTTCCAGGGGCTGGGAGGAGTGGTTAAAGGACGGTTGTTTGAAGGGTATAGAGTTTCAGTTTGCAAGATAAAAAAGTTCTGAAAATGGGTTGCACAGCAATTTAAATATACGTAACATCATTGAACAATAAACTAAAAAGTGTTTAAAATGGTAAATTCTGTTACGTGTATTTTACCACAATTAAAAACTTAAAATTGCAATGCTGTCATTCAATAGGAGATTGGTTAATGATTCATATACAACAGAGCACTACTTAGACTTTACCATTAATTGTGTATTGGTAATTATTTGATATAGAGATATCCTTATAATATATTATCCTTATAATATATTATATATTGATAGAGAGATATCCTTATATTTTAAATTTTAAAAGCAGATTATAAAGTGGAAATTTGTGTACAATTGACCACAATTCTATAAATCTTTGCATGTGTCTAAAAGTAGAAATAAGTTTTAGAAATACACACTAAAATGTTTGTAGTGATCATGTACCAGTGATGTATTTGGAAAGCATAAAAATCAGTCAAAATGTTTTTCTATTTTTTTGTGATTTTCTCTCATAATAATTAATAAAAAGAGGTTATCTTCAATTTCTGAGTATTGATTGGCCTCCTTTCACTAATTAAACATGTTTTTCCATGAGATTTCTTTTTTCTTTGAAAATTCAAGGCCTGAGGTAGTGGCTCATGCCTATAATTCCAGCCAAGTCAGGAGGATCGTTTAAGCCCAGAGGTTTGAGATCAGCCAGGGAAAAAGGGATAATGTGTATATACTAAATCAAAAATAAAAATATTAGCTGGGCAAGGGGGTGTGCACCTGTGGTCCCAGCTACCTGCAAGGCTGAGGTGGGAGGATCGATTGAGCCCAGGAAGTCGAGGCTGCAGTGGGCTGTGATTGCACCATTACACTTCAGCCTGGGCAACAGAGGGAGATTCTGTAGCCAAAAAAAAAAAAAAGAAGAAAAAAGAAAATTTCTAAACTTTAAAGATTTTTAAAATTATTTATTTCAGTGTTTTGTTTCTTCTTTCTTTTCTCCATGTGAAGTTGTTGGTTATTTAGATAGGTCCTTAATGCTTTTCTTGAATATTTTGATACATTAATCCTTTATTCTTTATTTGTGGAGAGGTTATCTTCAAATTTTTCTGCTTATCTATTTTAGTTTACTGTACTATCATTGATATTTTGTGCTTTTTTGTGTTATTTTGTATTTTAATTTGCTTTTCGGGGGTAAATCAAAAGGATATACTACATTCTGTATAGTTTTGCACTTTAGTAACTGTTGAAACTTACCAACTTGTCTCATCTTGTTATCCAAACTGGAATAATAAGAGTTCCAATGTTAAGTGACTATAAGAATTAAGTGAGATCAAAGCAAGCTTGGTTCAATAAAGAATTACTAATATCCATGGTAGCAATAAGAATAGTATTTATTTTTATGAAGGAGAAGGCATGCTTAATTTTTTTAACATTTCTTTAACACACACACATACACAAACACACAATATTTTGAACCCACAAACTAGGATCTGTTTCAATGTTGTAAGCTTTTGCTGACGGGACTTACAGAGAGGAAAGATCTAAAGATGAAGAAGAGAGGATATAAAACTAATTATTGCACATGTATCTATGACATCTCAGAAATTGTGTCAACTACTTATTATGTATCATTCAAAATAGTTGAGAAAACTGAAGATAAGGTGATGCATTAAACAACGGGACCCAAATTTCAAAATTCATTTGTAAACCTCTTTAGTTCCAAAGATAATGTATCATAAAATTAGTATATACGATCAAACCTTTTCTTGCAAAGTATTGTGTAGATGATTTGAGTTTATTTTAGCACTTTTCGGAAGCTTTCCTAAAATATTGACATTAGAAGGGCACACTATACATTTTAAACTGTGTCCAATGATACCCTAGAAGATGGTAAAGAATATACAAAATTTAAATTGTTTTGGTTTTCCACAGCAATGATTTATCTTTCTTATAGATTATTAGTTAGAAAAGTGTTTATTTGAGAAATGATTGTATTATTTTGCAAAACTCATATGGATAGCCATTATTTACCCCGATGTTCTTCAATAAAGAACCCAAATAATAAACTATTCCCATAATTTTGCATTAAGTGAATGAGATTGAGATGAGGTGAAAATATGGCTTGATCCTTTATTATATATCTACTATTATGTTGTACTTTGTTATACATTATGCTAATATTTTTATAAGGCAATTAAGACCTTGACAACTAGATCCAAGTGAGTCTAATATAAATACAGTGCGCAATTGCAGTAACCATAAAATTTCAGTTGTCATGTTCTCTTTCTATACAATTTTTTAACATTTATTCTTTAAATTTACATTTGAAATATACTTTAATGGTGCTTGCCTCTCTAAATAACTTTCGCGATAATAATAATACCAACAATGATAAGTAACATTTATACAATGTCTTTTCTGTGTGGGACCTACCTCCTTAATTAAGTTTACATATGTTATCTCATTTAACCCTCACAAAAACTTAGTAGGAAACTTAATAATATCTGCAGAAAACTGATGCAAATGTAGGAACTAGCATAGAATTTTAAAAACATACACGTATGCCCTCCCACACACACATTTTGTTGATATTCTCAAAACTTTGATGAAATCTGAAGACCTTTCTTAAAAAGCCTCTGATCTAGGACATCAGGAACTAAATTGCATATGCCATAGTTTCTTCTATTTACATAACAGTTTTTGAGCCTTCATGGATTTAAGCCACATGTGCTAAAATTTAAAACACATAGAGATCTGTTTCACTTCTTTTTCTCCTTTCATATTCACAAATGCATGCATATACTTATTTTCAAAAAAAAAATCCATTTTAACTGTGTTCTCTTTGGTTCTCCATAATATAAGTGCTCTCATATTAGAGATGATACAATATCTTTTTTAATCTATAAATTGCAAAGATCTTACAGTTTTACCTTTATTTTAAAAAAGGGCAATTATCAAAACCCAGAATCTTCATTAAGTTAAATATCTTCCAAAATACCACAGTTTTATAAAAGAATTTGACTTCCTTAAAAATTAATGTTCAGATTAGAAATTAATAGTAAAATATCTTTAAACATATAAAATATGAAAATGACAAAGAAAATGTTTACCTATTTGGTCAAATACAGGTCTCGCTTTGTATACCAGCCATTCTCAGGTTCGTAAACTTGAGTGGACATGAGAATCACCTGAAGAGCTTATTAAAACACAGATTCCTGAACTTCATTCCCAGAGTTTCTGATTCAGTAGGTATGTGTGGAATCCAAGAATGTGCATTTCTGACAGCTCTCAGGTGATGCTACTGTTCTTAGTCCAGGATCCACACTTTGGGAATCACCAATGTATATTGATTTCACAATGCACACACTTCTATTTTTCCTTTCAGAAAAAAAGGCCTAACTCCATTCAAACTCTGCTGCTGTCTGCTGATTCAAAGCCTCTGCGGCAGCCTTTTCAGTATCCTACACATAAAAGTCTGCTTTAGAGACAGCCATAAAATGTGACCACCTCTGTGATGAAATGGGTCAGCATAAATTGTTGCAAGTTATTTTTTAGAGAAAGGATTGCAGACTTTTTTTCTTAGCTATGCCAATTTTGTGGTTTGGGATTATATACAGGTTTTTCACTGAAAAGATGAATTCCTAAAAATTTGTATATGTATATTTCATATCATAAACAACATTAAAGTCCAGATAGACATAAAAGGAAAAATAAACATTTAAAAGTATATAAAAGTTGGTTCAAAATACGAAAAATATAGAAGTTGTTACAGGCTTGGAGACACAAGGAAAAGCATTATGACCAAATTGTATAAAATTCAACTAATTTCTTTTTTTTTCTTTTTTTTTTTTTTTTTTTTAAATGGAGTCTCGCTCTGTCGCCCAGGCTGGAGTGCAGTGGCGCTATCTCGACTCACTGCAAGCTCTGCCTCCCAGGTTCATAATATTCTCCTGCCTCAGCCTCCCGAGTAGCTGGGACTACAGGCGCCTGCCACCACGCCCGGCTAATTTTTTTTGTATTTTTTTAGTAGAGACGGGGTTTCACCGTGTTAGCCAGGATGATCTCGATCTCCTGACCTCATGATCTGCCCGCCTCGACCTCCCAAAGTGCTGGGATTACAGGCGTGAGCCACTGCGCCCGGCCGCAACTAATTTCTTTATAACATAAATATAATTAAAAAGAAAAGCAGACCCAGAAAATATTTCAGGCAATTCTGAGAGCCCATTTATAAATACACTTTATGGAAAAAAAACATGTAAATATTAATAAAATATATCAATATTCCAATAGGTATACTAGAAATGGGCATAAGAGGCAATTCTCAGGTGGGAAATACAATCAGAAGTTCTGAAAATGGGAAAATGTAATTTTTTGTAGTAAAACAAACACAAGTTAAAACAAAAAGGAAATAGTACTCCATTTAAGAAGTACTAAAAAATCATGAACGCTAATATGTGTGTGGAGAATATTTCTGGTGGGATATATTAATTAGTGTAACACTTGGTACATTGATATGGTTTGGCTCTGTATCCCCACCCAAATCTCATCTCAAATTGTAATCCCCATGTATCCAGGGAAGGACCTGTAACCCCCACGTGTGGAGGTAGGGAAGTGATTGGATTGTGGGGGAGATTTTCCCCATGCTGTTCTCGTGATAGTCGTAAATTCTCAAGAGATCTGATGGTTTTATAAATGGTAGCTTTTCCTGTGCTCTCACTCGCTCTTCTGCCACCTTGTAAAGAAGCTGTCTGCTTCCCCTTCCACCATGATTGTAAGTTTCCTGAGGCTTCCCTAGCCATGCAGAACTGTGAGTCAATTAAACCTCTTTTTTTTTTTTTTTTATAAATTACCCAACCTCTGGCAGTTCTTTACAGCAGTGTGAAAACAAACTAATACACACATCAATTTCAAAAATAAATGTATCAGTAACCATGTATATGCTTTCACCTTTTGACATATTAGTTTTTCTTGTGAAAACTAATCTTAAGCAGAAAAAAGTCCTCTCCCAAATTGAAGATGTTCATTTTTAGCATTGTCTATTTAATATTGGAATGAATCATCTAACTATTGCTGCACATGTGCTTAGACTAAGTAAATTCCTTCAATCAATATAATAATATATTATATAACCTTTAACTAGGATTTAATGGCACTCTGTAACAATAAGAAAAATAATTTTAGGTTAAAAAAGAAGAAGCCATTTGTATATGTTTATCTATTATGTAGTAATAGCCATATAGACTTATATACACTACGGTAGATGGAAGAAAAGATAATAGAGAGATAAGAATTAGAGATACATTTATTTGCCTTATTTTATCGTTGTCTAAATTGAATGTAAATATTTTGCTACTGCAAAAAAGACACATACCTCTGTCCTGTCTAGCAGAAGAATGATAGACCCTTGTTCTTTCCTTACCCAAAGGTGGGTTTTTAATGTACATCAGGGACAGGCTGCTTGTTTTCTGTATGACCTGTAAGCTGAGAAAGGTTTTCAAAGTTGTGAATGACAATTTCTCTAACTCCTACTTTTGGTTAGAACAGGATAAACCAAATTGCTTATCTCAGTTACTTCGAAGAAATAGTTTAACTTTTATTATTTGTGAATCAAAACAAGAAATGAAAGCTCAATGAAAGGATTAGCCAACGTGGTATTTTTATTTACCTATTTTAGTGCATTTATACGATCAAGAGACACTTACGTGTCTTTTCACTGCTTGAAAATCCAAGTCTACCTTTATTTCTGTAATTTTGATGGCATAATCAAAATATGAAATACTGTTGCTTTCTGTTACTACATTAATAAATTGTTGTATTGCAAAGACAATATCTCTTGCTTTTTAAACCAAGATTATTAGGATTATCTTGATTCTGCTACAGCTGCTCTGTGTGTGTAAGCAAATACTATGAGGGCTCCCCTGTCCAGGGAGACAAGCCTGGCTCTGTCATGGTTCATTGCCTTGAAACAAATCTGCCCCCGCTCAGAACCACAACTAGCTGAAAGTCTGAGGAAAGAAACAGTGGAGTGAGTCCACTAAGATTTTAAGAGGTGAGGTCATTGAATCAAGCAGGAATTTTTGCAGAAAAAAAAAAAGCGATCCCTTTTAAACCACTTTATACAATGCTCCACTGAAAATGAACTTGCCACAAAAGTATTTTGAGTACTGTCATTATTTCTCACACATGAACTCAAACAAGTATGCAACTCATACATGCCATTTTTGCATTAAAATTATCTTCCATTTCTTTTATTAAGAAAATAAGGCCGGGCGCAGTGGCTCCCACCTGTAATCCCAGCACTTTGGTAGGCCGAGGCGGGCGAATCACAAGGTCAGGATATCGAGACCATCCTGGCTAACACAGTGAAACCCTGCCTCTAATAAAAATACAAAAATTAGCCAGGCGTGGTGGTGGACAGCTGTAGTCCCAGCTACATGGGAGGCTGAAGCAGGAGAATCACTTGAACCTGGGAGGCAGAGGTTACAGTGAGCCGAGTTCGCACCATTGCGCTCCAACCTGGGCGACAGGGCAAGGCTCCATGTCAAAAAAAAAAAAAAAAAAAAAAAAATAGTACACATAGAATAACAAATTTTTAAAGGGTACATATCACAATATTTAAAAAGTTCTCTTTTTGTACTTTGATCCCTTTTTTCCTTTTCAAAGAGTAAGCATTATTTCTTTTATAATTTTTCCTTTTCTAAAAAAAGAAATATGTACGGATCAATATATATGATTATTAGCTTCAGATATGAAGACAAAGATGACTGTACTCTTTTTTTTTATTTTTCAACTTTTATTTTAGTTGCAGGGGCTATACAGGCAGGCTTGTTATCTGGGTATATTGTGTGATGCTGAGGTTGGGGATACAAATGATCCCTTCACCCAGGAACTAAGCATGGTACCCAACAGCTAGTTTTACAACCCTTGCCCCATCTCTCCCTTTTCCATCAAGTAGTCTCCTGTTGCCATCTTTCAAATATGACTATACTTTATCTAATTTCTTCCTCTTGCCCTTATGCCATGAGATAAATATCTGTGGTTCCTCTGATTTCTTAACTGATCACATGTTTTGAACAACCAAATGAAATTTACAAATAATTAGTGTAATTTTGTATAATCAAATATTTATAAAACTGTCATTTCAAAATGTGCCAGCACAAGATTCATTTATTCATTCTGGATATAAAAATTGACAATGCCATGAACCAGTCACTGAGTCAGAACTCACTCTAGGAAGGTAAAAATCACTCAAATGCATGCAAATAAATGTGAGAAATTGTTTTGCCCCTCCATATGGATAGAAATCTCTTGTTTCAGGATTTAGAATTAATAACAACTCTCCTGAAGACATGAGTTGTCTATTGTCCGTACCTTTTAAATGAAAATAAAATTAAAAAAGAATAATTGGATTTCTTGAATTTTCTTTATTTATTTAGAGATGCAGAGAATAAAATAATTTCAAAGGGAATCTGACACTGCTTATCAAGGTTAATCATAGAGGCTTGACATTCTGGGGAAAAAAGCATAATCAAATATATATGCAGCATAAGTTTCTGAGCAAACTGATCTCTTCATAGTACAAACATTTCTTGAGAAATCAGAAATCAAATTTGTTTTGAGTAAAGCCTATGATCTGAGTTAAAAAATATTCTCCAAAGATGTAATTTTCTGTTTATTTGCTTTAAATGTCTTAAAATTTAGGGAGGAGAGAGGACATAATTTTTCAACAAGTCCACAATGGTGTTTGTTTCTCTAGCTTTATTTTATTTTATTTTACTGATTTATTTTTGAGACAATCTGGTTCTGTCACTGAGGCTAGAGTGCAGTAGTGGGTCAAGGTTCACTGCAACTTTGACCTCCTGGGCTGAAGTGATCCTTCCACCTTAGCCTCTCAAGTAGTGGGGACTACAGGTATGTAACACCACACCTGCCTACTTTTTAATTTTATTTTAGAGATGGAAGTCTTACTATGTTGCCCAGGCTGCTCTCAAATTCCTGGACTGATATGGTTTGACTGTGTTCCCACCAAAATCTCAACTTGAATTTTAATTCAAATTATAATCCCCGCATATTAGGGGAGGGACCTTGTCGGAGGTGATTAGATCATTGGGGCAGTTCTCCCATGCTGTTCGCGTGATAGTGAGTTCTCACGAGATGTGATGGTTCTACAAGGGGCTTCCCCCTTCACTCAGCACTCACTCTCCTGCCACCCTGTGAAGAGGTGCCTTCTGTCATGATTGTAAGTTTCCTGAGTCCACCCCAGCCATGCAGAACTATACATAAATTAAACCTCTTTTTTTTTAACATATAAATTACCCAGTCTTAGATATTTCTTCACAGCACCATGAGAATGGATTAATACAAGTGATTTTACTGCCTTGGCCTCCCAAAGTTCTGGCATTACTGGCATGAGCTACAGCATCTGGCCTTAGCTTTAGATTAGAAACATAAATCATTTTTAGAGTAGTACATTTTGTTAAGCCAAATAATTGCAAATAAAAATACTCAACTCTATAATGGCAATCTAGTCAAACTATAAACAAAAGTAAAAGGAGAGTGACAAGATGGGAAAGTACTTTTGAGACATATTGAAGTGAAAGGGTTAATTTCCTTGAGCTAATACAGAAGTCATAATTAAGTTAAAGGCATCATAAAGATGACTATTGGTTAGAAAAGTTTCTGAACATTTCTTAATAGTCAGAAAAGTAAAGTCACACAGAAACAAACACACACACACACACACACATTCAAATACCAAATGCAAAACAAGTTCACTCTGATAAACAATAAAACAAATAGAAAATAATAAAAAATAACCTCCTACTATCTCCACCACAGGCCCAAATCATCAACAATTCTTATAGTTTACTTTCAAGATAAATGGAGATTCTGTCTCCTGTGACCTCCCTCGTCTGAAGCACTATCATCACTCACCTAACTATTGAAAGAAATCTCTACAATCCCACTCTTTCTCTTTGCCAATCTATTCTACACTGAACAGCCAAGATGATGTTTTAAAAATATCATAAACTATGTCATTGCTCTGCTCAATGCTTTTCTTGGGGCAGCTCCTTTTTGAGAGGGCAGCACAAGATATACTCTTGGCAGATGCTGGGTGGCAACTGAGCAATATGCTCATATATTTCTACTTCTTAGATATTTAGAAGTGTGTTGCAAGTTGGAACACTTGTCTCCTTTTCAAATGGACATATTACAGGCTTGCATAGGGACACAGTATGTTACTAAAGGTGCAGACCAACACAGAGAAAGTTGGAAATAGTATTTTCCTTTGTGACAACCCTAAATATACATTCAGGAATAGCTAGTAAGATTAAAATTTGCTTCTCTGAAACTCAGGAACAAGCATCCTAGTCCCACTGCCCTACAGCCCTCCTTTATTTACAACTTCTGTCTGCTACTCTGATGAAGTCAGGATCAAGATGGTTCTTTTTGGAGTTCCTTTCGTTTATTACAGAACAGACATCAAGTGAATCCTTGGGTTAATTTCTCTTCTCTCATCCAGCTGACAGTATATTTTAGAGAAATTTCTTAGAGTATTATTCAGGCAGATGGCATTTTTAAAGGTACTATAGTCTTGAAACAAATTAATTAAAATTTAGCAGCTGGAAACACCTAATTTGTTGGGCACACTGATTCTGGGAAAAGAAATATGAAAGGAGTACAGTGGGAGTGGGTTAACTTTGCTTTACATTGTGACCTCAGCTGGGAGCCAAAAGGATGAGAATGACTCTGAAAGCTTCTTCACTCCCATGACTGGTACCTGGGATTGGATAGCTTGACCACTATGGCTAGTGACTAGAGCTATGAAAGGCTTCTCCATGTGGCTTGGCTTCCTTACAACATGGCTGACTTATTTAGTAGCTGGTTGATATGGTTTGGCTGTGTCCCCACTCAAATCTTATCTTGAAATTCCACATGTTATGGGAGAGACTCAGTGAAAAGTAATTGAAACATGGGGGCAGGTCTTTCCTGTGCTGTTCTTACGATAGTGAGTGAGTCTCATGAGATCTGAAGGCATTATAAGGGGGAGTTTCCCTGCAAAAGCCCTATCCTCTTGTCTGCCACCATGTGAGACATGCATTTCATCCTCTGCCATAATTTTGAGGCCTCCCCAGCCATGTGAAACTTGTAAGTCCAATAAACCTCTTCCTTTGGTAAATTGCCCAGTCTCAGGTATGTCTTTATCAGCAGTGTGAAAATGAACTCATACAGTAAATCGATACCAGTAGAGTGGGGCACTGCTGAACAGATACCCTAAAATGTGGTAGTGACTTTGGAACTGGGTAACAGGCAGGGTTTGGAACAGTTTGAAGGGCTCAGAATAACATAGGAAAATGGGTGAAGGTTTGGAACTTCCTAGAGACTTGTTGAATGGCTTTGCCCAAAATATTGATAGTGATATCAACAATAAGGTCCAGGCTATGGTGGTCTTAGATGGAAATGAGGAACTTGTTGGGAACTGGAGCAAAGGTGACTCTTGTTATGTTTTAGCAAAGAGACAGGTGGCATTTTGCCCCTGCCCTAGAGATTTGTGGAACTTTGAACTTGAGAGAAGACGATTAGGGGTATCTGGTGGAAAAAAATTCTAAGCAGCAAAGCATTCAAGAGGTGACTTGAGTGCTATTAAAGGCATTCAGTTTTATAAGGAAAGCACAGCATAAAAGTTCAGAAAATTTGCAGCCTGACAATGCATTAGAAAAGAAAATCCCATTTTGTGAGGAGAAATTCAAGCCCACTGCAGAAATTTGCATAAGTAATGAGGACCCGAATGTTAATCCCCAAGACAATGGGGAGAATGTCACCAGGACATGTCAGAGGTTTTCACAGCAGCCCCTCCCATCACAGGCCTGGAGGCCTAGGAGGAAAACATGGTTTCATGGGCCAAGCCCAAGTTCCCCATGCTGTGTGCAGCCTAGAGACTTGATGCCCTGCATCCCAGTCACTCCAGCGGTTGGTCGAAAGGGACCAAAATATAGCTTCAGAGGGTGCAAACCTCAAGCCTTGGCAGCTTCCATGTGGTGTTGAGCCTGCAAGTGCACAGAACTCAAGAATTGAGGTTTGGGAACCTCTGCCTAGATTTCAGAAGATATATGGAAACGCCTGGATGCCCAGGCAGAAGTTTGCTGCAGGGGCAGGGTTCTCATGGAGAACCTCTGCTAGGGCAGTGCTGAAGGGAAATGTGGGGTAGGAGCCTCCACACAGAGTCCCTACTGGGGCACCACCTAATGGAGCTGTGAGAAGAGGGCCACTGTCCTCCAGACCCCAGAATGGTAGATCCACTGCCAGCTTGCACCATGTGCCAGGAAAAGCCACAGAGAGAGTCAATGCCAGCCCATGAAAGCAGCCAGGTGGGAGGCTGTGACATTCAAAGCCACAGGGGCAGAGCTGCCCAAGACCGCGGGAACCCACCTCTTGCATCAGCGTGACCTGGGTGTGAGACATGGAGTCAAAGGAGATCATTTTGGAGCTTAAAGATTTGACTGCCCCACTGGAATTTTGACTTGCATGGGGCCTGTGGCCCCTTTGTTTTGGCCAACATCTCCCATTTGGAATGGCTGTATTTACCCAGTGCCTTGTATCTAGGAAGTAACTAACTTGCTTTTGATTTTACAGGCTCATAGGTGGAAGGGACTTGCCTTGTCTCAGGTGAGACACTGGACCTGTGGACTTTTGAGTTAATGCTGGAATGAGTTAAGACTTTGGGGGACTGTTGGGAAGGCATAATTTGTTTTGAAATGTGAGGACATGAGACTTGGGGCGGCCAGAGCAGAATGATATGCTTTGGCTGTGTCCCCACCCAAATCTCATCCTGAATTCCCATGTATTTTGGGAGGCACCCAGTAAAAGCTAATTGAATCATGGTGGCAAGTCTTTCCTGTGCTGTTCTTCTGACAGTGAATGAGTGTCACGAGATCGGATGGTATTTTAATGGGGAGTTTCCCAGCACAAATTCTGTTCTCTTTTCTGCCGCCATGTCAGAAGTGCCTTTCACCTGCCACCATGATTGTGAGGCCTCCCCAGCCACTTGGAACTGTAAGACCAATAAACCTCTTCCTTTTGCAATTTGCCCAATCTCAGGTATGTATCATCAGCATGAACATGGACTAATACATGGGTGTTACTTGGTAGCACACAGTTCTAATCTCAGATGTTAGAGCCTCAGCATCAAACCATCATTTAGTCCATAATGAAGTAGTCACAAGATCGACCAGACCTCAAGGAGACTGCTAATGGAAGGCAGTGTGTCAAAAAACCAGGGACACATGATTTAAAACCTCCCCAGAACTCTCCTTCACTTTTTTCTACTAACATTGTTTTCCTCCTTCCAGTTTATATTCTTTTGATCATTGTTGTGAAATGTGAGATTATGGGGTAGAGGTGGCTATCAAGTGAGCCCGGACAGTGGCGTTCATTTAGAAGCTTCATTTGCTCAAATTCATTTGTTGAAAGAATTGGAAATTAATATGGATTTTGTAAACATCTGATCATCCTGTTAATTAGGGCTTTGTTAATGATGAAAGTGAAATTAATGTTTTACTTATTAAAGTCTGTGGAACATTTCTAACTCACTTGAAATTTTTAAGGTATTTAACGTCATTATAAAGTCAAGGATAACAGGTATACCTTGCAAAGAAGAGTTAGGATAAGGATTTATAAAAAATTTGAAAACAACTTAGAAGTTAAATTTTGGTATGTGTTTTATTTGATATTACATGAAGCAGTAAAAAATGAATATGTGGTAAATATGTGTGTGTGCTGGTGTGTGTAATTCTTACTTTGATGTCAAGCACTATTACTAAAAGTTACCCAGAGAAAGGAAGTCAGTAGAGAAGACATGAGGAGAGAGAAGAGGCTTTTACAATGTAAGTAGAAGTGGCCTCCAGCAACTAATTTTTTTTTTTTTTTTTTAGACAGAGTCTCGCTCTGTCACCCAGGCTGGAGTGCAAAGGCACGATCTCTGCTCACTGCAAGCGCCACCTCCCAGGTTCACGCCATTCTCTTGCCTCAGCCTCCCAAGTAGCTGGGACTACAGGCGCCCACCACCACAGCCGGCTAATTTTTTGTATACTTAGTAGAGACAGGGTTTCACTGTGTTAGCCAGGATGGTCTCAATCTCCTGACCTTGTGATCTACCTGCCTCGGCCTCCCAAAGTGCTGGGATTACAGGCATGAGCCACCGTGCCCGGCCACAACTAATATTTTAAACATAAAATGTGTGTGTGAGTAAGTGTCTTTAGTCAAGTACAGTTATAACTCAAATATTAAATAAAAGTTTGGATCTAGGCCTTCTCTTTGGTGAAATAGTTTTGATGTGTGTGGTATATAACATAATTGCTATATTTTTGTTTGAGTATTTATAACTCAATGTAGTTAGTAATCAAAATCATGCTAAAATGTTTTAATGTTTTTAGAATGCCTTAAAAATGTGCATTTCAGGATTATCATTTTAATCATGAAATTTTTATAAGGTAGGCTTTTTTGAAACATTAGTTCAGAGGGAATTCTGGGTAATAAATAAATATTAGGACTTTGCTATATATACCTTTCATAGAATTAAGATATTTTTATAGTATAAATACTCTGCTGCTGACACACAAACATTCTTTAAAGACAGATGAAATTTTTATACTCAGGTGTCCAATTAGTGTTTCTTAGTGAATTTTTATCCTAGTATCTGTTTTGGGATTGGGGAATATTAGCCCTTAAAGAAATATATTTGTAAAACATTAGTGATGCAAATGTATTTTAGCCTCAAGTAGATATGTGAAAAATGATCATGCAACTTTATTAAACATCATAACAGTGTCATATTTTTTTTCTCTCAGAGGAGTTCTTTTAATTTTCAGTTATCTCTCAAGTCTGTCTGTATTTAATAATTTGCTCCATTATTTCAGTCATAAGCCAAGGTGTATATATATGTGTGTATATATATAGTGCTCCTTGAAATGTTACATTAAGAAAAAAACCACAAGTAAATAAAATTCATTCTGTAAATTATTATACACTAACAGTATTGGGTAAAATACTAGGCTGTGCCATAGATTCTACGTTTCTTTTTGTGATGAGGAAGGGGATGGAAATAGACGGTAGAAACATACATTTTCTATGTAATGCTCCTGATAATTCTTCATCAAAAATTGTTTGGCTGTCATTAGCCATCTATTCTTTAATAATTACTTTAAAATTATTTTAAATGACAGGAAAATAAGTATATTTTTGTCAAAGTGATCTAAGGAAGAGAAAACTAAAATGTGTTTACATTTCCTGAAAATAGCATAGTGTAAATCCATGGGTTGAAGACCCCTAGTCTCCTAAATTTTCATAGAAATTAGCAAAGAAATTCAAGAATAAGAAAACAAGACTCAACACTGAAAAGCAGGTTAAAACATGTTTTTCACCCCACAAACTTCTAAAATTTTTTTTTGAAAGGAACAAATTGATAGAATGTCTGACCAATCTCTTTGATTGTATGAGAATGAGAATCTCATTCTTATTTCTGGTTATGAGGGACATGAAAATGAAACCTTTAACATTTGATAGAGTAAGTAGCATCAGTTGGATCTAAACATAAGTAACATAACATTCAATGAAGGGCAGATATTGACATCTGGCAGTTGACTCTCTTTTGACGAATATTAATTGCAGTATGATTTTACATTCTTTAAAAATGATAAAGAAAAAAACAAATAAACAGCAAATGAAATGCAAATTGAATCAACAGTGCAAAAAACAATCTTGTAAACATTCTGGGTTAAAAAAATAAATATGATTAGAAAGTACTTTAAAATTTTTATCTTTAGCAATGTTTTAAAAGGTTATCAAAATAATGCAAATTTTAAAAACTTCAGTATATATACTTATTAAATGGTGAATATATTTAGAATGAATTTACTAATGAACATTACTAAAATTATCACCTGTAAAACTATTTAAAACTATATAAATATTGTCAAAAATGTCTTGCCATACCAACTAAAACAGAGAAAAAATGAAGGAAGATAAAATGTGAAAAGTTAAATGAACAAATTCTCTTATATTTCATACAGAAAGATAAATGTTGTTTTATTTTATGTTATATACATTTTAAAATGTATTCCATTTCATTTTAAAATTGATTTATGTTTAAAATTGATTTCTAAACAGGAGAGATATAAATGAATTTTTCAAAAATGTAAAGGTGGCTAACTGATAAAGTAACATTTTTTTTTTCAAATTGGTCCTGAAATTTTGAAGAAAAGGAAAAAGAGACATATTGTAGTCATCATAGCTGAAGATAGAAAATATTTAAGGAACCATGAAAAGCAAGTAACAATCTGAAAAGACTGTATAATTTATGATTTCATTTATACAGCATTCTGGAAAAGGCAAAACTGTAAAGATGGTTAACAAAGCAGTGGGTTTCTGGCTAGCCATGCACAGAATTGACACTGGATCACTTCCTTACACCATATACAAAAATTAAATTAAGATGGATTAAGGACTTAAATGTAAAACCCAAAACTATAAAAACCCTAAAAGACAATCTAGGAAATACCATTCAGGACATAGGCATGGGCAGATTCCATGACAAAGACACCAAAAACAATTGCATTAAAAGCAAAAATCGACAAAAGGCATCTAATTTAAAGAGCTTCTGCAGAACAAATAAAACTATCAACAAGGTAAACAGACAACCTACAGAATGGGAAAAAAATTTCACAATCTATGCACCTGAAAAAGGTCTAATATCCATCATCTATCAGAACTTAAACACAATTACAAGAAAAAAAGAAACAGCCTGTTTAAAAAGTGAGCAAAGAACATGAACAGACACTTTTCTAATGAAGACATACATGCAGCCAACAATCATGTAAAAAAAAGTATCACTTATCATTAGAGAAATGCAAACAAAACCACAATGAAATATTATCTGTAACCAGTCAGAATAGCTATTCTTAAAAAGTCAAAAAATAACAAATGCTGGCAACGCTGTGAAGAAAAAGGAACAGTTATACACTGTTAGTGGGAGTGTAAATTAGTTCAACCATTGTGGAAAGCAGTGTGGCAATTCCTCAAAGAGCTAAAAAGAGAATGGCCATTGGACCCAGCAATCCCATTACTGGGAATATATCCAAAGGAATATGAATTTTTCTATTATAAAGACTCATGCACATATATATTTATTGCAGCACTACTCACAATAGCAAAGACATGGAATCAATCTAAGTGCCCATTAATGGTAAACTGGAAAAAAAATGTGGTACAAATACACTGTGGAATACTATGCAGCCTTAAAACAACCAAGATCATGTCCTTTGCAGGGACATGAATGGAGCTGCAGGCCATTATCTTTAGCAAACTAATGCAGGAACAGAAAACCAACTACCGCATGTTCTCATTTATAAGTGGGAGCTGAATGATGAGAACACATGGACACACTGAGGGGAACAACATATACTGGTGCCTACTGGAGAATGGAGAGTGGGAGGAAGGAGAGGATAAGGAAAAATAACTAATGGGTATTTGGCTTAATACATGGGGGATGAAAGAATCTGTACAATAAACCCCCATGACACAAGTTTACCTATGTAACAATCTGCATATGTACCCCTGAACTTACAATAATCGTTAAGAAAAAGCAGTGGTTTTCAAGGATCTGGAAAAAGCAAAGGGTTAAAGGAGTTAATCATGAGGTATTTTTAGCATTATAAAACTATTCTGTATAATATTGCAGTGGTTACAGACATTATGCATTTGACAAAACACATAGAACTTTATATCACAAAGAGTTCACCTTAAATGTATACAAGTTTTCAAAAATAATTTATGATATCACGGCACCCCTGATGGAATGCAGACTGTGTTAATAGAATCTCAGTCTGTTACGAGTGTATGAAATAGCCTTACTGAAGGAGGTGAGGGAAAAGGTGCTGGCCTTAATTAATTTTGGAAATGAGAGGGAACTGTAAGACTAAAGGCAAAAGAAATTGTACAGGGGCACTGTATTGTGACTAATAACGTTTTGTTTGTTTGTTTCCATAGGAATATAGGTTAACAGATTTGAAACCACTATACAAGTATTCTAGAATTAAAAAACTAAATAAGTGGATGGGAGTTGGTGGGAACCAGATTTCTCATTGTTGGAGATTACAGACAAGCAGAGAAGGTTAGAATAATACATGCAGCAATAGATTAGATTTGGAGACATCAGCATGAATTTGTATTTAGCTTAACATTGATAGAGATGGATAATTTATAGATATCTATATACAGTAAGTTCTCACTAAACATCACTAATAGTTCCTTGGAAATTCAACTTTAAGTGACGCCATACAACACAACCAATTTTACAAAAGGGTAATTGATATAAACCAGATTTAAGTTCCTATGGCATATTTCTAATTACAAAAACATTACCAAACTTCTAAATAAAGACCAAAACACTTCTAGTATTAAACATTAAAATAAATGAGAGTTGTATATACATTTGAGAAAGAGTAAAAAAAAAAAAGTAAGATAATTATTTAAGTTCAGAATCATGGGTGACCAGAGGCCATCAAGGCAGTTCAGGGTAACAGGCAGCAACAACCAGCCCTGGAAAGGACACCATCCCATCTCAGGGCACACTCACACACATCCACACTCACTCAGACTCGGACAATGTAGGCAAACCAATTTGCCTCATGTGCATTTCTTTGGCATGTGAGAAAAAACTGGAAAACCCAGAGAAAGCACACGCAGACATGGGGAGAACATGCAAACTCCACAAAGACAGTGGCACTGTCTGGGAATCGATTTCTTTCTCATCAACCTCATAACGAAATGATGTTCTTTGAAGATTAGCCGTATAGACAAAGGTTAGTATAGACACATATGTTTCTATGCTCTGAGTCAACACAGAATAGTGAAACCCTAAGAGTAACAAAAAACCTAACACCATATTTTGGTTTTTGATGCCATTTTTCAGAAGAAAAAAAAAAGTAGAACCAGTACTCCCAGGAAACAATAACTAATCCTAGGGCTGCAATAAGGAATATACAGGTGAATCTTGAGCATCTTATTATGCTGGAAATTTAGGAGGTACTCAAAATAAAAACAACAACACAATAACAATATTAAAATCACACTGATGGGGGTACTTGAAAGTAATATGGAAACCAGTGAAAGAGTTCCTAATGGCCAAAGCTGGAACAATCTGGGCAACCAAATAAATAACGTAACAGTAGGTTATAACCCAAAGTATAAGATAAATATCTATACATTCACATTAATATAAATAAGTAATTGAATACATAAATAAATGTAGCCTAAAACACAAATTTTTCATGTAGTACACTTCCAAACAGTGTGAATGGCCCACTCTCAAAGGTGCAGGAGGGACAGTATAACTCTACTTTTAAAGCGTGGGCTGTACGTAGTGACTTTCTTTTAAAATCTGGAAATGGAGAAAAGAGAATAACTTTGCAGTGAAGGTGCAAGCATAGCTTGTTTTATTGTGCTTTGCTTTATTTCATTTGGCAGATATTGTGATTTTTACAACAGAAGGTTTTTAGCAACCCCGCATTGAGCAAGTCTGTTGGAGCTATTTTTTCCAACAGCGTGTGCTTACTTCATGTCTCTGTATTACATTTTTATAATTCTTGCAATATTTCAAACTTTTTCATTATCATTATATCCCTTGTGATTTATGATCCATGTCTTTGATGTTATGATTCTAATTGTTTTGGGGTGTCACAAACAGTGCTCCTATAAGACAATGAACTGAATTGATACATGTGTTCTAACTGTTCCACACACAGGCCATTCCCTCATCTCTCTCCTTCTCTTCAGGCTTCCCTATTCCTTGAGACACAATAGTATTAAAATTAGGCTAATTACCCTACAATGACCTCCAGGTGTTCAAGTGAAAAGACGAGTCATATGTCTCTCAGTTGAAATCAAGAGCTACAAGTGATTAAGCTTTGTGAGGAAGTCATGTCAAAAGTCTAGATAGGCCAAAATCTAGGCCTCTTGCACCCAACAGTTAGTCAATTTGTCACTGCAAAGGAAAAGTTCTTGAAGGAAATTGAAAGTGCTATTCCAGCAAACAAACAAATGATAAAAATGTGAAACTACCGTTGCTGACATAGAGAAAGTTTAGTGGTCTGGACTGAAGATTAAACTAACCACAACATTCCTTATGCCAAAACCTAATCAAGGGCAAAACCTTTCTCTTCAATTCTGCAGAGGCTGACAGAGGTGAGAAAGCAGCAGAAGAAAAGAAGTTTGAAACTAGCAGAAGTTGGTTCATGAGGTTTAAGGAAAGAAGCCATCTCCACAACTTAAAAGGTGAATCAGCAAGTGCTGATGAAGAAGCTGCAACAAATTATCCAGATCTAGCTAAGAACATTGGTGAAGGTGGCTATACTAAACAACAGATTTTCAATGCAGACAAAATAGCATTCTATCGGAAGAAGATGCCATGTAGTACTTTCATAGCTAGAAAGGAAAAGTCTATTCCTGTCTTCAATGTACGTGTATACCTAACAAAAGCTACCTACAGCTGGATGATCAAGGTTACTGTTGACAGTGATTAGTCACATTGATACTATGTACCCTTGATATTATGTAATGAGAAAGGCACTTGACCTCTGTTGGCTCCTCCTAGAACAAATAATCCCAGTGTAATCATGAGAGAAGCATCAGAAAAATCTAAGAGACATTCGGCAAAATATCTGGCCAGTACTTCTCAAAACTGTCAAGATCATGAAAAGCAAGGAAAATCTGAGCAACTCATAGCCAAAATGCTCTTAAGGAGACATGACTACTAGATGTAATGTGTCCTACTAGATGAGATCCAGGAACAGAAAAAAGACATTAGGTAAAAACTAAGGAATCTGAATACTTCATGAGCTTCAGTTAATAATAATATAATGTTATTGGTTTATTAATTATAAACATTTACTATTTAAAGTAAGGTACTAATATTAGGTTTGGGTCTCTTTGTACTGTCTTCACAACATTATTGTAAATCTAAAAGTTTTCTAAAATAGAAAGTTTATTAAACATCCTTTTAGTCATGTGTAGTAATGCAATCTGAAATTGATCACCCTTTCTATAAAAATAGTCTGACATTTCAAAAAAAAAGAGCATGTAGCATAATTAGACAAAACATTTGTGACTATAAGTGTAAGTTCATTATCAAAATAAAAACAGAGTTTTTTACGATTGGTCATCCAAAGATAAAAAGCAAGAACTCAGGGGTTAAAAAATGTCGCATAAGAAAAAGAAACAGCAATCATGTGTAAGCAAAAATATAGCCTGTGCCCAGTAGTGATATTTTAATAAGCAGAACTAAATAAATCGAGTGTTATCTTTGTAATTGGTAAATAACATTTCCCGATAAGGTCACAAAGAGAGCACCTAAAATTCCACATGACTATCTTACACAGAAGTTCAGAATACTTCCTAAACATTTCCCCAACTGATATTTCCATGAACCCTTAACTTACTTATGTACTATTAAATAATGAAGCTGGGCATCTAAAATGATTTTTGAAGCTTGAAAATACCACTAACATTTTTAAAGATGATTGCTCTTAAGTAAGCTACTCTATGTCTGTTGCAACTGTCCAAGTCTCAACGCTGGGGATCCTAGCTTGAGCCTGATCAGTCCAAAGTGAGTCTCTGCTCTGTACCACAGCTGGCTCTGCGTGCTTTCTTTATTCACTGCACTCTTTCTCACCCTTGCCCTTGTCACATTCACTTTAAAGCCACTGACAATAAAGCTTATCAACATTCCATAAAAATGTCATAAAATACATGCAATAAAATACTGAGTGCTGTATAAAAATGGTTAGTGCTTTTACAATGGCTAGAACTACCATGAAAATTGGAAGTAAAAAACAAAACAAAAGAAGCCTGGAGCATATATATAAATATATATAAAGAGAGGCTGGGTGCTGTGGCTCACAACTGTAATCCCAGCATTTTGGGAGGCTGAGGAAAGCAGATCACTTGAAGCCAGGAGTTTGAGACCAGCCTGGCCAACATAGAGAAACCCCTTCGCTACTAAAATTACAAAAATTAGCTGAGTGTGATGGCATGGGCCTGTAATGTAAGCTACTCAGGAGGCTGAGGCACAGGAATCACTTGAACCCTGGTGTGAAAGCTGCAGTGAGCCGAGATTGCACCACTGCACTCCAGCCTGAGCAACAGAGTGAGATGCTGTCTCAAACAAAACAAAACAAAACAAAAAACCACATTACATATATAATACACATTTCTACAGGAATTTCCACAATTTTCTTATTAATTGATAGATAAGATCTCTTTATATATGTAATACATATATGAATTAATAAGAAAATTGTGGAAATTCCTATAGAACTGTGAATAAAAATAAGAATTTCCACAATTTTCTTATTAATTGATAATATCTCTTTATATGTATAATATATAAAATATAACAATAATAAAATTGTGGAAATTCCTACAGAAATGTGCAAAATGTGAATATAATAAATAAATATAAATATTAATAAGCAAAGGAAAGTATTTTCAGTTTCACATTTAAAAAATTCACCTGTGAGTTTGTCAATCATTAGAAAATAGCTAAATAGTCTGGCCGCAGTGGCTCACGCCGGTAATCCCAGCACTTTGGAAGGCCGAGGTGGGCCGATCATGAGATCAGGAGATTGAGACCATGTGGGCAACATGGTGAAACCCCGTCTCTCCAAAAAAAAAAGAAAGAAAATAGCTAAATAAGAGCAAAGTTTCTTTGAATTGAACACTGTCAAATATAACTAAATGGACATATATTGTTTCAAACTTTCAAGATAATTTGTTCTGAGGAAGTAATCCTGAATAAGTGCAAAGACATTGGTATGAGACGATCTGCACAGCTAGGGTGTTTACCATTAGGAAAATTCAGATTCCTATAAATCATAAAAAGTAGTTAAATGATATATGAATTTATACAATAGAATACTCTATAATCATTTGATGAATTTCACAGATAATATGTAATGACATAGAAGGCTGTTCATAGTATTTATAAAGGTATTTGTAACTGTTACAATTAGTATATAGGTATGACATCTATAATAAAAATGAGTATAGGCATATGAAATTACTAGAAGACTATCCAGCAAAAAAGATGATATTTGTCTTTAAGTAGTGAAATACTGTGATTATTATTAACTTTATTTTTTGTGTAATGACTGCTTTTAGGAAATGAATAGTTATTAATTTGCAGTAAAAACTAATTTTTTGTGAATTATGGTTTCTATGAAATAAAAAATTAATTTATTCAAGTTTTGTCTTTAAAATATAATACCACAAAATCAAGTTACTTGTGTGAATAAATATTGTTTTTAATAATAGTTAATTATTTTCACACTGAGAGTATGACTTTGCATTTTTACTGATGCAAAGTAAAATAATTTAATTAATTATAAAATTTAGCATTGCTAAAACAGACTAATATCAGACTTTCATATGGCCTTTCACAAAACATGGAACACAATGACTCAGTTTTATCATTTAAACTTATTGTGTGTTGACTACATGTTAATGATATTCTGATGGATAGCATCCTGTCAATTACCCTTGAAACTTCTATCATGATTTTTCCCAAAGCATTAGGTTACTAACTAGTCATCTTCCATGTATATTTATTTTATCATTGTAAAATCATATAAATAGCAAATGATTATCAACTTGTACTTTTCAGTCCATCTTCTCCCTATTATATATTATGTAGATATGTACACACTTTTTACAGTTGTAGAATGAATGTGAGGCATAGTCATGAGTTATATACTAATACATACATACAGACATCCTCATACTAAAGCATTCTTAACGCAGAATTATTTTTCAGGTCTTCTAACATTGTTTGCAAACACTATCTACTTGTATTTTTGTTGTTGTTTTGCACGAGTTTGCTCTAAACTTAAAAAAATAGTATTTACCTATTGACCAAAATACATTTAAATTGGCTATTTAATAAAATGATTCTTAATAATTCACTAGCAGATTCATCATTTTACCGAAGTTGCTCACATATAGTTTTCATCATCTCCATCTTCAACATGTCAAAATAAACTAACCCTTTAAATTATTACGATTTGCCTCTCATTAAGCAGTATCAATAATTAAAATAATAGTTAACATTTATTGAGTGCTTACAATTTATCAGACATGGCTTTAGATGTTTTAAATGAATTAACTCAATGTTTATAATAACTCAAGAGGATAGAGATAAGTTAGATTGAGTTTCCTAGAAGCAGAGCTTGAGAAGAAGGCTTATGAGGATGTGATTTATTGAAGCAGTACTCTTTGAGTAACAGTAAGACCATGAAAAAAAGCCAGATGGGAAAAAGAAAGGAGTTATGCTCATACAAGAATGTGGGTTCAAAAGTGGTCTAACTAAACCTTTTAAAAACAAACAAACAAACAAACAAAAAAACAACAACAACACCTGGAAAATGGTAAATTTATCTAAACTCTACCCTGCTTTGGGTAAAAGAAGCAGGGCTTTTGTTCCTGTCTAGCAATGGCTGTAGTCCTAAAGGATAGAGTTTTCAAGTGAAAAGAAGAGGAGAGAAGGCCAGGTAATGTCCATGCATCCCAGTGCTAGGCAGCCTCAATTTCCCAGGGACTCTCCTTATTAAAATGCTCAGTGAGCTGTTAGGGAAAGTACTCAAGCACCACAGCCACTGCGGCACTATCACACCCGCAAAACTGATAATTGCGCTCTGGGAAACCTGGACAGGGCATCATCAATATCTAATATATTCCTTCATTTTGGAACTCAAGGGCATTGAGGTCCAGAAAACTCATGTGATTTACCCAAGGGCACACAGGTAGGAAAAGTAGAGTTAGGATGCAAGTCTTATCAATTTGGCTATAGACCAAGAAGTCTTATTTCCACATATTAAAATGATACAGGTTTTCAAGTTAGCAACCTATTTGTAGAGGTCTTTTAAATCTACTCTGGCAATTACTCATGCATTCATATTGAAAACAAAAGTATCGCAGATGTCAGAAAACTCATAAAAAAACTTTTCTTATAGGTAATTCAGGGCGTTGTTGAAAAAACATCAACTTCTTTTTGAAACATGAATTTCTAGCATAGTTGTTTTGCATTTCTTTTCATTCAGAGCTTCTTTAAAAGTTTGATTTACTTTCTCATGATATGTTTTATTTTTGTTTTATTATTTGAATCATTTTTAAAGTGATGAAAATTAATCTATACAGATTTGATTTCCCATTCCAAAATGAAGAGTTTGCCCAGCAAACTGGTTTAAGAAGGAATCCAACATAAATATGTAATTAAGGCACTCACAGGCAAGATTTAAAAATTACCACAGTAGGAAATATGCAACGGGAAATAAGCACTTTAAGTTAAGTGATATGTGGTCCTGCCAACAGCAAATAAGAATTGACATCCTGCAGACCCAGATATTACACTGACTATAATAATAAACATTCATGAATATAGTGTAATGAGCATGAAATTATGAGTTTTAATATGGATATGTTACAGCTGAAGTTGGAAATACTTTTTGGGGTAATGGCCCTACATAATTTAAAGATAGCGGTAAACCACAGGCAGTAAAATTCAATTACAGTGACTATAAGATGCATTCAAACATGCTCCTATGAAGCATAGAATTTCCAGCATCATTTTGCCAATAATGCTTCCTGCAGTTATGGCTGGCCACACTTTTATTCTGATCATGTTATTTATGAACATAAGAGAAGAACTGAATGGTTAATGTGGAGATTTAAAAAATGTAATAGTTTATCATAATGATAAAGTATATCTTCAGAAAACTTATATGGACTTTGCAAAAATAATCACATCGTTTAAGAAAAGGAGACATAATGAAAGTTATTAATCAGGATCCAGAATCTAACAGGACATGAAAAGAACATATGTCAGTGGCAGAGGTAATGTTCAAGGAAGGTAAGAACACGAAGATGGACAAGGCTGGTTAGTGTGTAATTCTGACTGGGACCATTCACCTTCAAAATTGTCAGACACATTCAGGAGGGAGAAAAAAATTTTATCTGACATTGTCTCTAAGGAATAGATAGCAACTTAGAGAAATTTTGATTTCATTACTTCAATAAGTGTCTCTATATTATGTTTCTTAGAAGGAGTCATTTCTCGCTATGTAGTGGATGTAAACTACATTACAAAATGCTAGCATAGCATATCTTTTACAAAGGGAGTAATTTCGTTTAAGAGTACTTCTTTGGCAAGGAAAATAAAATTGTCCACAATGTATGCAAATTGCATGGAAAGTGTTGATCTGAATGAAATGTTCACACCCTTAACTGACAGATTATTAGATACTAAGAAGAAAATATATGGTATTATATTTAGCAAATTTACAGGCCATAAAAGGAAAGCACACATTAAGGCTCTGTTTAGATGATAACATAGCAGGCTACTGAAAAGCTACATAGTAAGTTGTACTACTTTATTTTGCCAGCAAACACTATGCAAGTGAGTGTAAATATTTTTCTATTGCATACCATTGTCTGTGAGCTATTTTTTAAAAATAGGTCATTACATAGAAAATGCAGCAAAATATTAATCTTATACTTTTCCTCACTACAACCTCCAACTCCATTCACTAAAATAATAGTCATATAAATAACATCTCAGTTAGAATCATCATCATCTTAGTAGCTGTGACTTCTATCATAGATAATGGTAAGGAAGCTGAAGGTAAGGCTTTTATAGTTTTTGAAAATGTACTGAGCTATTATCATTATACATCATTATGATTAAAATTTTTACTAGTATTTTCTAGGTATCTTTAAGACAAAAATGAAGTTAAAAATAAAAAAAACTTTGCCTTATGGCATTAAGATTTGTTGGGAGTCCTGCTTCATTACTTTCTCATCTCTTGAGTTTTTTAATGTTTTTTTCCCAAGGTTTAATAGAGTTTATTCTTTAGGATAGTTTTATATTTACAGAAAAAACATCATGCAGAACATGTGCCATGTTGGTGTGCTGCACCCATTAACTCGTCATTTAACATTAGGTGTGTCTCCCAGTGCTATACCTCCCCCCTCCCCCCACCCCACAACAGGACCTGGTGTGTGATGTTCCCCTTCCTGTGTCCATGTGTTCTCATTGTTTAGTTCCCACCTATGAGTGAGAACATGCGTTGTTTGGTTTTTTGTCCTTGCGATGGTTTGCTGAGAATGATGGTTTCCAGCTTCATCCATGTCCCTACAAAGGACATGAACTCATCATTTTTTATGGCTGCATAGTATTCCATGGTGTATATGTGCCACATTTTCTTAATCCAGTCTATCATTGTTGGACATTTGGGTTGGTTCCAAGTCTTTGCTATTGTGAATAATGCCGCAATAAACATACATGTGCATGCGTCTTTTTAGCAGCATGATTTATAGTCCTTTGGGTATATACCCAGTAATGGGATGGCTGGGTCAAATGGTATTTCTAGTCCTAGATCCCTGAGGAATCGCCACACTGACTTCCACAATGGTTGAACTAGTTTACAGTCCCACCAACAGTGTAAAAGTGTTCCTATTTCTCCACATCCTCTCCAGCACCTGTTGTTTCCTGACTTTTTAATGATTGCCATTCTAACTGGTGTGAGATGGTATCTCATTGTGGTTATGCAGCCAAAAGACACATGAAAAAATGCTCATCATCACTGGCCATCAGAGAAATGCAAATCAAAACCACAATGAGAGACATCTTTTCTTGACACATCTATTCAATATTGAACTGCAGGTTTGGTTCCAGCAGCGACAATTAGGAAAGAAAAAGAAATAAAAGGCACCCAGAGTGGAAAGGGTGAAGTATAACTATCTTCATTTTCAAATAACATGATCATGAACATTTTACAAACTCCAAAGGAACTCACTAAAAACAAACAAAACTTCTAAAATAATAAAGGAATTCAGCAAGGTTGTCAGGTTCAAGATCGGTGATTTAATCTGTGGGAGCTACTGTAACAAAATACCACAAACTCGGTGACTTAAAGAAATAAATTTATACTGTGAAGAAATAAATTTATTTCTTTAAGTCACCGAGTTTGTGGTATTTTGTAAAATTTTTCTTCCCAAATTTTTGAATCTATATTCATAATATATAATGGAGTCTGAGAAGTCCAAAATCAAGGCACTGGCAGATTTGCCTCTTGGTGATGGCCCAGTTTTTGCTTAATAGATAGTGGCTGATTGCTGTGTCCTTACGTGGTAGAAGGGAGTATGAGTATTTCTTGGGCCTCTTTATAGGGGCACAGATCCAATTCATGACGGCTCTGCCCCCATGACCTAATCACCTTCTAAAGGTTCCCATCTCCTAATACCATCACCTTGGGGATAGGTTTCAACATATTAATTTTTGAGGGATATAATCATTCAGACTATAGCAACTGGTGTATGAAAATCTAGTCTATTCTGTCTTGTAGTAACGTCCAAGCCAAAAAATGATATTAAGAAAGCATTTCCATTTTAAAAAGCACCAAAAAAATCCTTTAAAGTAAATTTAACAAAAGAACTGCAAAACTAAATAAATAGTAAGAGATCCCATGTTGATGGACCAGAAGACTTAATATCATTAAGATGGCAATAACTCCAAATTGATTTACGGATCTGAAACAATCCTTATTAGAATCTCAGCTATCTTATATGTAGAAATTGAAATGCTGATTCTAATACTTATATGGAATTGCTACTGACCCAATATAGCTAAACAATCTTAAAAAAGAAAAACAAAGTAGATGGGGTTACACTTCCAGAATTGAAAACTTTTTATAAAGCATTAGTAATCAAGACAATGTAGTACTAGCATAAACATACATTTAAACATCAATAAAATAAAATTAAGAATCCAGAAATACAATCATGTGTCTACAGTCAACTGACTTCCAACAAGGGTGCCAAGCCCTTCCATAGGAAAGACATGTTTAAATGGTGGTTCTGGTCAGATAGTCACATGAAAAAGACTGAAGTGTTAATTTTATGTTACACCATATATAAAAACTCACTCAAAGTGGATTAAGGACATAAATAGAAGAGTTAAATGATGAACCTATTAAAAATATATAGGGAGAAACCTTCATGATGTTGGATTTGATAATAGATTCTTACTTATGAAATCAAAAGCATGGGAAACAAAAAAAACAGATATGTTGGACTTCATCAAAATTATCAACATTCATGTTTCAAAGGACACTATAAAGAAAGTGAAAATAAAGCCACAGAATGGGAGAAAATATTTGTGGATCATATATCTGATAAGCTAGTCAGAAGACAGTCACAGAAAGTCACGTATTACACAATTCCATTTATACAAAATGCCCAGAATAGGCATTTCTGGCCATGGAGACCACAAGAAGATTATTGTTTGCTTAGGGCTGGGGAGGAATGGGGAGGTAAAGGGGTGATAGATAATGCGTACAGAATTTGCTTTTGAAGTTGATGAAAATGCTCTAAAATTGACTGTGTTGGAAGTTCTAGGCAGAGCAATCAGTCAAGAGAAAGAAATAAAAGGCATCCAAATATAAAAAGAAGAAGTCAAACTATCTCTCTTTGCTGACAATATTATTCTGTATCTACAAAACTCTAAAGATTCCACTGAAAGGCTCTTGGAACTGACAAACAACCTCAGACTTCAGCAATGTTTCAGGGTACATAATCTATGTATAGAAGTCAGTAGCATTTCTATACGCTGATAATGTTCAACCTGAGAGCCAAATCAAGAACACAATCCCATTTACTGTAGCCACACATACACAAAAGTACCTAGGAATACATCTAACCGAGGAAATAAAATATCTCTACAAGAACTACAAAACATTGCTGAAAGAAATCATGGAGTATAAGTAAATGGAAAAAAACATTCCACGCTTCTGGATTGGAAGGATCAATATTGTTAAAATGACCATATTGCCCAAAGCAATCTATAGATTCAGTGCTACTCCTAGCAAACTGCCAATGTCATTTTTCACAGAAGTAATAAAATCTATTTTAAAATTAATATGAAATGAAAAACAAGCCCAAATAACCAAAGCAATCCTAAGCAAAAAAAAAAAAAAAAAAAAAAAAAAGCCTGATGCATCGCATTACCCAACTTCAAACTATACTATAAGGCCATAGTAACCAAAACAGCATTCTATTGGTACAAAAACAGACACAAGACCAATGGAATGAAATAGCTCAGAAAAAAAGCCATACACCTAGAGTTATCAGATCTTTGACAAAGCGGACAAGAAAATGCAATGGAAAAAAGACTTCCTATTGAATAAATGGTGCTGGGACAACTGGCTAGCCATATGCAGAAGATTGAAACTGGACCCCCCTCCCTCTTACCATATACAAAAATCAACTCAAGATGGATTAAAGGTTTAAATATAAGACCATAAACTTTAAGAATCCCATAAAAAACCTTGGAAATATCATTCTGGACTTTAGTCTTGGGAAATAATTTATGACTAAGTCCCCAAAAGCAATTGCAACAAAAACATAAATTGACAAGTGTGACCTAATCGAACTACGGAACTTCTTTACAGCAAAAGGAATCCTCAGCAGTGTAAAAAGACAACCTACTGAATGGGATAAAACATTTTCAACCTATGCATCTGACAAAGATTTAATATCAACAATCTGTAAGGAACTTAAACAAATCAACCAGAAAAATGCGAAGAACCCAATTAAAAAGTAACCTGAACAGACATTTCTCAAAAGAAGACATACAAATGGCCAACAAATATGAGAAAAAATGCTCATCATCACTAATCATCAGAGAAATGCAAATCAAAACCATGAGATGCCATTTCACACCAGACAGAATGGCTATTATTAAAAAGCCAAAAAAACAACAGATACTGGCAAGGATGTGTTGGAAAGGATACTTATGCACTGCCCGTGGGAATGTAATTTAGTTCAGTCACTGTGGAAAACAGTTTGGCGATTTCTCAAACACTATGAGGTAAACTATTATTTGACCCAGCAATCCCATGACTGGGTATATATTCAAAAGCAAATACATTGTTCTACCAAAAAGACATATGCACTTGCATGTTTATCACAGCAGTATTCACAACAGGGAAGACATGGAATCAACTTAGGTGTCCATCAGTGGTGGATTGGATAAAGAAAATGCGGCGCATATATATATATATATATATATATATATATATATATATATATATGCACCATGGAATATTGTGTGCCCATAAAAAGGAATAAAATCATATGCTTTCCAGCAACATGGATGCAGCTGGATGCCATTACTCTAAGCAAATTAACACAGGAACAGAAAACCAAATACTGAATGTTCTCACTTATAAGTGGAAGCTAAACAATGGTTACTCATGGACACAAAGATGGCAATGATACAAACTGGAGACTATAAGAGGGGAATGTAGGGGTAGGCAAAAGTTGAAAAACTAACTTCTGGGTACTCTGCTCAGTTATCTGGGTGATGGGATCAATTGTACCCCAAACTTCAGCATCACACAATATACTCTCATAAGAAACCTGCACATGTAACCCCTAAATCTAAGAGAAAAGTTTATTGACTTATAAAATAAAATTGATTGTGGTGATGAGGGCAAATATATGTCAATATACTAAAGTTCGTTGTATACTTTAAACGGGTAAATTATTAATTCCATTGAATTGTATAATTCAAATGGGCAAATTATATTGTTTTTAAGTTATATTTTGATAATGCTGTTTGAAAATAGTAGATAAAGAAAAAATAACATAGCACATTTTTACAATTTGAAAATTTATACTTGTATCCAAATTTGGTAGGAGCACTAGAAAGAGACAAAATTAATTATAGTTGATTTAGTAAATTACACCATTGCATGAGGATTACCATTAACAAAATTACTGAGAGACAATAAAATTCAAAACTAAATAATATCAGAGTTTATCACAAAAGAGTCATCAAAGGTTTTAACTGGAATTACTGGGCAGAATTATACTGTGCAGTCAAAAAGGATATTAGAGTCCGAAGAGTTTATGTTAGAAGCTTCTACTCTTAAACCCAGGGTGATATCATTCAATCTACTTTTCTGAGCCACAATACCTATGCGGTAAAAGACATCAGCAAATTTTAAACTATAAAACACTAGAAATGTGAAAGATGTATTAAACCTAAGGGATAGAGTTGAATTCTAAGAAGTGCATATTTCATCAAGTATTTATCCTGGAAAATTACTGACTACCTTGGAGTTTTCTAAATCTCACCACAGGATTGCTTCATCTTTAAAATGTTTGGTTAGCATGCCAATAAATGCCAAGCCAAATTTCACACAATCTTCTTTTATTTCTTTTCCTTCTGAGTAGGAGAAGCATGTTATTGTGCTGGCATTAACTTGTGACATGCTTGAATTTAAAATAGAATGTCTGTAAACTGAAACTTTACTATCACTTTTCTGTTTATGCTGACTCTTCATCACCTTTGACCCTTAACCCTGTTGACTTCCTGAGTAAGACACTTTTTATTGCATAGAATTAACATCTTCTTCCTGTTATTTTCAAACTTGTGAGTAGTTATTAAATGTGTAAAATAACCATCAAGGAAAAAATCATTAATAAGAAGAAAGACAGGTTGACCATTTATAGCATTTAGGACTCTATGTTAATTAAATTAACTAGGACCTGTGCATACTACAGTAGAATCCCTTAGTGATTCTGTTGTGATAAAAGAGCAACTGCAGAGCCAGGCTAACTCTAATGAAGCTGTATTTTACAATATTACCGTTAAAATATTTGACAGAACATAATTATTTTTCTAATAATTTAATTTTTTCCTCCAGGATATGAGAGTAGTCCATAATATAACATAATTATTCTTATAACATATGAAAAACTTGTTTTGTTTTCAAACTCCTGTCAGACATTAAGATTTGAAAACATATTTTTGATGCCCTCTTAAAATTAAATCATAGTGAAATGGTTTTGCCCAACTTCTACAAATTTAGGAAATATTAACCAAAGATTATGCATTCTTTGCAGTGCATGCATTATGTTTGTGGAAGAAGGAGCTTGAATAGGCTTATTATTAACTGGCTTTTGAAGCCTTGTGACTGAGAGTCAGAAAACTTTGATTTAATGAGGCTACATAAATTACATAAGTAAAGTAATAAGAAGCTCTGTCTTTGCTGAGTGTGGTGGTGTGTGTCTGTAGTCCCAGCTACAAAGGAGCTGAGGCTGGGGGATCCCTTGAGTTCAAGAGTTCAAGGCTGCAGTGAGTTATGATTGAACTGCTGCACAAAACAACAGCAACGACAACCAAAAACAAAAAACAAAAACAAACAAACAAAAAAACAACCGGGGGGTATGCTGGCTCATTCCTGTAATCCCAGCACTTTGGGAGGCAGACACCAGAGGCTCCCACGAGGCCAGAATTTTGAGACCAACCTGGGCAATACAGCAAGACCCCATCTCTACAATTTTTTTTTAATAGTTGGTGTGATGATGTACATTTTAGATTAAGCTATTTGGGAAGCTGAAGCAAGAGAATCTTGAACTCAGGAGTTCAAGGCTGCAGTCAGCTACAATTGTGCCACTCTACCCCATGCTGGATAACAGTACAAAATAGTGTCTCAAACACACAAAAAAAAACCCAAGAAACAAAGAGACAAAAAAGAAAGTCTTTAACCTATATCTGAGATTATTTTTTAAAAGTTTAAACTCACTGAACACTTCAGGTTATTTCCTTTATACTTCCTTTGAGTGACATGTAGATTTTACTGTATTATTGTAATATTTATGTAAGTTGATATTAAATTATATTTAAATTTTCATACTTATATTAATGTAATGAGAAATACTCTAAATCATTACTTTAAAACTTCTCAAGGCCATCAAAGAAAGTGGATATTCAACTCATTCTATTCATTCTTCCTTCCCTGTAAAAAATACTTTTTTATAGGTTAGAAGAAAAATGTGCTTGGGCCCCACCTGCTCACACAGTCTCCAGTACTGAAGCAGTAGCAAAATTTTAGAGAAAGAGAAAAAGTGCTATGGATAATCAGATGTTTCCTATTAGTGTTTTTTATGTGTTGAGGAATTTATTCAGCCAATATCATTAAAAAATATATTGACAAAATCTTCCTCAATTGCTTCCCTTCTCATAAAATATTTATTAAGATTATTGTTATTAATTATATTATTCCATGTTCTTGTTTTTTTTTATTTATCAGGTCACCTCTCAAATAATTCCATTAAGTGTACTTACACTAACACTTCGCCTTCAGCAGAAATCCAGAAGGAAGACACTTCCTTTATTTATGGATAAATAAAAAATTACATTAATACAGACCTTAAAAAATGTAAGAGCTTATCAATATTCACTAAATCAATTTATGCTCACAATAATTTATGGTGTAGAATGACTGACAAGAGAAGAAATTCACATTAAATATGAACTTGTATGCTATGACAAGGAGGGAGAATTTTAAAGGTGATGGGACTAAGCCTCAGGTTTTTTTCCAGGTTTATTCAGGTATAATTAACAAATAAAAATTGTATATATATTAAGTTATACAACATGATATTTCGATATATGTATACATTGTGAAATGATTACCACACACAAGCTAATTAACATTTCTGTCTCCTCACACAGTTACGTTTATTTATTTATGTATTCATGTTGGTGAGGAAGATTTACTCTCTGAACAAATTTTAAGTATACAATACAGTATTGCTAACTGCAGACATGCTGCATATTGAATCTCCAGAACTCATTTTGATGCAGGACAGATGAGCCCCAAAATCAGGGCTTGGCCTGGGAGGGTTCTTGACTTTACTCAGGAAAATATTCAAGGGTGAGCCAATGGTGTTAAACAGCAACTTGTATTGAAGCAGGAGTGTGCAGCAGTAGCAGAGGTACTGCTTCTTGCAGAGCAGGGCTACTCCATAGTCAGTGTGCCCAGAGTAGCAGCTCAAGGGAAATACTGCACTCATATTTATATACACTTTTAATTACATGAAAATTAAGGCACAGTTTATTCAGAATTTTCTAGGCACAGTTTGATATTTCCAGGTTGTTACCATGGAAAGGAGTGGTAACTTCTGGGTGTTGCCATGGCAATTGTAAACTGATATGGCACTGGTTGGCATGAGGTTGGCAAGAGGTGCTTTCACCTCTTCCATTTCAGCTAGTCTTCAATTTGGTCTGGAGTTTGAGCCCCAACTCCAGAGTCTAGTCCTGCCACCTACCTCAATTTATCTTGTATAACTGAAACTTCTCACCATTTAACCAATATTTTCCCATTAGCCCCAACCCCCAACTTCTGATAACCACTCTTCTACTCTATTTTATTACTTTTTTAGATTCCAAATATAAGTGAGATCATGCAGTATTTGTCTTTGTATATCTGTCTTATTTCACTTAGCATAACGTCTTTCAAGATCATTCATACTGTTGTAAATGGCAAGATTTCCTTCTCTTTTAAGGATGTAAATTCCATTTGTGTGTGTGTGTGTGTGTGTTTCTGTGTAATTTTCTTTATGCATTCTTCTGCAGGCACACAGTAAGCTTATTTCTGTATCTTGGCTATTGTGAATAATGCTGAAATAAACATGGTAGTGAAGATAATTCTTCAAGATACTGATTTCATTTTCTTTGGATATACACACAGAAGTGGGATTGCCAGATCATATGGTAGTTGTATTTTAAATTTGTTGAGGAAGCTTCATGCTATTTTCCATGATGGCTGTACCAATCTACATTTTTATAGACAATGTACAAGGGTTCCCATTTTTCTATATCACTGCCAACATTTATCTTTGTCCTTTTGGTGATAGCCATTTTAACAGATATGAGGTGATATCTCATTGCAGTTTTGATTTGTATTTCCTTTATGATTACTGATGTGAGCATCTTTTTATGTACTTTTGTACCATTTGTAAATCTTCTTTTGAGAAATGTTCATTTAGGTTCTTTACACATTTTTAAATGAGATTAATTTTTTTTTGCTATTGAGCCACATAAATCCCTTAAACATTTTTGTGTATTAACCCCTTATATATGTTTTGCAAATATTTTCTCCCATTTTGTAGATTACCTTCTTACTCTGTTGAATGTTTCTTTCACTATGCAGAGGGTTTTAATTTTATACAATTTCAGTTGTATATTTTTGCTTTTGTTGTCTGCACTTTTGGTGTAAAGGCCAAAAAACTATTGCCAAGACCAATGTCAAGAAGGATTTACCCTATGTTTTCTTCTAGCAGTTTCATAGTTTGAGGTCTTATATTTACATTTTTAAGCCACTTTGGGTTAATTTTTGTATATGGCATGATGTAAGGGTCCAATTTTATTTTCTTGCATGTGAATATCAAGTTTTCCTGATTCCTTATATTGAAGAGGCCATTCTTTTCCCACTCTGTGCTCATGGCACATGAAGAACAGTTGAAGATAACTGTGTGGATTAATTTCTGGGCTCTGTATTCATTTCCATTAGTCTTATTCTTATTCTTATGCCCATACCATATTGTTTTAATTAAAATAGTTTTGTAACATACTTTGAATTCAGAAAGTGTGAAGCCTCTATCTTTGTTCTGCTCATAATTGCTTGGTATTTTAGGGTGTTAATAGTGTGATACAACTTTTAAGATTGTATTTTTTTATTTCAGTAAAGCATGCATCACTTTAGATAGTAAGAATATTTTACCAATATTAATTCTTCCGGCCCATTAACAAAGGATGGATTTCCATTTTCTGTGTCTTCTTTAATTTCCTTCATCAATGCTTTATAGTTTTAAGTGTACAAACCTTTCATTAAATTTATTCCTATGAATTTTATTACTTATGTTGCTAAACTTTGTAAATTCATTGTTTATTTAATTTACTTTCCATATATTTCATTGTTAGTGTATACAAGTGCCACCAATTTTTGTTTATTGATTTCACATCCTGCAACTTTACTGCATTTGTTTATTTAAAAGACTAATCAAGGGACTATTATAAATAATTATAAGACAACACACTGGAAACCTAGAAGAAAAGAATACAGTTCTCATCATAAACCTACTAATACTGAATCAAAAAGAAGTAGAAAACCTGGACAGACCAATAACAAATAAAGAGATTAAAACAAGTAATCAAAACCTCCCCACAAAGCAATACCCAGGATCAGATGGCTTCCCAAGTGAATTCGATTGAACATGCAAAAAATTAATACCAGTTCTTCTTAAACTTTTAAAATATATATATATAAAAGGGAACACTTCCAAATTCATTCCTGGAGACCACAATCACCCTGATATCAAAGCCAAATATAGACAATAAAAGAAGAGACAACTATAGGTCAGTATTCCTAATGAACATAGATGCAAAAATCTTTAATACTTTTAGCAAACAGAATTATCATCACATTAAACTGATTATTCACCATGACCAACTGGGATTTATCCCTGACATGAAATGATAATTCAATATATTCTAATCAATCAATGTTATACACTACATTAACAAAATGAAAGATAAACACCACATAATCATCTCCAGAGATGCCAAAAAAAAAGCATTTGACAACATTCCACACTCTTTCATGATAAAAAGTCTCAAAAAATGGATACAGAAAGAAACTTAACACAATAAATGCCATATTTAAAAATCTCACAGCTAATATCCACAATAATCAATGGTAAAAAACTTAAAGTTTTTTCTCTAAGAACCAGTACAAAGTAAGGATATCCAGTCTTGCCACCCACTTCTATTCAACATAGAACTTCTGTAGAAGTCTGGTAGTCCTAGCTAGAGCAAGTAGACAAGAAAAAAGAAAAGCAAAGAATCCAAATTAGAAAGAAAGAAGTACAATTATCTCTGTGACATGATCACATATGTAGAAAAGGTTAAATCATGAATCATCATGTTTCTGTAACATGATCAGGTATAAAGAAAAGCTTAAAGATTCAAAAAAAAAATCTGGGAGCTACTTTCAAGTTTGAAGTGGAAGAGTGACCTAGTATGATGTAGATATAAGTAACAGAATTACAGTGGGAAAAATTAGAGAGAACAGATGTAGAAGTATGGCCATTGTAGAGGTCTAGATGAGTGTTGGCAGGATCTTGGAAGAGAGACTGGAGAAATGCAGTCATGTTGGGTGAGTCTAGCTTTCTATTTGGAGGCAGAATCAGTAGAACTTGATACTGGATTAATACTAAAGGTGAGATTAATATTATACCTTCATGTTGTGGCTTATGAAAGTGGAAGGATCATATTTTATTGAGTCAAAGGAGACTATAAGTCAAACATATGGAAAAAAATCAAGAGTTCCATTTTGAACACAGTTAAGTTTTAGATGATTAAACCTATGCTGTCCGATACAGTAGCCATTAACCACATGTAGCTATTGAGCACTCAAAATACGAATGACTAAAATAAAGATAATAGTAAGAGAAAAATACACACTGGGTTTTGAAAACAGTGTAGAAACAAAATAATGTAAAATATCTTAAATATCTCAATAATTTATATTGAATATAATTATATTTAATTTTATATTGAATTACAAGTCAACAGAACAATATTTTGGATGTATCAGATTAAGTAAAATTTTAAAATTAATCACTAGAAAATTTAAAATTACATCTGTGGTTCACCTTATAATTCTGTAGGACAGAAGTGGATTCGATCAGGAGTCAGAAAATTATAGCCCGCTTCTATATTCCATGTGAACCATTTTTAAAGGGTGGTAAAAAATTGAAGAAGAACATGTGAAGAGGCTCAATATGACCCACAAAGCCTAAAATACTTACTATTTGTTCTTTTCAGAAAAAGTCTGTTCGTCCTTGAATTAGATATCCAAGTGAAGATATGAAATATCCGTTTACATATACGAGCTCAGAGTGAAAACAAACAAAAAAAGAAATCCCAGGTGAACATTTTAATATGGGAGTTATGAGGATGTAGAAGGTATTTTAAAAGTTTTGGCCAGGTGCGGTGGCTCACGCCTGTAATCCCAGCACCTTGGGAGGTAGAGGCGGATGGATCACTTGAGTTCACAGGAGTTCAAGACCAGCCTGGCCAACATGGCGAAATCCCGTCTTTACTAAAGATACAAAAATTAGCTGGGCATGCAGGCGCTCGCCTGTAATCCCAGCTACTCAGGAGGCTGAGGCACAAGAATTGCTTGAACCTGGGAGGCAGAGGTTGCAGTGAGCTGAGATCATGCCACTATACTCCAGCCTGGGTGACAGAGCAAGGCTCTGGCTAAAAAAAAAAAAAACAAAAAATGTTTGACATTAACCAGGTGTGTGGTGGCTCGTGCCTGTAATCCCAGCACTTTGGCAGGCTGAGGCAGTGGAACTGCTTGAGGCCAGGAGTTTGAGACCACCCTGGCCAACATAGCAAGACCCATCTCTTAAAAAATGATACTAAAATTAAAATTCGGCATGGAAAAAATCATTTTAAGAGAGAGTTTAGATAAATATTTGGATATTAGCCTCCCCAATAACATTTACTGCCAAATTCAACAACGTAAAATGTTGGGCGGTGTCACCTCTCTCCTCAAAATCTAGTGTGTAAGATTATGTTGCTGTCACATGACTGGATGGTTAAAATGCTAGTTGTATTAGTGTTTTTATTTTCTAACTGTTGTATTTTTCATGCGCTTATAGAAGCTTACATAGATTTAGTGATGATATCCACTCCTGCTAACATTATATTTATTTAGTTTAGAAAACATTTTTTCACATTATAAATTGTATGTTAGCATTAGAATAGATAACACTTTTCATGTGAAACTGAAAAACATGGTTATATTTTCCTATTTAAAAATTTTACATTAAAAAAATTAACCTCCATTACTTTATTTTAAAAAATAATTATGTTGGCTGAGCGCAGTGGCTCACGCCTGTAATCCCAGTACTTTGGGGGGCCGAGGTGGATTGATCACAGGAGGTCAGACACTCGAGACCAGCCTGGCCAACATGGCAAAACACCGTTTCTACTAAAAATACAAAAATTAGCCGGGCGTGGCAGCGTGCGCCTGTAATCCCAGCGACTCGGAAGGCTGAGGCAGGAGAATCTCTTGAACCCGGGGAGGCAGAGGTTGCAGTGAGCTGAGATAGCGCCATTGCACTCCAGCCTGGGCAAAAGAGCAAAACTCCATCTCAAAAAAAAAATAATAATAATAATAATTATTATTATTATTATTATTATTATAATGTTGCTAAACAGTATTTTGTTTTGTTATTTGAATTAAATATAAGGGTTTCTTCTAATTTTCTTTACTTTCACTAGGAAAAATGAGCCAAGTTTTTTTGTAATTAGAGTCAAATGTGTAGAGCAAAATTGTTTATACTTATATAATCATACACTTAAAAGTGCTACTTGAAATATGGAAATATTGTGTGCATATGCATACACATGCTAGTGAGGTGCTCAAAAGAACACATCACCAGTATTGGAGAAGAAAATATTTGTGCCTTTTTCAAGGTAATATCTGTGCATAGGGATTGCCGAAACTTGTATTCTGGTGTCATATTTAAACCTTAAAAAACATATCTGAATTTTCACAGGAAAGACATAAGGAATGCCATCCAGAATTAAAGGAAGACTACCTTGAGTAAAATTTGGAAAGAGTTCAGTTGGGAAACCTTAGCTCTAGTCCTAGTTCAGTTATGTCAAGCTCAGGAGACACTGAGTAAATAAATTAACTTCTTTCATTCTTATTTTGCCTCTTATAAAACAAAATGTTGATATTAATAATTTTTCAGTGTCTTTCTCACTCCATTCCTATTTGGAAATTACATACTTTATTACCAAATAGTTCTGCAAGATAGCAAGCCACAAGTCCACAACTCTAGCTAACATGTGGTAAGAATATATAACACTTCCATATTAAGCTATTATAATTCTGAAATATATCCTCTGACACTATGTCGGTTAATGAAATATGTTTTGCACTTGGTATTTATATTTTCTAAAATATACTAAATTTAGTAGTTATATAGAAAACTAAAATATTGGCCTTTCTCTCGAAGTTCATTTTTTTCCTATTTTATTGCATTGAGCAAAGATGTAGAAAAAAGAATTGATTATGTTTCATATGTACACTCTGAAATCAAATTTACTGCTCTTTTTGATTTGCAGTAGTTTTTTTAACTTTCTAAATTTAATAGCGATGTATAATTCACAGCAAGGTAAAGAACATACATGTAAGTCTTAAACAGAAATCATTTTCTAATTATTTGAGCTCCATAAAATAATTTCAAGGGGGGACAGAATTTATTTGCATGTGGTGTGGTTATCAAAATATATGTCCATGCTCATAGGAGTGGAAAATTCAAGGAGCTGTAAGCACACATATGCTAATAGAATCCTGGGAAACAATTCTCAAGAAATAATCACTGTCTTGCAAATATAGAACTATAAGTCAAGACAAATGAACTTGAGGAAAATTCAATAATTACTTGCAAATCAAAGCACTTTTTCCTAGTGCATTGTGCTTAGGATATTCAATACATTTACCCAAATAGGGGACAAGAAATTCCATCTTCCTGATTCCACTCGGTTATGAAGCACACTTACACATCGCCCCGCCTCCTAACTGCATTATCTTCCTTTAATCCCTCTTGTACATTTTTGTCAAATTAAGCTTCAAGAAATATCATTTTCAAAATTTCACTGCCTTAATTACAAAAGTTTTAATAGACTTCTTTGGTTATACATTTTGGCAGTGAAGGTTTTACACAATCTGACATCTACCTTCCTTTCTATGGCAGCACACACAGAAAGAAGCTGTTACCTTAAGTTTCATTTTATTTTCTTTCATTTTTTTCTCCATACTCTTTTCTTTTAAGGAAAAGTCAAGAAGATAAGGGACAGGAACTAGGGAAGGACAAGCTGCAGATCATGGTGCCAAAATTAACCCAGGAAACAAAATCTAGGATTGAAAGGAAAACTAAATTTGGATGGAGTACGTAACCAAGACCTAAATATAAAGAAGCAAATCTCAACTTTGGAAACCAGTCCTAGTAAGAGGGCCTAGGAGAGACAGGATGAAATGAGGAGTCCAGAGGTGGGCCCTTAGCCATCAGAACAAGCAGGTGCATTTTACAATTTTTCCAGGTAGACTGTATATATGGGCAAATTTTTTAAAGTGTGAAGGCTACTTAAGCCTTTAGTAGTAGGGTTAACTGAAAAAAGAAAGTCAAAGAGACAGACACACACAGAGAGAGAACGAGAGAAATCAGAGAAAGACAGAGAAATTGAAAAAAAAAAGCAATCAAGAATAGAATATACATAGACTATAGGGATTTGTGGCCCAAAGTATTCCTGAATTCAGAGGTGGCTGTGATACGGATGCCAGGCTTAGGTATTTAAGCACGTATTTGAAATGCTCGGTTCTTCAGAATTGTAAGAACATTACATCTAGTTGAAAGATAACTTTTCATCATCTTCTTAGATGTCAAATTCCTTTGAGCAATTTGCAACATTCAAAAAGTATATTGACAGATCAGCAAAAAGGAAAGGGCATTTTCATCACCTTGAGAAATGGCAATCAAAGGGAATGTGCCAACCAATTAAAGCATGATCAATGCCTCTATTTCCTTTCTTTTCTGTCATAAACTGTGGCTAAAAAAGAATTAAGTTATTATTTTTTTAAAGCCTACCTTATGTTGATAATGTCACAGCAGGGTGCTCATATAAAAAAGTGATTTGAATAACGAGAGTTTAAATATACTATATGGTGAATTACATTGATAGTTTTATGAAGGCAGTATTAATCATGTTTAAAATACAAGAATGTCTAATAGTTTGGTTCAATGTAAAGTAAAAAAAAAACTGGCATTGGTCAGCTCAAAGTGCTTCATGGTTTTGTGGAAATATATGTATATAAACAAAATTAGAATGAATTACTAGCTTAAGGAACTATGGTCTTTGTTTTCTTTGTTAAATCCAATTACAATAAAGTACATTTTCTTCCACAATATATCCATTTCCTTATCTTAGTAGAAGACCTACGTTTTTTAGTCATCTTGATGATTTGGATATGTAAAACTAAGGAGCACATTTTCTCTATCTGCTATACAGCAAGTATTTAAGATTTTGATTTATGGATGCTGGATAGCTAGGAAAGACAGATATAGGTTTGGCACATGCTCAAGTGTCAATATATGAGGAACTCGGACACATCTGGAAAGTTTACAGTTCTAGGGTCATTGATTATAAACTGCCAAAACCTTACTGAGAAGACAAGAAGCCAAATGAGACTCTCAAGGGCGAGTATCTTAAAGTTAACAGTCTGTATGCATGCTTGCTTCTTGCATCTGGCCCTAGGGACATCTGCTATTCTCTTTCTGTTTGTAGAGACAAAACAGAAATCCAGTCCTTCCTGCACCTGATGTGTGCCAATATCCCAGTAGATGGTACCATGCTCTATTCAGAACTGAATCTCTGTATGACATAGGACCACCTAATGAGACTGTTCTGATACAGTAGTTAGGTTAGTTCCCTAACATACCAGTTGGCATACTTGGGAGAACAAGTTAGAGAAGCTTGCAGTTAGGAAGACCTTTACAGGAATTCATGAGAGAGATGATGGGGGCTGGGTCCAGGTGGTGGATGGGGGATGATGTTGCGGGAGGAGTTTGATTGCTCTTCCCCTGTTTTCAGTTAAGTTTACAGTGAAGCAGAAAGCAAGGGCATCAAAGGAGAATGAAGATAGATAGAGGTATTAGGCTTAAATCACAGGAAAAAAAAAAGGGTGAGAAATAGTTTGTGAGAGAAAAGAAAGAATCAACTGTAAGTGGATCAGGGACTCCTAGTGTGGTTGCCTGAAGGCATTAAGGGTGAGCTAATGTCTCAAGATCATAAACTGAAATTGGGTTTAATCATTCTATCTGTGAGTTTTCCCTAGTCATTTCAGCAACAGAGGACTAAACTATAACTATAAAAACAGTGTTTGTGAGTTGGAATTTTTTTTATAAGGAGCAAGGTAGTTAAATGAAACAGACTTAACTTAAAATTATTTTCTACCTTTCCTTTTTGTCATATTGCCATAATTTTCCTCTAGCATTAATAATTTATTCCCTTCACCAAATGCATACATTTTATAATACTTGTTTTGTAGTTAGCTAATGTATGTGCTTTTCAAATTAAATAGTAATTATATTAATGAGAGTTGACAGTGTGCTGGCAGCCCTCGCAGCCCTCGCTTGCTCTTGGCACCTCCTCGGCCTCGGCACCCACTCTGGCCGCACTTGAGGAGCCCTTCAGCCCACCGCTGCACTGTGGGATCCACTTCCTAGGATGGCCGAGGCCAGAGCCGGCTCCCTCAGCCTGCGGGGAGATGTGAAGGGAGAGGCAAGGGTGGGAACCGCGGCGGTCAGCTAGAGTTCTGGGTGGGTGTGGGCTTAGCAGGCCCCATACTCAGAGTGGCCAGCTGGCCCTGCCAGCCTGAGCAGTGAGGGGCTTAGCACCCAGCCCAGCAGCTGCGGAGGGTGCACCGGGTCCCCCAGCAGTCTTGGCCCACTGGCGCTGCACTCGATTTCTCGCCGGGCCTTAGCCACCTCCCCAAGGGGCAGGGCTCGGGACCTGCAGCCTGCCATGCCTGAGCATCCCCCACCCGCCGTGGGCTTGTGCGCGGCCCTAGCCTCCCCGATGAGAACCTCCCCCTGCTCCACAGCGCTGGTCCCATGGACCGCCCAAGGGCTGAGGAGTGCAGGCGCAAGGTGCGGGACTGGCAGGCAGCTCCACCTGCGACCTCCCTGTGGGATCCACTGGGTGAAGCCAGCTGGGCTCCTGAGTCTAGTGGGGACTTGGAGAAACATTTATGTCTAGCTAAGGGATTGTAAATGCACCAATCAGCACTCTGTATCTAGCTCAAGGTTTGTAAACACACCAATCAGCACCCTGCGTCTAGCTCAGGGTTTGTGGATGCACCAATCTACACTCTGTATCTAGCTAATCTGGTGGGGATTTGGAGGACCTTTATGTCTAGCTAAGGGACTGTAAATACACCAATCAGCACTCTATGCCTAGCTCAAGGTTTGTAAATGCACCAATCAGCACTCTGTGTCTAACTAATCTAGTGGGGACTTGGAGAACTTTTGTATCTAGCTCAGGGATTGTAAATGCACCAGTCAGCACCCTGTCAAAACGGACCAATCAGCTCTCTGTAAAACAGACCAATCAGCTCTCTGTAAAATGGACCAATCAGCAGGATGTGGGTGGGGCCAGATAAGGGAATGAAAGCAGGCTGCCGAGCCAGCAGTAGCAAACCACTCTGGTCCCCTTCCACAGTGTGGAAGCTTTGTTCTTAGCTCTTTGCAATAAATCTTGCTGCTGCTCAGTCTTTGCGTCCACACAGCCTTTATGAGCTGTAACACTCCCCGCGAAGGTCTACAGCTTCACTTCTGAGCCAGCAAGACCACGGACCCACCAGAAGGAAGAAACTCTGAACACATCCAAACATCAGAAGGAAAAAACTCTGGACACGCCGCCTTTAAGAACTGTAACACTCACTGTGAGGGTCCGTGGCTTCATTCTTGAAGTTAGTGAGACCAAGAACCCACCAATTGTGGACACATTTAAGTTATTTGGAAGGGATTTTCATTATAAAATTAGTATATTTTAAAATCAGAAATTTAGGAAGAATTTTATTTTATAAATAAAGCTATTTCACCAAAGCTAGATAATTTTGCTTCTATTAGTGAATTATTGGTAAAAATTATTCATAAGCATACTTAAAAAAAGCAGAGAATTGACTATAGCACTGTAAAGACAGAATTGTCAGCTGGGCGCGGTGGCTCACGCCTGTAATCCTAGCACTTTGGGAGGCCGAGGACGGCAGATCACGAGGTCAGATCGAGACCATTCTGGTTAACAGGGTGAAACCCCATCTCTACAAAGAATACAAAAAATTAGCGGAGTGTGGTGGCAGGCACCTGTGGTCCCAGCCACTCAGGAGAATGGCGTGAACCCGGGAGGTGGTGCTTGCAGTGAGCCAAGATCACGCCACTGCACTCCAGCCTGGGCGACAGAGCAAGACTCCATCTCAAAAAAAAAAAAAAAGAAAGAAAGAAAGAATTATCTATATACAGGAAATCTCTAGTAGTTACATTGTTAGAGTGATAATCACATTCGTGGATTGACTCCAAGTGTTTTGCCTTTTGATGCCCACAAGAATTTTCAGCTCTGGGGAAGAAAGAGGCTGCAGTTCCCTGGGTGCAAAGTTGCAGGATGGATGGGCAGGTGTAGATGCTGGGGTGTGTGTGTGTGTGTGTGTGTGTGTGTGTGACAATGAATGAAAGCCTCACAAAAGCAAAGCACATGCTTTCTCTAAAAATAGCATAATAAAGCCTCTAAATGTTGTAACAATCTAATATTTCTGAAAGTAATAAGATGGAAGGTTAAGAATAATACAGTGCATATAAATAAAGTTTAAACCAGAAAATAATATTTAAATTATTATCATTGCTGTTGCTGTTATTATTGTTGAGAAATCTATAAACACAATTCATTACATCAACATGTAAAGAAACTAGAAAATATATATAATCTTCTTAAAATGTGAAATAGATATTTGATACAATAAAAAATAGCTACTAGTATTTTTAAGGAAAAGTAACAGAAAAGCACTTATTTATAATAATGATATATATTTTTAAAATAGTTAATACCTGGGATCACTTTGTCGCAAGATGGCCAAATAGGAAAAGCTCCGGTCTACAGCTCTCAGTGTGAGCGACACAGAAGACAGGTGATTTCTGCATTTCCATCTGAGGTACTGGGTTCATCTCACTAGGGAGTGCCAGACAGTGGGCGCAGGTCAGTGGGTGCGCGCACCGTGCGTGAGCCGAAGCAGGGTGAGGCATTGCCTCACTCGGGAAGCGCAAGGGGTCAGGGAGTTCCCTTTCCTAGTCAAAGAAAGGGGTGACAGACAGCATCTGGAAAATCGGGTCACTCCCACCCGAATACTGCGATTTTCGACGGGCTTAAAAAACGGCACCACGAGATTATATCCCTCACCTGGCTCGGAGGGTCCTACGCCCACGGAGTCTTGCTGATTGCTAGCACAGCAGTCTGAGATCAAACTGCAAGGAGGCGCGAGGCTGGGGGATGGGCGCCCACCATTGCCCGGGCTTGCTTAGGTAAACAAAGCAGCCGGGAAGCTCGAACTGGGTGGAGCCCACCACAGCTCAAGGAGGCCTGCCTGCCTCTGTAGGCTCCACCTCTGGGGGCAGGGCACAGACAAACAAAAAGACAGCAGTAACCTCTGCAGACTTAAATGTCCCTGTCTGACAGCTTTGAAGAGAGCAGTGGTTCTCCCAGTACTCAGCAGGAGATCTGAGAAGGGGCAGACTGCCTCCTCAAGTGGGTGCCTGACCCCTGACCCCCGAGCAGCCTAACTGGGAGGCACCCCCCAACAGGGGCACACTGACACCTCACACGGCAGGGTACTCCAACAGACCTGCAGCTGAGGGTCCTGTCTGTTAGAAGGAAAACTAACAAACAGAAAGGACATCCACACCACAAACCCATCTGTACATCACCATCATCAAAGACCAAAAGTAGATAAAACCACAAAGATGGGGAAAAAACAAACAGAAAAACTGGAAACTCTAAAAAGCAGAGCAGCTCTCCTCCTCCAAAGCAATGCAGTTCCTCACCAGCAACAGAACAAAGCTGGACGGAGAATGACTTTGACGAGCTGAGAGAAGAAGGCTTCAGATGATCAAATTACTCTGAGCTACAGGAGGACATTCAAACCAAAGGCAAAGAAGTTGAAAACTCTGAAAAAAATTCAGAAGAATGTATATCTAGAATAACCAATACAGAGAAGTGCTTAAAGGAGCTGATGGAGCTGAAAACCAAGGCTCGAGAACTACGTGAAGAATGCAGAAGCCTCAGGAGCTGATGCAATCAACTGGAAGAAAGGGAATCAGTGATGGAAGATGAAGTGAATGAAATGAAGCGAGAAGGGAAGTTTAGAGAAAAGAGAATAAAAAGAAATGAGCAAAGCCTCCAAGAAATATGGGACTATGTGAAAAGACCAAATCTATGTCTGATTGGTGTAGCTGAAAGTGTTGGGGAGAATGGAACCAAGTTGGAAAACACTCTGCAGGATATTATACAGGAGAACTTCCCCAATCTAGCAAGGCAGGCCAACGTTCAGATTCAGGAAATACAGAGAACACCACAAAGATACTCCTCGAGAAGAGCAACTCCAAGACACATAATTGTCAGATTCACCAAAGTTGAAATGAAGGAAAAAATGTTAAGGGCAGCTAGAGAGAAAGGTCCGGTTACCCTCAAAAGGAAGCCCATCAGACTAACAGCGGATCTCTCGGCAGAAACCCTACAAGCCAGAATAGAGTGGGGACCAATATTCAACATTCTTAAAGAAAAGAATTTTCAACCCAGAATTTCCTATCTAGCCAAACTAAGCTTCATAAGTGAAGGAGAAATAAAATACTTTACAGACAAGCAAATGCTGAGAGATTTTGTCACCACCAGGCCTGCCCTAAAAGAGCTCCTGAAGGAAGCACTACACATGGAAAGGAACAACCGGTACCAGCCGCTGCAAAATCATGCCACAATGTAAAGACCATCGAGACTAGGAAGAAACTGCATCAACTAAAGAGCAAAATAACCAGCTAACATCATAATGACAGGATCAAATTCACACATAACAATATTAACTTTAAATGTAAATGGACTAAATGCTCCAATTAAAAGACACAGACTGGCAAATTGGATAGAGTCAAGACCCATCAGTGTGCTGTATTCAGGAAACCCATCTCACGTGCAGAGACACACATAGGCTCAAAATAAAAGGATGGAGGAAAATCTACCAAGCAAATGGAAAACAAAAAAAAGGCAGGGGTTGCAATCCTAGTCTCTGATAAGACAGACTTTAAACCAACAAAGATCAAAAGAGACAAAGAAGGCCATTACATAATGGTAAAGGGATCAATTCAACAAGAAGAGCTAACTATCCTAAATATATATGCACCCAACACAGGAGCACCCAGATTCATAAAGCAAGACCTGAGTGACCTACAAAGAGACTTAGACTCCCACACATTAATAATGGGAGACTTTAACACCCCACTGTCAACATTAGACAGATTAACGAGAGAGAAAGTCAACAAGGATACCCAGGAATTGAACTCAGCTCTGCACCAAGCAGACCTAATAGATATCTACAGAACTCTCCACCCCAAATCAACAGAATATACATTTTTTTCAGCACCACACCACACCTATTCCAAAATTGACCACATACTTGGAAGTAAAGCTCTCCTCAGCAAATGTAAAAGAACAGAAATTATAACAAACTATCTCTCAGACCACAGTGCAATCAAACTAGAACTCAGGATTAAGAATCTCACTCAAAACCACTCAACTACATGGAAAGTGAACAACCTGCTCCTGTATGACTACTGGGTACATAACGAAATGAAGGCAGAAATAAAGATGTTCATTGAAACCAACGAGAACAAAGACACAACATACCAGAATCTCTGGGATGCATTCAAAGCAGTGTGTAGAGGGAAATTTATAGCACTAAATGCCCACAAGAGAAAGCAGGAAAGATCCAAAATTGACACCCTAACATCACAATTAAAAGAACTAGAAAAGCAAGAGCAAACACATTCAAAAGCTAGCAGAAGGCAAGAAATAACTAAAATCAGAGCAGAACTGAAGGAAATAGAGACACAAAAAACACTTCAAAAAATTAATGAATCCAGGAGCTGGTTTTTTGAAAGGATCAACAAAATAGATAGACTGCTAGCAAGACTAATAAAGAAAAAAAAGAGAGAAGAATCAAATAGACGCAATAAAAAATGATAAAGGGGATATCACCACCGATCCCACAGAAATACAAACTACCATCAGAGAATACTACAGACACCTCTATGCAAATAAACTAGAAAATCTAGAAGAAATGGATAAATTCCTCAACACATACACTCTCCCAAGACTAAACCAGGAAGAAGTTGAATCTCTGAATAGACCAATAACAGGATCTGAAATTGTGGCAATAATCAATAGCTTACCAACCAAATAGAGTCCAGGACCAGACGGATTCACAGCTGAATTCTACCAGAGGTACAAGGAGGAACTGGTACCATTCCTTCTGAAACTATTCCAATCAATAGAAAAAGAGGGAATCCCCCCTAACTCATTTTATGAGGCCAGCATCATTCTGATACCAAAGCCAGGCAGAGACACAACAAAAAAAGAGAATTTTAGACCAATATCCTTGATGAACATTGATGCAAAAATCCTCAATAAAATACTGGCAAAACAAATCCAGCAGCTCATCAAAAAGCTTATCCACCATGATCAAGTGGGCCTCATCCCTGGGATGCAAGGCTGGTTCAATATACACAAATCAATAAATGTAATTCAGCATATAAACAGAGCCAAAGACAAAAACCACATGATTATCTCAATAGATGCAGAAAAAGCCTTTGACAAAATTCAACAACCTTCATGCTAAAAACTCTCAATAAATTAGGTATTGATGGGATGTATTTCAAAATAATAAGAGCTGTCTATGCCAAACCCACAGCCAATATCATACTGAATGGGCAAAAACTGGAAGCATTCCCTTTGAAAACTGGCACAAGACAGGGATGCCCTCTCTCACCACTCCTATTCAACACAGTGTTGGAAGTTCTGGCCAGGGCAATGAGGCAGGAGAAGGAAATAAAGGGTATTCAATTAGAAAAAGAGGAAGTCAAATTGTCCCTGTTTGCAGACGACATGATTGTATATCTAGAAAACCCCATTGTCTCAGCCCAAAATCTCCTTAAGCTGATAAGCAACTTCGGCAAAGTCTCAGGATACAAAATCAATGTACAAAAATCACAAGCATTCTTATACACCAACAACAGACAAACAGAGAGCCAAATCATGAGTGAACTCCCATTCACAATTGCTTCAAAGAGAATAAAATACCTAGGAATCCAACTTACAAGGGATGTGAAGGACCTCTTCAAGGAGAACTACAAACCACTGCTCAAGGAAATAAAAGAGGATACAAACAAATGGAAGAACATTCCATGCTCATGGGTAGGAAGAATCAATATCGTGAAAATGGCCATACTGCCCAAGGTAATTTACAGATTCAATGCCATCCCCATCAAGCTACCAATGCCTTTCTTCACAGAATTGGAAAAAACTACTTTAAAGTTCATATGGAACCAAAAAAGAGCCCACATTGCCAAGTCAATCCTAAGCCAAAAGAACAAAGCTGGAGGCATCACACTACCTGACTTCAAACTATACTATAAGGCTACAGTAACCAAAACAGCATGGTACTGGTACCAAAACAGAGATATAGATCAATGGGACAGAACAGAGCCCTCAGAAATAACGCCGCGTATCTACAACTATCTGACCTTTGACAAACCTGAGAAAAACAAGCAATGGGGAAAGGATTCCCTATTTAATAAATGGTGCTGGGAAAACTGGCTAGCCATATGTAGAAAGCTGAAACTGGATCCCTTCCTTACACCTTATATAAAAATCAATTCAAGATGGATTAAAGACTTAAATGTTAGACCTAAAACCATAAAAACCCTAGAAGAAAACCTAGGCAGTACCATTCAGGACATAGGCATGGGCAAGGACTTCATGTGTAAAACACCAAAAGCAATGGCAACAAAAGACAAAATTGACAAATGGGATCTAATTAAACTAAAGAGCTTCTGCACAGCAAAAGAAACTACCATCAGAGTGAACAGGCAACTTACAAAATGGGAGAAAATTTTTGCAACCTACCCATCTGACAAAGGGCTAATATCAAGAATCTACAATGAACTCAAACAAATTTACAAGAAAAAAAAAACAACCCCATCAAAAAGTGGGTGAAGGACATGAACAGACACTTCTCAAAAGAAGACATTTATGCAGCCAAAAGACACATGAGAAAATGCTCATCATCACTGGCCATCAGAGAAATGCAAATCAAAACCACAATGAGATACCATCTCACACCAGTTAGAATGGCAATCATTAAAAAGTCAGGAAACAACAGGTGCTGGAGAGGATGTGGAGAAATAGGAACACTTTTACACTGTTGGTGGGACTGTAAACTAGTTCAACCCTTGTGGAAGTCAGTGTGGCGATTCCTCAGGGATCTAGAACTAGAAATACCATTTGACCCAGCCATCCCATTACTGGGTATATACCCAAAGGACTATAAATCATGCTGCTATAAAGACACATGCACACGTATGTTTATTGCGGCATTATTCACAATAGCAAAGACTTGGAACCAACCCAAATGTCCAACAATGATAGACTGGATTAAGAAAATGTGGCACATATACACCACGGAATACTATGCAGCCATAAAAAATGATGAGTTCATGTCCTTTGTAGGGACATGGATGAAATTGGAAATCATCATTCTCAGTAAACTATTGCAAGAACAAAAAACCAAACACCGCATATTCTCACTCACAAGTGGGAATTGAACAAGGAGATCACATGGACACAGGAAGGGGAACATCACACTCTGGGTCCTGTTGTGGGGTGGGGGGAGGGGGAGGGATAGCATTGGGAGATATACCTAATGCTAGACGACAAGTTAGTAGGTGCAGCGCACCAGCATGGCACATGTATACATATGTAACTAACCTGCACAATGTGCACATGTACTCTAAAACTTAAAGTATAATAATAAAAGGAAAAAAAAAACTTAAAAAAAATTGTTAGTACCCTAAGGATAGAATACTATAAATTGTGCTTCTATTAAAAATAATACCTACATTACTCCTAATATTATTCCAGAATTAGTTCATGCAATAGGAAGAAATAATAGCACTAATATTTAAAAGGCTATACCAAAGAGCCTGCAAAGATATTCAGATAAAATATACATAAATACATATGTACACACAATAACATACATACATATCTATATATACATACATCTATACATGTGTCAGAAAGCTATAACTACTTTAAAATTTTAGTAAATATTTAGTAAAAAAAAGTAAAACACTATTTGTGTTTCTTTAGGGGAGTGGGCAACATTTCTAGTCTATAATAATCTAGACTAGAGTTTCTCATATGGTGACAATCTGTTACACTATGTATTACATTCTGCTTAATGTTACATAAATGATACTCAGAAATATTTGATTCTCTTTACTAGTAAATGTTTTCAGAATATTGATTTATAATATGATATATTCATTCATTACCATTTTATTGTACTTATCTTTTGTTATAAGTATAAATTAAGTTCAAAATACACATTAGGTTGTGCTACATCGTTGTTATTTTGTGTATTTTTAGAATAATCTGTTTTCTAAAAATTTACATGAAGTAAGTGAAACCATTAATTCTGGAGTCCCATTATTTTATAATGTTTTTGTAACTATTTTCAATACTTTTTATTCTTATTTAAATTTTTCTTTGTATTTCATACCATTTTTAATTTTTTTGTTTTATAAACTTATTGCACATGCACTACAGGGATTTTAGAAAATATATAAAAATAAAACTAAGCTTTAAAATTCACTGTAACTGCACAAACAACAAATAAACTCCGTGAACATTTTAGTGTACAGAAAATTTTCCGTGTTCCATCATTCTCCATTTGTCCACCATTTTTTTGTCTTGGTAATTTATCTTTCTTCCTTTTCTTTTCACCCTTTGCCTCTGGTGACTTTCTGAACCACTTTTATGGAGTTGATCTCACGTTGCACCTAGAAAGCCTATCAATTACATCAAAGTTTTCCTCTGGAAACTGAAGTGGTTCATTTTTAACAATTTAAAGTCTTTTCAATACTAATCTTTTCCTTCCTCCTCTTTCTGATTTCTATGGTACTTAATACACCACCTCCTAATTTCTGTATTTGAACAAGGTAAAATAAATCTGGACCAAGCACTGCCAAAACAGGTGTGTGACTTGAACATTGACTTGTCTCTGTTCATGTGAGTGACAGTAGTGCTTTTGTTTACATTGCATTTTTTATTAAAGAGAACAAAATAATTTGTAAAGGTAAGTTACCAGATTTGGCAGAATGACTAAAAGACTAAATCATTGCTTTGTTAACAACCTGCTTCTATTAACTGTTATGGAATTCATAAACTTTTGTACTTTGGAAAATGAAATGCATTAAGTAGATTTCCTGCATGTTTTCATCTAGATGATGACCTTTCTTACTTCTGCTAAGGGAAAGACTTGTTTTCTCAAGAGGTTGAGAAAGGGACTTTGGCAGAACACAAGGCATTATGGATGTGTTGGGGGAAGGGTTTTAATACCCTCCTCATAGCCATGCATGCACTCACAAACATGTCTTTTTATCACAGGCTACAAAGAGACAGGATTGCACCTGTCTCTCTACCCATTAGGGAGGAACTAACTTGTTTTTATTCCTTTCTTTAGCACAAGCAAACTATACTTACATATACTCAAGCCCTTCTCATTCCAGAACATCACTAGGATTAAAGTTCTAAATGCCTGGCTACATATTCCTTCAGGAACTACTGTCTCCTGCATGCATCTTAATTTCCTCAAGTAACTGCAAGAAAAAGGTAGCCGGATAAGAACTTAAGATAGTGGCCTAATATCTTAGTCCAAGCTATACTCTTATTTCTATGCAAAACCCTCTTTTCACATGACTTGCATTTCCAGTGATTTTGGTGTACCTTCGGGAAATATATGTGTATGAAGATAATTATCAAGCATGGCTCATAACACAAAAATTGAGGAGGAACTTTCATTAAATAACCTTTTTTTTCCAATTTATTTAATATTGCCAAGGAACTTTTTGTTGCTAACAGAACTTGACTTGTGTTTGACTCGTGTTTCAGGTATTATTAATTACCCAAAAGAATAAAGATAAGGAAAACTACTTTTCACATTTTTCCATAATACATGCACATGATGGATGAAATGAACATGTCGTTATTCCTAGGTTCAAAAGGTTTAGACCTGGTTGTTTCTGTTTTTGGGTTTTCATAGATATAGAAATAAATAATGCCACAAATTGTCCTAGTTTTCTCCATCTTCAAGAATATAAGATATTACCTTTATGTTGATTACATATTACAATATATAATCTTATATTATTAAATGTTTACTATGCATATTAAAACTATAGTATTGTGGCTATATAGATTGAATAAAAATTAAATTAAAATTAAAAAGGAATTTTACTTATTTCTCTTATTTTTTAATGTGATCACTAGAAAATTTAAATTCATATTTACCTTGCATTTGTGACTCACATATTTTTACTAGACAGCACTGTCTTGGATATTGAGATGATAGAATATATATATATATATATATATATATATATAGTAGGGCACTATATATATATATATATATATATACACACATATATACATAAATGGATGGCTGCAGTATGTGTGTATGTACATTTGCATGGAACACAAAAATCTGTAAAGACTTACCTCCCGATGACTCTCGCTAAGTGATGAAATATCTTCATGATGGTCTTAAACAATAAGTTTTGCAGAGATGTATGGAGAAATCTACTTGGCTTTGTTTTTTTGTTTTCCTTTGTCTTTCTTTCCTTGACTTCCTCCTAGAAGGAAGAGCCATGTTCATTGCTCCTTATAAAAATGTCATTTCCATTTTCCCAGGGCTTATTTTAACACTGTGTGACTTGGAATTCGATGGAGTTAACTCCATTCTCCTGATTCTGAGCTTGCATTTGTTTGTGTAGCTTACTACCCTCATCAGATGCTCTGACTTCCATTCCAGAGCTTGGTGCACAAGAGATCATCACCTCTGATACAAGGTTTGGTGTTCTCTTTTACAGATTCCGTGTATGTGAAGCAAGCCCTTCCTGAGTCTGCAAGAGACTCAGAGTTTTATCTTGTAGGCAAGAGTTAAATCTTAGAATGCAGAAAAATTTATTTTAAAAACGTATCTTAATAAAAGCATATATCTCTATTTTATGGGAAATATTTATGGGAAATTTTATGGAAGGGAAACATTTCCCTTCCAATAATTAAAGTTATACAATAAATGTGAAATACTTTTTTTCACAATACCTGGGCTCCTCTTCATAAAAATGCTTTACTTATTATCTTATAAATATTCTCTCTGTATCACAGGGGCCTTAGTTTAAGGAAGGCAACTTCTTTTAGCAATATTAAGATATTGACTCTGGAATCAGTCAGGGAATGAAAAATGGAGTTATGCATATTTAATCTACTCAGCAAGGATTTGGGGCTGCCTCTGAGAATAACAGAGAAAATTAATAACTCCCCATCCTCCTTCACAAGGATATTTATGAGGACAAAATTACATCAAAACATATGGGGAAGCATTTAGAAATTGTAACAGGATATAAAATGTAGGGCACTTTATGATTGATAATTATATTATTTAAACTTTAGAAGAAATATTCATTTGACTTTTGTGAGTTTAACATTTCCTTTCTGCCATCAGGGCCAATTCCTTTTTTTTCTCTAAATAAAAAAATCTATTTCACATCAATAATAGAATGTATATTTTCCTATTTTTTTTAACCTTTCAAAAATTCTACTTTATCTTGAATAGTGTTTAGCCTTGACCACCTTTCCTTAACAGTCTGTGCCAACGGGCCCCTTCTATGTCATCCCTCTCAGCAAAATAAATAATGTAAAGAATACAGCTTCTTTCAGAGGTATAGAAGAAAAGAACAAACTAGGGAGAAAAAAGATTTTAAAAATTTTTCCCAAAACGGCCAGTGTATATAGTCTTGTAAAATATAATATACTCATTAGGTTACAGTGTCCCTTTGTATGCATGGGGGATTGTTTCCAGGACCTCCTGAAGATGCCAAAATCTGCAGATGTTCAAGTCTCCCATTTAAAATAGCACAGTACTTGCATGTAACCTGTGCACATTCTCCTGTATACTTTAAATAATCTCTAGTGAGTTACATCCTCACCTTTAAATCATTACTTATAATCACTTAGATTATTGCTTATAATACCTAATGCAATGTAAATGCTATGTAAATAGTTGTTGTATTGTTTGGGGAATAATGACAAGAAAAACATCTGTACATGTTCAAGGCAGACAAAATTATTTTTTTCTACATATTTTTGATTCATGTTTATTAAATCTATGGACACAGAAGCCATGGATATGGACAGTTGACTGTACTCATTTTATTTATACTCAAGTGCTTAAAGATGATGGAGTTCTTTTTAGACTAGGCAGTATCCAGAACATTTTAAGAAACAGAAAAGAGAGAGAAGGAAGCAGAGAGAGAGAGAGAGAGAGAGAGAGAGAGAGAGAGAGAGAGAAAAGAAGAAGAAGAAGAAGAAGAAGAAGAAGAAGAAGAAGAAGAAGAAGAAGAAGAAGAAGAAGAAGAGGAGGAGGAGGAGGAGGAGGAGGAGGAGGAGAAAGAACAAGAAGAAGAAAGGAAGGATAAATTAGGCCCTGAGTTGAAGTATTTAGTAAGGAATCAATTGAAACTTTAATTTCAGCTGAAAAATTGTCTACTGTATTGAAGGAGTCTCTAGTTTTTAATTTGAAGATTGGAATCATTCTGGGAAAATATTCTCACTTATTTCTGGGACAGACAACATCAGAGTGGACTTTTCAAGTCATAAAGATGGATGACAAGACCTACTCATAGTTGTTCTTATTGCACCTGTGAATAGCAAAATAACTGAGACAGGTATTTCAGGCTGAAATGCTACCTTTATTTCTGATAAGAAAATAATGTGTGCTCCGTGAGAATGCTTTTCTCCCTAAGGCTGCCAAGTAGGCAAAAATAATTGTTTATTTTGTGTTGTTGCATAATAATTGTGATATGAGTATGTAAAGTAGCCAAGGAAGGGATCATGAACTCAAAGGGGCTGCCATCTCTTAGAAAATCCACTTTCAATAATTATACTCATCTAGCCAGTGTGTACTGAATTTTTTTCTTTCTTTTTTTTTTTTTTAAACAGAGTCTCACTCTGTTGCCCAGGCTAGAGTCCAGTGACATAATCTCAGCTCACTACAACCTCCACCTCCTGGGTTCAAGCAATTCTCCTGCCTCAGCCTCCTGAGTATCTGGGACTATAGGCACCCACCCCAAAGCGTGGCTTATTTTTTTATTTTTATTTTTTGTATTTTTGGTAGAGGCAGGGTTTCACAATGTTGGCCAGGCTGGTCTCAAACTCCTGACCTCAGGTGATCCTCCCACCTTGGCCTCCCAAAGTGCTGGGATTACAGGTGTGAGCCACTGCACCCGGCCTGAATTTCTTTTTATGCAATGAATTCACCAAGATCTTCAGATTTTAGTTGGATTATGGTCAGATATGAAGAGCATTCAACTTTTTCCCAGAGCAAAGGATGCATGTAATACTTTTCTGTTATTACTGCACACCATCAGTGTCCAGTTGAGTGACAATATCACAAAAGTCTTCTGTAGCAGAAGGTTACAAAAAACAGGACCAAAAGAGAAGGGTCTAAGGATTTCGTCTGTGGCTACATAATATAATCATTAAGCTGCTGACACTACAATCAAATGTGCAAAAATGTGTAACGTTTTTGTCATTTCTTTATCATTTTTATGAGCTCCCACCCTTCTTGGGTAGCAGGTACACTTAGACTTGTCAGTGAACAGTATCTCATTTATTTCTAGTTTGATCAGTTTTACTTCAGCTTAAATGTTAATTTGATCCAAAGTTCTTCTCTTTAGGACTGGTTGAAATCCCATTTGATGAATTCTGTCTTGGAGCTCTTCAGGTTTGAGTTCTCTTTCCCAAGCTCTTCCATTTTCCAGGATTCTCCTATTTATATGATGGCTGTGTGGATGAGGATCTTACTGTGTTTTAATTGTAATGGTGAAAAACTGTCCTGAGCTGGGACCGGAGTGATTCAAGCTTGTTTATTTGCTTAGGAATAATTGACTAGGTTATCTCCTAAACTGATAGGGAGTTAGGATAAATATTCCCAGTGCAAGGTACTATTTGTTTTGGTACTTATTTTTTTGCTAATTTGTTTATTTCTGCCATTCTTCTCCTCCCGCCTTACTTCCTTCCCATTGCTTAAACACAAACACACCACACACACACACACACACACCTACCTTTATATGCCAGCTTATCTCTGCAAGGGGGATAATTAATCATTAAACTAGTGATTGTGAAACTACCTTTGCAAAATGATGACAATAAGATAAATCTGACATAGTTGACTCCATCTTGCTTCTGATCTCCAAGCTGTCCTTGGCCATTCTTGAGAGCAGGCCAAGGTAAGTTTGGGAGAAATTCAGTTTATAGTTTAACTTTTAAACAAGAATGATATTTGTCCCTCTTTAAAACTGATCCCTTCCCTGTTTGGGGGCTGAAATCACCTTTGTAAGACTAATGAGTGGTCACAAGGTAAGTGTAGTTTCTATAATCCCTTACTGCTCAGGAGTCATGTGGCCAGAGTTCACAAATCTCATGTGGCCAGAGGTCACAAGATTTGTGACTTTCTCAATTGCATCTACAGATAACATCACTATTGTAGAACCTAAGATTTTTTTTATATATATATATTTTTCAGACTGACCTCATCCAGACCCAAGACTCATGACTCAACTGGTCCTGTGACCCCACCCAGAGACAGACTCAGTGACTGAGGACTGTTTTCCACACCCCCTATGATTTCATTCCCAACAAATCAGCACCACCCATTCTCCAGTCCCCTGCTCATAAAATTGTCCATAAAAACCCTAGCCTCTGAGCCTTCAAGGTGACCGATTTGAGTGACAAATCCAGTTTTCCTGAGTGGGCTGGCCTCATGTCAATTAAATGCCTTCTGTACTGCAATGCTGCAATCTCAGTGAAGTGATTTTGCCTGTGCAGTGAGCAGGATGAACCCATCAGGCAATTACAATTGTTTTAATTCAGCTGACTCATTTGGTCCATCAGGACAAAGTTATGGCACCTGATATTGGAATCTATGTTGTATGATTTATGTCAGGCAGGACAATCAGACCTAAGTGGACCAGAAAGATCTCAGGGGTGCCTAGTATTTTCTTTGCTCAATTCAGTGTGTTATATTTGCTAAAGAATAACTCAAGCTTGTTTATTTGAATAAATGGCTTAGTTAGCTTCTAAACTGATAATAGGAGTTGTGGTAAATAGTACCATTGCAGGATACCCTTTGTTTAGGTTCTTATTTATTTGCTAACTTGTTTAATTTCTACCATTCTACTCCTCTTCTGCCCTGATCTCTTCCCACAGCTTAAACACACACACACACACACACACACACACACGTGCACACACATACACACACACACAAATATAAGATCTATAAAACCCGTGAGAACAGGAACTTATTTATTCATGGCTGTATTTTTACACTTAGAGAATTGCCTGGTACACAGGAAAAGTCAATAAATATTTGTTGCATTCATGCATGTATGAATCTTCATTTATACAAGCCAAGAAAACTTCTCCATGAGAAATGGTTTGATTGATTAGGAAACATTTATCACGTTCATACCCAAAGTGCAACCTGTGAACTAGAAGCATCCACATCACTTGACAGGTAATTAAAAATACATAATCTTGGGTCCCACCCCAGAATTTAGGAAATATAACCTGCATTTCAACAAGTCCCCCAAGTGCTTTCTATTGCTTATGACAGTTTGAGATGTCCAATCTTTTGTTAGGTATTCCTACATGTTTCCATACTCTCACCTTCACCATAATTACTCAAGGCAAACTTTTCCACTGAATCTCATTCAATCAAGGAATGCATCAAGACACTCACTAACAATCGACACATAGCATTGCCCAAACAACTGGAATTTACATATGGAAGGTTATAGATTTGTAGGTGTTTATATAATAATATTAGTTTCTTCCTTCTTATTATTTATTTATATATTTATTTATCTGAGATGGAGCCTTGCTCCATTGCCAAGCTGGACTGCAGTGGCACAATCTTGGCTCACTGCAACCTCTGCTTCCTGGGTTCAAGCTATTATCCTGCCTCAGCCTCCCAAGTAGCTGGAACTACAGGTGCATACCACCACACTCAGCTAATTTTTGTATTTTTAGTAGAGAAAGGGTTTCACCATGTTGGCCGGGATGGTCTCGATCTGTTGACCTCATGATCTGGCCGCCTCAGCCTCCCAAAGTGCTGAGATTACAGGCATGAGCCACCACACCTGGCCCTTTCTTATCTTTTAAATGTGAGAAATTTGTAAAACTGTGGCAGTTGAAAAACTTAGATACAACTATCAATTAATAAAGGAGTACTTATAGAATGCTAAATAAGTGATTAGCTCTGAATTATGCAGTTTAGAAGATAACAATTTAGCTTAAAGAATAATCTCTTGAGTTTACAATTTTGTACATAAGCCAAAAGAAAAAAAAAGAAGCAGAAATGCAAGAATTAGAAACTAAATAATTCTGTAATACTGATTACTAAGCAGGCATAGAAAATCGTATTTTTAAGTCTTATAACTGGTATCGTAGTAATTATCTAAGGTAAATACACAAAGGAACATGGAATAAAATAATAGTTTAATCTTCAATATATAAAACTGGTGCTCAAGGAGAATAAAATACTTAGCTGAAAGGGTAAGGAAGAATAGTATTGAACAATTTTTGTGTCATCTCTTCCTAAAAGTCAAAAACATATTGAAATAAATAGAAAGGTAAGAGGAACTGGCACCATCCTAATAAGAGAGACAACATCTCAAGTGTCTGCTGGTCATTGTCCTTTTGATACTATGGGCCACTCAGTATACTTTCAACAAAATCTTTTGTTTTTCATCAGTTAACTAGATTTGGGTTTTGTTACTTACAAATAAATGTCTTTGATTAAAAAGTAGTATGTAGGCAAAAGACTTTAAGTGTAGGATATAATTCATAATTATTAGAAAGAAATAGGATTATTTGAATAATATAAAATATGCTATCCCATAGTGAATATATATACAAATCTTGGTGCATTCAGACTGTTCGCTTGTATTCAGTACGATTTGTATATATATTCTCTATGGGATAGCATTATACAGGATGTATTGGGAAATTAGGTATTCAAATAATTACAATGATCACTGAGAATGAAGACTGTGATTAATGGATCAATATGGGGATAGATCAATTTAAAGATGAATAATGACAGTTGTGATAAAGGCTACTTTTTGTTCCCCTTTATCCATGTGATTCTATCCCTTTAGATAGAGAACCACAAGATTTTGGGGGGTACCTGTTTGCCAACCCAAGACTACATATGCCTGATTACCCGTAGTTAGGTATGATCATGTACCTGAGGACCAGCCAATGGAATATAAATGAATGTATTTATAAAAGCTGAGTCACACCATTAATAAAAAGAGGCATGCTCTTTACTTTTTCTTCCAATTTTTCCCATGAGTAGAAAATAATCTTGTTGAAAGGTGCTGAAGTAACAATTTTAGGCCACAATATGGAATCCAAGAGTTTAGGATGTCATATCCACACTGAGAATGTTCATAGCAGCCCTAGGCTACTTATATTTGGACCACAGTGTGAGCAAACATTAAAATTTTATCTTGCTCAACCATTGCCATTTTGGCCTTTGTTGGGAAACTTGATCATTATCTTTCCTATTACACCAAAGGAGAACACTGCTTATAGCAGCATGAAGAGTGAGAGACTGACAAGCACTAACTTAAATTCTTGCTTCAAGGAATAAAGGAAAATGCAAGGACTTTAAGCAGAAAAAATACCTTAGTGCATAATCCTGTAGAGAACTTTAATCTCAACAAGTGATTTCACAGAATTGGGGATATTAAACAAGAGTTGAATACATACTCTTGCAAGGCTTTTTTATTTTCTTTTTTTTTTTTTTTTTGCTGAAACTTAGGTTATAAACAGAATGATCAGAATCTTAACAATAAGAATAGAATTTCTGAGTACTCAGAGATCCTGAACAATTTGACCTCCCAAAACTTAGGGAAAAAAGTGGAGATACAATATTATTTGCCTGAAATATTTGTTAATTAAAAAAGTAAAAAGTTAGAAACCTAATATTTCCCTTCATTAACTCAATTTTTAAAAAATTAAAAAATGATGTGAAAGTTCGCTAACTAGAAGTAGCTGGTTTGTGCCACTCTTCTGGAGAGAAGAAAGAGTTGCGAGTAAACACAAGCTCTTCAACTAGACCATGCAAGTGGACACATTGGGATTCACCAAGGAAGCAATACAACCTAGGAGAATGGAGAGGAGTGAGACAGAACAGCTGCCCACCAGGGAGTGTCACGGAGCCATGGCAGGACCCCCATCTTGGGGAAGCAGTAAGTGAGTGAGAGTCTCCGGGACCCCACCCTCAGTCCTTTGCAACCCTGGGCTCAAGAGATTCACCATGACCTACCCTCAACCAGGGCCTCCAGACTAACATAAGAGAGCTATGTGGAGGCTGGGCAGAGCTGCCACTTAGGCACACACAGAGTTCTGGGAGCCCTGGGTTGCCAGTACCCTGGCACCAGGCTAGCCTCCCTGGTACACCCTTAACATAGGGGCTGAATCCATGAGGTTAATCAGAGGACAAACTGCAGACCTCACCGCCACTGCATCTTGAGAGACAAGGCCCACTAGGCTGGGACCGTAGCATGGCCACCCCAATTCTGCCTGAGCTCTGGGGCCAGAAGCAGCTGTGCTCTTCTCTGGGATGAGTTCCCAGAGGGAGCAGACAGGATGCCATTTTTACTGTTCCACAGCCATCACTCAGGTTGCCCACAGGCTCTGGAGGAGGCACTGTGATTAGGGACTAATGTGGATCCCTGGCACAGCACAGCTGCCTTATGAAAAAGAAGCCAGACTATTTTCCACACGTGTCCCTGACCCTGCTGTGACTTACTGGGCAGGGCCTCCCAACCTAGGACCCCAGCCATCACTTGCCTGGAGTCTCAGGCTAGTAGCATCCCTGCATTTCCCAGAGATGGAGCTCCCAGAAGGAGCAGGCAGGCTGCCATTTTCATTGCTCTGCAGCCATTGCTCCTGTTGCCCTCAGGCTCTGGAGAGAGCAGCGTAATTAGGGACTAATGTGGGCCCCCAGCACAAAACAACTGTCTTAGGGAAAAGTGGCCAGATGGTTCTCCATGCAAGTCCCCATCCTTGCTTCTCCTCACTGGGCAGTGCCTCTCAACATGGGCCCCCAGTACAAACACCCTGCCTCACCTGAACACCTCAGACTGGGGAAGAAACAAGGAACCTGAGCGCTTTGCTCGTGCTTCCAGCATACCACAGTTACCATACAGAGAGGAGCCCTGTCTCTCCTTTCTGTGAGCCCCCAAACTCCCATTCTTCACTAAGTAGGGTCTTTATCAGCTTGTTCTCATGCTGCTAATAAAGACATATCCAAGGCTGAGTAATTTTTAAAGGAAAAGAGGTTTAATGGACTCACAGTTCCACGTGGCTGGGGAGGCTTCACAATCATGGCAGAAGGTGAAAGGCACATCTTACATGGCAGCAGGCAAGAGAGAAATGAGAGCCAAGTGAAAGGGGGAACCCTTTATAAAACCGTTAGATATCATGAGACGTATTCATTGCTATGAGAAAGTATGAGGGAAACTACCCCCATGATTAATTATCTCCCACCGGGTCCTTCCCACAATTATGGGAGCTACAACTCAAGATAAGATTTGGGTGGGGACACAGCCAAATCATATCAGGGTCCCCAGCTTGGCAAAGTAGCAAAGTCACCCACCTGACTGAGCATTCCCTGTAGCAAAGACTCTGTGTTTCTCCGAGGTGGAGTTCCCGGAGGCAACTAAAAGCCCCTCTGCCACTGCCAATGCGGTGGTACTGTCCTTGCTGCACTGACTGGTGAAAGAGCAAAGACCCTGAGTGTTTTATGCACACTTCCAGCAAACCACAGCACCCTAAGGAGGAAAGGTCAGTTTGTCTCCACTATAAGCCCTTTGGTCCTGCTGCTCATCACCAGGCAGGGCCCCCCAGCTTGGGCCCACAATGCAGCCACCCTACTCCTGGGCCAATTGCTGAGTGGTGGTGGCTCTGCATTTCTCTGTAGTGAAGCCCCAAGAGACAAATGAAAGGCCCTCTGCCACAGCCACTGTCAAGGTTCCTTCCCCTGCTCCTTCCAACCTGGGAAGGGAATATAAAGCCTGAGCTCACCCCAGTGCCATGGTGTGCAGCCTGGGAGGGCCAAACCAAGATCTGCAGCTAGCACTCAAGTAGGAGAGGAACCCACAGTGTCCAAACACTGAGAAGGAGCACGCCTTCCATTGTGAGAAAATACAGAGGAGCCACATGGCTAAAGTGCCCACTTAGCCCTTATGCTTAAATGTCATGTGCAGGATAACAGCCAAAACCTCAATACCGAAAGTATTTTGCTAACACAAGCCCCATGAAACCAAGGACAAAAATTCAGCTACAAATAAAGGCCTCACACGAAGCTGCAGCCCTTTGAAAACATCCAGAAAAAAGTCCACTAACTGTTCTCAAAACATAGCTAAAAGAACATCAGCCCACACAAATGAGAAAGAACCAGAACAAGAACTCTGATAACTTAAAAAAGATGGAGCATCCGAGATGGCCGAATGGAAACAGCTCCGGTCTGTGGCTCCCACGGAGAAGAACGAAAATGGTGAGTGAATTCTGCATCGTCAATTGAGGTACCCAGGTTCTCTCATTGAGACTGACTAGACAATTGGCACAACCCACAGAGAATGAGGAAAAGCAAATTGGAGCGAGGAACCACCTGGGAGTTTATGGGACAAAGGGAGCTCCCTCTCCCAGCCAAAGGGCCTGGGAGGGATTGTCCTATCCTGCCCTGGAAACCATGCTTTTCCCACAGATTTTTGCAACCTGTAGATGAGGAGCACATGGGCGCCACTTGAGCAGACACTGAGACACAGGAGTCTTTGCATACTCCAGCTCTGGGAACTGTGGTGAGGTAGAAGATCCATCCACTCTCGTGGAAAGGGGGCTGAAACCAGGGAGCCAAGAAGCCTCACTCAGTGGGCCCCTTCCCATGGAACCCCACAGGCTAAAACCCACTGGCTTGGAACCCCCACTGGCCAGCACAGCAGGCTGGAGACCACCTAAGAAGACAAAGTTCAGGTGGGAGGTAGGGTGGCTGCCATCACTGCAGTTCCAGTCAGCTGTTTGTCCCTGCCTCTGGTACCAGTAAGACTGAGTGGTTTGGGCCAGGAGCAATTCTCCACAGCGCAGCACAGTAGCTGTGACAGTTCTTGGCCAGAATGTTTCTTTAACCAGTTTCCCAACCCAGTCCTCCTCACTGGGCAGGGCCTCCCTGTGGGATTTTCAGCATCCTCAGCCAGGGATTTATGAACAGAATTTTGATATCCCTGGGATGAGCCCCTAGAAGAAGGGGTGGCTGAGGTATCTGGGGTCAGCAGTCTTAGTCTTTTCTGCCTGCCAGCTTGGGAGAGTCAGGGCAGCTCAGATGAGGGGTATTCCTCCAGTAACACACACCTGCTCCACCAAGGAGCAGACTCCACCAAAAGCCAGACTGCTTATTTAAGTGGGTTCCTGATCTCATTCCTCCTGACTGGGTGAGAACTCCCAGTGTGGGTCTCCAGACACCTCATGCAGGAGTGTTCCAGCTGGCATCAGGTTGGTTCCCCTCTGGGACAGAGCTCCCAGAGGAAGAAGCAGGTTGCCATCTTGGCTATTCTGTAGCCTCCACTGGTGATACCTCCAGGTGCAGGAGGAACCCAGGAGATAGAATCTGGAGTGGTCCCTCAGCAAACCACAGCAGCCATACAGAACAGTGGCCTGACTGCTGAAAGAAAAACAAACAGAAAGCAACAACAACAACAACAATGAAAAATACCACACAAAAAACACAATCCAATGGTCAGCAGTCTCAAAGATCAAAGGTAAATAAACCCATGAAGATGAGAAAGAATCAATGCAAAACCCTGAAAACTCAAAGAGCCAGAGTGTCACTTCTCCAAATTATTGCAACAAATCTCCAGCGAGTGCACAGAACTGGGTTGAGGCTGAGATGGATGAATTGGCAGAGGCAAGCTTCAGAAACTGGGTTACCACAAACTTTGCTGAACTAAAGGAGTATATTCTAACCCTGTGCAAAGAAGCTAAGAATCATGATAAAACATTACAGGAATTGTTAACCAGAATAACTAGTTTAGAGAGGAACATAAATGACCTGATGGAGCTGAAAAACATACCATGAGAACTTCACAATGTAAACACAGGTATCAATAGCTAAATAGACCAAGTGGAAGAAAGGACATCAGAGCTCAGAGACAATCTTGCTGAAATAAGGCAAGCAGACTAGATTAGAGAAACAAGAATGAAAAGGAATGAACAAAACCTCTGTGAACTATGGGATTATGTAAAAAAAAAACAAACCTACAACTAACCAGGGTATCTTAACAAGATGGGGAGAATGGAACAAACTTGAAAAACATACTTTAGGATATCATCCAGAACTTCCCCAACCTAGCAAGACAGACCAACATCCAAATTCAGGAAATCCAGAGAACCCCAGTAAGATATTCCATGAGAAGACCAACCCCAAAACACATAATCATCAGCTTCTCCACGTCAAAATGAAGGAAAAATTTTTAAGGGCAGCCAGAGAGAAAGACCGAGGCACCTACAAAGGGAAGCCCATCAGACTAACAGCCGACCTCTCAACAGAAACCCTACAAGCCAGAAGAGATTAGGGACCAATATTTAACATTCTTAAAGAAAAGAATTTCCAACCCAAAATTTCATATCTGGGCAAACTAAGCTTTATAAGCAAAGATAAATAAAATCTTTTTCAGACAAGCAAATGCTGAGGGAATTCATGGTCATCAGGCCTGCCTTGCAAGAGCTCCTGAAGGAAGCACTAAATGTGGAAAGGAAAAATAGTCCAGCCACTATAAAAACACATTGAAGTACACAGACCAATGACACTATGAAGCAACTACCTAAACAAGTCTGCAAAATAACCAGCTAGCATCATGATGACAGGATTAAATTCAAACATAATAATATTAACCGTAAACGTAAATGGACTAAATGACCCAATTAAAAGATACAGGATGGCAATCTGGATAAAGGGTCAAGAACCATCAGTGTGATGTATTCAAAAGACCCATCTCAAAAACAAAGACACACATAGACTCAAAATAAAGGAATGGAGGAAAATTTATCAAGCAAATGGAAAACAGAAAAAAAACAGGTGTTGCATCATTAGTTTCTGACAAAACAGACTTTAAACCAACAAAGATCAAAAAAGACAAAGATGGGCTTTACATAATGGTAAAGCAGTCAATTCAACAGGAAGAGAGCTAACTATCATAAATATATATGCACCCAATACAGCAGCACCCAGATTTACGAAACAAGTTCTTAGAGACCTACAAAGAGACTTAGAATCCCATGCAATAAGAATGGGAGACTTTAACACCCCACTGTCAATATTAGAAAATGAACAGATATTCAAAACTTGAATTCGACTCTGGGTCAAGTGGAGCTAATAGGTGTCTACAGAACTCTCCATCCCAAAACAGCAGAATAGACATTCTTCTTGGCACCATATGGAACTTACTCTAAAATTGATCCATAATTGGAAGTTAATCACTCCTCAGCAAATGAAAAGGAACTGAAATAATAATGAACAGTCTCTCGTACCACAGTGCAATCAAATTAGAACTCAACATTAAGAAACTCACTCAGAACCACATGGCTACATGAAAATTGAACAACCTGCTGCTGAGTCACTCCTGGGTAAATAATGAAATGAAGGCAGAAATCAAGAAGTTATTTGAAACTAATGAGAACAAAGAGACAACACACCAGAATCTCTGGGACACAGATAAAGCACTGCTAACATGAAAATTTATAGGACTAAATGCCCATATCAAAAACTAGAAAGATCTCAAATCAACATCTTAACATCACAACTAAAAGAACTTGAGAATCAAGAGCAAAGAAACCCTAAATCTAGCAAAAGGCAAGAAATAACAAAGATCAAAATAGAACTGAAGGAGATAGAGAAACACACACACACACACACAAAGCTTTAAAAGAATCAATGAATGCTGGAACTGTTTTTGGAGACAATTAATAAAATCGATAGACTGCTAGCTAGACTAATAAAGAAGAAAAGACAGAAGAATCAATAGATAAAGTAAAAAATAATAAAGCGGCTATCACAACTTATCCCACAGAAATGCAAACGCCTATAAGAGAATACTATAAGCACTCTATGCAAATAAACGAGAAAATCTAGAAGAAATGGATAAATTTCTGGACACATACACCCTCCCAAGACTGAAGAAGTTGAATCCCTGAATAGACCAATATCAATTACTGAAATTGAGGGAATAATAAATAGCTTACCAACCAAAAGAAGCCCAGGACCAGATGAATTTACAGCAGAATTCTACCAGAAATACAAAGAGTAGCCAATACCCTTTCTTCATAAGTGATTTCAAACAATTGAAAAGGAGGGACTCATCCCTAACTTATTTTATGAGGCCAGCATTATTCTGATACCCAAAGTGGACAGAAAAACAACAAAAAAAGGAAAACTTCAGGCCAATATCCCTGATGAATATTGATGCAAAAATTCTCAAGAAAATACTGGTAAACTGAATCCAAAAGCACATCAAAAAGCTTATTTACCATAATCAAGTAGGCTGCATCCCTGGGATACAAGGTTGTTTCGACATATACAAATCAATAAATGTAATTCTTCACATAAACAGAACTAAAGACAAAACCACATGATTATATCAATAGATGCAGAAAGGCCTTTGATAAAATTCAACATTCCTTCATGTTAGAAACTCTCAATAAACTAGGTATTGAAGGAACATACCTCAAAATAATAAGAGACATTTATGACAAACCCACAGTCAATATCATACTGAAGGGGCAAAAGCTCAAAACATTCCCTTTGAAAACCAGCACAAGACAAGGATGCCCTGTCTCACCCCTCCTATACAGCATAGCATTGGAATTTCTGGCCAGGGCAACGAGGCAAGAGAAATAAATAAAATGTATTCAAATAGGAAGTGAGAAGTCGATTTGTCCTTGTTTGCGGATGACATAATCCTATATCTAGATAAGCCTGCCATCTCAGCCCAAAAGCTTCTTAAGCTGATAAGCAACTTCAGCAAAATCTCAGGATACAACATCAATTTGTAAAAGTCACAAGCATTCCTATACCCTATACACAAACAACAGACAAGTGGAGAGCCAAATCATGAATGGACTCCCATTCACAATTGCTACGAAGAGAATATAATACCTAGGAATACAGCTAACAAGGAAAGTGAAGGACCTCTTTAAAGAGAACTACAAACTACTCCTCAAGGAAATCAGAGAGGACACAAAGAAATGAAAAGACTTTCTATGCTTATGGATAGGAAGAATCAATATCATGAAAATGGCCATACTGCCCAAAGTAATTTATAGATTCAATGCTACTCCCATTAAACTACCATTGACATACTTCACAGAATTAGCAGAAACTATTTTAAAATTCATATGGAACCACAAAAGAGCCCATATAGCCAAGACAATCCTAAGCAAAAAGAACAAAGCTAAAGGCACCACATTACCTGACTTCAAACTATAATACAAGGCTCCAGTAGCCAAAACAGCATGGTGCTGGTACAAAAACAGACACATAGGCCAATGCAACAGAATAGAAAACTCAGAAATAAGACTGCACATCTACAAGCATCTGATCTTTGGCAAACCTGACAAAAACAAGCAATGGGGAAAGGATTTTCTATTTAATAAATGGTGCTGGGAGAACTGGCTAACCATATGCAAAAAAATTGAAACTGTACCCCTTCCTTACACCTTCTACAAAAATTAACCCAAGACGGAGAAAAGGCTTAAATGTAAAATCCAAAACTATGAAAACCCTAGAAGAAAATGTAGGCAATACCATTCAGGATATAGGCATGGGCAAAAATTTCATGATGAAATTGCCAGAAGCAATTTCAATGAAAGCAAAAACTGACAAATGAGTCCTAATTAAACTAAGGAGCTTCTGTACAGCAAAATAAACTATCAACAGAGTGGACAGGCAACCTACAGAGGGGACAAATTTTTCCAATGTATCCACCTGACAAAGGTCTAATATCCAGAATCTACAAGGAATTTAAACAAATTTACAAGAAAAAACTCCATTAAAAAGTGAGCAAAAGACATGAACAGATATTCTCAAAAGAAGACATTCATGTGGCCAATAAACATGAAAAAAACCTCAACATCACTGATCATTAGAGCAATGCAAATTAAAATCACAATGAGATACCATCTCATGCCATTCAGAATGGTGATTATTAAAAAGTTAAGAAACAATAGATGCTGGCGAGGTTCAGAGAAATAGGAATGCTTATACACTGTTGGTAGGAATATAAATTAGTTCAACCACTGTGGAAAACAGTGTGGCTATTCCTCAAAGACCTAGAACCAGAAATACCATTTGACCCAGCAATCCCATTACTGGGTATATATCCAAAGAAATATAAATCATTCTATTGTAAAGATACATGCACAGATATGTTTGTTGTAGCACTATTCACAATATCAAATATATGAAATCAACTCAAATGCCTGTCAATAATAGACTTGATAAAGAAAAAGTAGTATATATTGTGAGGGGAAAATAAATCTTAGGACCCCAAAATCACTAAACTAAAGGAAAAAGTCATGCTGGGAACTGATTAGAGCAAACCTGCCTCCAACTCCTCTCAAAGTCACCCCTCTGCTCACTGAGATAAATGTATATCTGATTGCTTCCTTTGGAAAGGCTAATCTGAAATTCAAAAGAGTACAATCATTTGTCTCTTATCTACCTATGACCTGGAAGCCTCCTCCCAGCTTTGAGTCATCCTGTCTTTGCTTCAAGTTGTCTCGCCTTTCCAGACCGAACCGATGTTCATCTGACATATGTTAATTGATGTCCCATGTCTCCCTAAAATGTATAAAACCAAACTCTTCTCTGACCACCTTGGGCACATATCATCAGGACCTCCTGAGGCTGTGTCACAGGTGAATGTCCTCAACTTTGGCAAAATAAATTTTCTAAATTAAATGAGACCTCCCTTAGATTTTGGGAGTTCACAATACACACCATGGAATACTATGCAGCCATAAAAAAGAATGAGATCATGTCATTTGCAGGAACATAGATGAAGCTGAAAGCCATTATCCTCAGCAAACTAACACAGGGACAGAAAACCAAACACCACATGTTCTCACTTATAAGTGGGAGCTGAATGATGAGAACACATGGACACATGGAGGGAAACAACACACACTGGGGCCTGACGTGGGGTGCGGGGGAGGGAGAGCATTAGGAAAAATAGCTAATGCATGCTGGGCTTAATACCAAGGTGATGGGTTGATAGGTTCAGCTAACCACCATGGCACACAATTACATGTGTAATAAACCTGCACATCCTGAGAATGTACCCCAGAACTTAAAATTTAAAAATAATAATAATAATAAAAGAAAAATTCTGATAACTCAAAACCCAGAGTGTCTTCTTTCTTCCAAATGGCCACACTAGTTCACCAACAAGGGCTTTTAACCAGGCTGAAATGGCTGAGATTACAGAAATAGAATTCTGAATATGGATAGGAAATGAAGATAACCAAGATTCAGGAGAAAGTCAAAATCCAATCCAAGAAATCTAGGGATTGCAATAAAACAATACAAGAGCTGAAAGAAAAGACCAATAGTATACTGTCTTCAGGAGACCCATCTCACATGCAAGGGCACCCATAGGCTCAGAGTAAAGGGATGGAGACAAATCTACCAAACAAATGGAAAACAGAAACAGGCCGGGATTGTTATTTTAATTTCAGACAAAACAGACCATAAACCAACAATGATCAAAAAAGACAAAGAAGGGCATTACATAATGGGAAATAATTCAATTCAATAAAACCTAACTATCCTAACCATATATGCACATATAACACAGAAGCACCCAGATTTATAAAGTTCTTAAGGACCTGTGAAGGATGTAATAACCACACAATAATAGTGAGAGACTTCAACACCCTACTTACAATTAAGTCATCAAGGCAGAAAACAAAGATATTAAGGACCTGAACTCAACACGTGACCAAATGAAACCAATAGACATCTACGGAACTCTCCACCTAAAAGCAACAGAATATACACTCTTCTAATCTGCACAGGGCACATGATGTAAAATTGACCACACAATTGGCCATAAAACTATCCAAAGCAAATTCAAAAAACAAAACAGAAACAAAAATTATATTATCCACACTCTCAGACCACAACACAATAAAAATAGAAATCAAAACTGAGAAAACTGCTGAAAACCATACGATTACATGGAAATTAAACAACATGTTCTTGAATCGCCTTTAGATAAATAATGAAATTATGGCAGAAATCAAGAAACTTTTTGAAAATAATGAGAACAAAAATATAACATACAAGAATCACTGGGACACAGCTAAAACAGTGGTAAAGAGGGAAGTGTATAGTGCTAAACACCCAATTCTAAATGTTAGAAAGATCTAAAGTCCACAAATTAACATGACACCTGGAAGAACTAGAGAAACAAGAGCAAACCAGTCCCAGAGCTAGCAGAAGACAAGAAATAACCAATATCAGAGGTGAACTGAAAGAGATAGAGATGCAAAAAAAATTAGAAAACAAAGTCAGGAATTTAGTTTTTGAAGAATAAATAAGATAGATAGACTGCTAGCTAGACTAATAAAGAAAAAAATAGAGAAGATCCAAATAAACGCAATGAGAAATTACAAAGGGGATGTTACCAGTGATCTCATAGAAATATAAAAAGCCCTAAGAGACTACTGTGAACATTTCCATGCACACAAATTAGACAACTTAGAAGAAATTGATACATTCCTGGAAACATAGTACCTCCCAAGACTGAAAAAGGAAGAAATCGAATCTCTGAACAGAACAATAATTGTTCCAAAGCTGAATCAGTAGGAAAAAGCCTACCAAGCAGAAAAACCCCAGGACTGGATGGATTCACAGCCGAATTCTACCAGATGTATAAAAAAGAGCTGGTAACATTCCTACTAAAACTATTCCAAAAAATTGAACAGAAAGAACTCCTTAACTCATTCAATGATGTCAGCATCATCCTGATACCAAAATCTGGCAGAGATACAACAAAAAAGAAAATATCCTTGATGAACATAGATGCAAAAATCTTCAACAAAATACGAACAAACAGAATCCAGCAGCATATCAAAAGACAAATCCACCATAATTAAGTAGGCTTTATCCCTGGGATGCAAGGAGGGTTCAACATACACAAATCAACAAATGTAATTAATTACATCAACAGAACTGAAAACAAATGTCACATGATCATCTCAATAGATGATGAAAATACTTTCAATAAAATTCAACATCGCTTCTTGTTAAAAACCCTCAGCAACCTAGGCTTTGAAGAAAAATACTTCAAAATAAAAAAGGCATCCAGGGAAAAACACAGCCAACAACCTACTAAATGAGCAAAAGCTGTAAGTATTCCCCCTGAAATCTGGAAAAACACAAAGACGCCCTCTCTCACCACTCCTGTTCAACATAGTACTGGAAGTCCTAGCCAGAGCAATTAGACAAGAGAAACATAAATGGCATCAAAATAGGAAGACAAGATGTCAAACTATCCCTTTTTGCAGAGGATATGATTCTCTACCCAGAAAACTCCATAGTTTCTGCCCCAAAGCTCCTTGATCTGATAAGCAAGCCCAGCAAAGTTTCAAGATACAAAGCCAATGTACAAAAATTAGTAGCATTCCTATACACCAACAACATCTAAGCTGACAGTCAACTCAAGAACCCAATCCCACTCACAGTAGTCACAAAAAGAATAAAATACTAGGAATATAGCTAAACAGGGAGGTGAAAGGTCTCTACAATGAGAATTACAAAACACTGCTCAAAGAAATCAGAGATTACTCAAACAAATTGAAAAAACATTCCATGCTAATGGATAGGAAGAATCAATATTATTAAGATGGCCATATTACCTAAAGAAATTTATAGATTCAATGCTATTCCTATCAAACAAATAATGCCATTCTTCACAGAACTAGAAAAAAAACTATTTAAAAATTTATATAAAACCAGAAAAGTACCTGAATCACCAAGGCAATCCTAAGCAAAACAAACAAACAAACAAACAAACAAAACAAAGCTGGAAGCATCACATTACCCAACTTCAAACTGTAATACAAAGCTGTAGTAACCAAAATACCACAATACCTGTATAAAAACAGACACATAGACCAGCACAACAGAACAGAAAACTCAGAAATAAAGAGACTTTCTTTGTTGTGAATATGAGCTCTGGGGCTACTGATTTTCCTCTAAGCACTGCTCTACCTGTAGCCAACACATTTTTACATATGATGGGTTTCAGTTTAAATTCAAATTAAAACGTTTTCAAATTTCACTCCATTTGCTCTCTGAGTTATGGTAGTTAAAAATTATATTGTTTTACTTCCAAATATCTGGGAATTCTCTTTTATTGATTTTTTGGTTTAATTCCCTTTCCCAGAGAACATGCTTTTATTATTTATTCTTTTAATTGTTTTAAGTTTGTTGGTAGTTTTTCTATGGTCCAGAATATTGTCTATCTAGCTGAAGTTTCTGTGTACCTGAAGATAACAAGCAATCTATTTTGAATGGAAATGTTACATAAATATAGGTAAGGTTATGTTAGTTGATAGTTCTATTCAGATAATTTAGACTCTTACTGATCTTATCTCTATTTGTCTTATTTAGTATTGAAAGAGGATTGGTAAAGTCTCCAAAAATAATTCAAGAATTGGCTATTTCTATCAGTTTTTCCTTTGCGTATTTTGAAGCTCCCATAAATTGGCAATTTTATGTATTTTTTTCATTTCTGATAAGATTAATTTTGCTGGGTTCTACTTTTTCTAGTAATAATATGTAATAGCATAAATACTTTAGCTGTCTTTTAACTAATTATGGCATGATACATATTTACCTCCAATTTATCCATATTTTCTTTCTATTTAAAGTGGTTTTAAAGCATAGCATTAGACCTTGTTATTTTATATGATCTGCCAATCCCTGCACTTTATTTGGATTTTTAGACTATTTGCTTTAATGCAACAATTGATATTACTAGATTTAAATAAACTATAATCTTAGTTGTTTTCTACTGTTCTTTTTGTTCCTTTTTCCTGTTTGCTGTTTGTATTAGGGTTCTCTAGAGTGACAGAACTAATGAAATAGATAAATAGATAGACATATAAAGTGGGGTTTATCAGATATTAACTCACACGATCACAAGATCCCACAAAAGGCCATTTACAGGCTGAGGAGCAAGGAGAGCTAGTCCAAGTTGCAAAACTGAAGAACTTGGAGTCTGATGTTCCAGGGCAGGAAGCATCCAGCATGGGAGAAAGATGTAGGCTGGGAGGCTAGGCCAATCTCTCTTTTCACATTTTTCTGCCTGTTTTTCATTCTAGCTGCGCTGACAGCTGATTAGATGGTGCTCACCCAGATTAAGGCTGGGTCTGCCTTTTCCAGCCCACTGACTCAAATGTTAATCTCCTTTAGCAACACCCTCACAGACACACCCAGGATCAATACTTTGTATCCTTCAATCCAATCAAGTTGACACTCAGTTTTAACCATCACAAGTCCACCTCTTGTCAACTTGAATATATACACATCTTCTGAGATCATGCATAATCTTCAAATAAAGACAACAATAAGGTCATAATTATGCCTAACATAATACAACTATCCTTCATACAATCAGAAACACACTAATCCCCAACCCAAATACTATTACATAAAGTTAACTATACTTAAATGCTGATATGAAGTCAATAAATCTTATGTCACATGATAAAGGAGAAAGGAAATAAAATGAGCATATTTTCTTAGTGCAAGTGTATACATGCACAAGCATGTTTTTAACAAAAGAAGGAGGAAATACTCATGACAATTACAATCCTTGTCCTGCAGTCTAGTGGGAAAAACCAGGGAGGCAGGTAGTGCTCACATAAAAAAAAACCAACAGCATCTTTTATAATTTGTTATTAGGTGCCATTGAAATACATGTCTTCCGATTTTCATTACAATTTTCATCAGGTATAAGTTAAAAGGTGTGGAGAATATAATTTATTGCTATAAAATAAGTAAAAAAGACAATAAAGTATTTAAACTGGAGAAATAAGAGTTGAAGGCTAATTGAGACTGAAATGATCATTTTTATTGATAAAATATACAGTCATTTGACAACGGGTGGCTGAATTAGGGAAGAAATACTTTTTAGAACTAACATAAAAATGAGTGACCAAATCATATAATTTAATGTACTGGAATCATAGAAAAGCCCCACAAAAATTAAAAATCATACACACACATTCAGGAACAGGTTTAGACATTTAGGCAGATGTTGAAATCTTAAATGAACTAGTGGGAGAGAAAGAACCATTGTTTAAAAGACAATGAACTAAAAAGAGTCAAAGGGATACTGACAGTGTGTGCACACACACATGCACACACACCTCTATATGCACACATATACATATACTTATATATATACACATATAGTATTTTTACTAACACATATGTATATGTATTTACTATATATATGTGTGAATATATATCAATATATTAATTACATTAATACATATATAATGTGTATATATACATTATATATAATGACAAGTAATACATTGTATATAGTTATTTCTTTTTTTCAGGAGAAGTTGGAGTAGTTGTTTGAAAGGAGCAAGGAGAAATCACTACTTTCTCAGGATATTATGGATAGGAGGAAAACATATAAAAGGCACAATTTTATAATTTGTATTGTTTTCCTAAGGGAAACTTACCAAGATTTTGTTTTCTGTTATGTGTCTTCATTGATTGAAGTAATACTTAAAAAAGTACATCAAAATATTTAAACTAAATCTACCCCCAAGGAAGAAAAGAAAATTTTCTCAAGTCGGAAAAAAATCTGGAAACTTCTATTACAGAATAGCAATGAGAAGTGACATTTTTGTTGAATGTTTAATATGTTTGAGAAACTCTTCTGAGAACTTACATATATTAACTAATTTAATCTACACACAAAAACTTATAACTATGCTTATGCTATTTTTTGATTGTTTATATGAGACAACTGAGGCCATAGATCTGAAGCAAGTTTTCTAATGTTACTTCACTCATTATTCGTAGATGCTAAATTCAAATGCAAACATAATAGTTCTTAAGTTCTTTAACACTTTGTACAGTTGGCTGTCAGTATCTGTGTGGTGTTGTTTCCAGGGCTCCCTGTGGATATAACAATTCATGGATGCTCAACTCCTTCATATAAAATGGTGTAGTATTTGCATATAACCTATGCACATTCTTGCATATACATTAAATCATCTCTAGATTACTTAATACCTAATACTATGTACATGCTATATAAATAGTTGTTATGCTTCATTGTTTAGAGAATAATAATAAAGAAAAAAGTCTGTACATATTCTGTGTAGATGCAATCATCCTTTTTTCCCCCAAATATTTTCAATCCACACTTGCTTGAATCCAGAGATGTAGGACTCACGTTTACAGAGGGCCGACTATATATACTACTATTCATATAGTTGTCGCGTGAATCTTCCTCATGGTAGTATTAGAATTTTAGATTATTTGTATCTGCATAGTTGGAATAGTGTATGTTTTAGTTAGCCTCCAGAGTAGCTGGGACCACAGGTACACACCACCACACCCAGCTAATTTTTGTATTTTTTGTCAAGAAGGGTTTTCACCATGTTGCCTAGACTCGAACTCCTGGGCTCAAGAGATCCTCCCACACCTCAGCCTCCCAAAGTGCTGCAATTACAGGGGGGAGCCACAGTGCCCCGCTTCTAAAGTTAAATTTAAAATATTCCTACGCCTTAACTCTCAGTTGTGGAACTTTTAGGTATATATCTTTTATTAATCCCTGTTCAACATTTTTTTTTCTTTTTTCACAACACAGGAAAGAAATGTGACTATGCTTTTTGGGAGGCTATTAGGTTTTCTAACTGGGATTTTAAAAAATAAATTGAACAAATATGAAACAAGAGCCATAATAGAATGTAGGTATTATCTAGTCTATAATTTCATTTGATAGTGACAAAAATTAAGATCTCAACAGGTTACATATTTACTTATAAGCATATAAGCTAATTAAATAAGAGCAGAATGTAATATTCTGTTGTCTACTTAAGTAATGAAGCTTTGTATTCCACAGACGTTTTGTTGTTCATGTTATTTTGTAGACATTATTTGTGTGATTCTGCAGATGTTTTATTATTCATGAAAAATAATCATGCAATTTGTCCCATAGTTTTAGGAATCTTTAGTTCTTTTCAAATTCCAGCTCTTCAAAATATATACATGCCAAGTTAATCTATTGTAATGAACATGAAGAGATAAAGACTTTGCCTCAGGCAGCTAAACAGATTATATTTGAAATTATTATTTTAGAGTTATTTTTAGAAACATATGAAATAAATACTCTTCAAAACCCCTGCCAATGCACATTAAACCTCAAAACAAATTGTCATCATATAGCAACAGTACAATCCACAAAAGAAAAGCTGTTTCTTTGATATTTTAGAAAATTAATATTGTAATTATTATTGTTCAAATATCCAAATAGTACTCGCTTATACATTCTATATTAAAATGTCTCCACAAGGTACCATGGCACACCTCAGAAATTACTATCCTCACAGATATTTCTCTAAGTACCACATACTTATATTTTTATACTGGATTTTGATTTTACATAAATTGAATTATATTTTGGAACTCTTCCACTGTATGAAAAATAGGTCTATCATTTTTTTAAGTACGGCAGAATGTTCCTGAAAATTTTTCCTTATAATAGATATTACTCTGTTCCAAATATTCTCTATTTTATAAAATGCTGCAATGGATGTTCTTGAACACATAACTTTATATTTTCGTGCCAGTATTTCTGATAAATAGAAAACATGTAATTGGTGGATAAAATGATATGCATTTTATATTTGGTAGCCAAGTCACCTGAAAGGGCTATTCCATGTAAACTTTCAGCAATTGTCTATGCAATGAGTGTTTTCTCATAACCTTGCCAATTATCAAGTATTTTTTAATTGGTTTAATGGTATTTCACAGGTTTCTTAATTTGAATTTCAGAGATCATTTGAGATATTGAACACTTTTACTATGTTTGTTTAGTTTATGGGTCATTGTATTACTTCTTATATTAACTGACTCATGTCCATAGTTATTGACAGTTCATAACACTTGCCCCCATTTATTCTGTGGGACTGAGCCCTTATTGTTTTGAAACAAAAATTTATATAATTGTGTTCCAATTTATTATTTGTAGCATATATTGCAAATAAACTATTCCAGTCTTTTTTTTTCAGGATGTCTTGTTTTTCTAAATGCTTTTATTATCTTTGCCACCTAAATGTTGATTTACTTTATATAATTAAACCCATCAATCCTTTCTTTATAAATTCTGGGTGGTTTGTCTTCTTGTTTATCAAGGCCAAAAATATTGTTTAAATGTCTGTATCTATACTATATATTAATATCTTTAATTGTATATATCTACAAACATAGACTAGTGTATATGTAAGTGCTGTTGTCTGTGTATGTGTGTATACTCTTGTGAGCTGTTTCATTCACCTGGAATTGATTTTTGTATATAAAAAGTATATATAAAAACTTTATTTTTTTCTCAAATTGTGAGTCATGGTTTTAATATAATTTAATATAGCCCATAATATTTACCTGTAATATATATAAATCCTCATATATACGTGAATTTTCTGTCCAGTTTAGTTTTTGGCTAATTTTATTATATGAATTGAAAGCAGAATGCTGCAATAAAAGATTCCACCTAAAAAGCCTGCAGGGGATTTTTAGCCTACTTCCTGCCAGTTCAGGCTTTTGTAGTTAGAGTATAGGTTAAATTATCACAAGTATTTTTAGGCTGGGATTGCAGATTTCTTGGTAGTGAATTTTCTGTTAAAACTTTAAAAGAATCCAGTTGATTTGTTTCAGGTAAGTTCTATAGTAAAATAAGCACAGCCAAAACATCTGATCATAATTTTTGAACCTAAATATTCTTTTTTATTTAAAGTTGTCTTTTCTTGGCCTTTGAGTCTCTGTCTTCTTGAGTCCATCTGTGACCATGGGCCTCGAGAAGATTTAAAAAAATCATGACAAAATCATAAGAAGGCAAATAAATAATAGGATCTTTGCCTCTTTGCTTGCATCTGTTATAGCCAAGAATATTGCTTTGGAGGTCCTCCCAGAAGGCTCTAAAATATTTTCTTTTCCTATTTATTATTATTATTTTTTAATCAATTTTCTTTTCCAAGCCTTTGATGTACCAAATTAGTGGACTCCTAGTCAGTTTAGATAATAGACCCCATGCAGAGAGCTACCCTTCACAGAACTGTATTCCTTTCCGTTTTCTCTGCAATTGTCTAATTCTTCTCAGAGGTCCTCTCTGTTACCAAAAGCTGTAGATACAGCCACTATGTCCCAATATTCTGGTGGTTAGATAACAAGATCCATTGCTCCAGAGTCATTTAGTCTGATTTCCAAATCATAACAGATGAGTGTTATATGTACCAAAAGTTTTGCCAAGGCATAACCAGAGCCATTACTTTTTAGCATGCAGTAACTTCTGTCACTGTCATGTTCAACTGAATTCTCATTGTTTTGTCAATGCTTTAAAAATTAGTAACTTATAAAATAAATCTGTAAGAATATTCTATTGTCATTTCAATAGAACAGTAAGGTAAACAAATACATGTTATCCAATATTGCTATGTCCACAAGGAAATATATCATTTAGAAAGATAACACTGCCCATCTATATTAGTTAAAAAAAATCACAGTTTTAGACTACAAAGCCTTTTGAGATCATTTTCTCCTTATCTCTTATTTCAGATATGATCAGTTTGAGACCTTGTGCTGTTAACCAGAAACCTTAAATCATGTAGTGATCATGACACGATTGGCCTAAATTTAAGTCTTTGTATCATTAAAGAAGTTTGTGTTTACATAAAATATTCAGCTTACCACTTTCAAATTGATTTCACATGGCCAAGTAAATAGAGTTCAGAGAATTAATATTTTCTGTTCAGCCCAAAGACTGGAAGAAAACCTAAGAATGAACCCTGGATTACCAAATAATATGAAAAAATATACAATGCTATTTATAATGAAACAAACTATTCCTATACCAAGAAGTCACGCTTTTGAAGAGGCTATGCTTCTTTCAGAATAAAAAATATTGATTCCAGCTGGGCGCAGTGGCTCACATCTCTAATCCCAGTACTTTGGGAGGCCGAGGCGGGAGGATCACTTGAACCTGGGAGTTTGAGACTAGCTTGGGCAGCATAGTATGACCCTGTATCTATTTTAAAAAAAAGAAAAGAAAATATTGATAGCTGGTTGGACTGTATTGTTCATCATCCTTGTCCAAATTCACTGCCGATGCCTAAGAACTATGTCATCTTTAATCAATTTATGAAAAGATTAAATATCACAAAGAAAAATAAAAGTTACACTTCTGCAAAGGAAGTGAAAAAGTATATAAAGGTACAATTGCAGTTGAGAAGTATTATGAAGTTGCTTATCAAAGGGAAGATTCACTGCAGAATGTTGCAATCTACAGTGTAAAATAAAGTCTAATGTATTCTTTTCCTTGGCAATTCATATTGGATTATACCCTGTCACAATCTTTTTTAGAAAGATTTAATAAGGATTTATAATAGGGAAAAAAGATTTTAATTACTATCTCTCAGATGAGAGATTTCTTCCATTTTAAGACAGATAATTTAGGTCAAACTATATAATATAGTGTGTTTTAATTCCATTCCTATAAATGGTGTTATTTCAATATTTCACAGAACTATTCATGGGTAAAATTTCTTCCCCTTGTAAGTAGAGTGAGCTACCACAGAGGTATAGAATAAAAAGAGAGAGAGGCAGAGACAAGAGAGAGAGAAGAGTACTTACTTTATTGTCTGGGATGTTTTACTGATAAAGAACAGAAATACTGTACCTCCTCTCTGAAAAAATTCACAATTATAGTATTTCCTCAATATTAGTAGTAATTGGCTTGTTTATAACTTTAGTAACTTATAATCAGTGAAGAAACAAACAAATTGCATTATGCCAATATTTTCTTAATATAAATAATTAAAATTGGAGGCCAAACCAAAATAGAAACTTTATGTTCTTAAACAAAAATGTAAATGGGTAAATATTTAAAATATTTGTTAGTAAATATTGCAATAAAAAACCCCCACCACAAAATTTGTACTCACTCAGTGCATTTTCAGTAAATGAAGGAATGAACTGAACACTAAACTATTTGACTGGTTTTTCAGCCCAGTGATTTTCAGACATTAAAGAATTTCAGTTGAAATTGTAGTATTTAGATCTGGTTGTGTTTGGCTCAGGAAATATTCATAGCTTTATAGAAATCCAGTGCACTTCCTCAAACACCACCAGCTCATGGTTCACATGTCAATCAACTGGAGTTGGAGATAAAGAGGGAATTTGTAAAGGCCCCATTGAATGCTGCTGGCAGCCGCAAACACATAACTACAAAGAGTATTAGGAACCATTCTGTTTACAGCAATTAACTGGACCCAAAGCCCTGTCAGCAGTTCCGGTTGTGTGGCCCTTCTTTGTGTCTGTTCTTTAATATTCAAAACTTGTTCAAATAGTGTGAAAAATTGAGTACATCCCCCTGCTGCAACTGATACATACGATAAACTCAGAAGCTACAGCTAGAATGATGCATATTAACGCATCCAGTAGCTATCAGCAAATGGAATGTGTGACAGAAAGCAGTGGCTTCATGGAAATTTAGTGCTAGCAAATTTATTTATCTTCAGGTTGAAACATAAATTTTAATAAAAATCCTCAAGCCAGCAACTAACTGGCCATCCAGCTGATAGCATTTAACAGTGCTAAACTCATTCTCTTAATAATACAGTGAACGTTGGCTCTCAGTTTTAACATTAAAAGCCATATGACTGAGCCCTATTTTGTACTTTTTAAAACCAAGTGACCATGTAAGGGAGCAGGGAAGGTGTTAGCTATGTGTGCCAATATCAAATAATTGGCAGAGCACTCCAGTGCTGCCTGTGGTTAGTGTGAATTAGTGGATGTTTTTCACTTGAAATCCCCAAGATCATCCTCTTTGCACATGTGGTTCCTTTCCTCCTTGCAGCTTAAACCCACCACGTACCACCTCAAAAAATTGCCACAGTGACCCCAAACTGCTCCCAGCCATTAATATATTTGTTTTCTAAAATATCTTAGATCTTTATTTAGTCTACCAAAGCTTCATTTGATACTTAATATACAGAAAGAAAATTATCCTTTTATTGATTTACGGGATCACAAGAATATTAAGAACTGGTTCAATATTCCAAAGAAGATACTTATCATAGAGCAGGAATTGATAAACTAGTGTGAGAAACAGTCTCACTTTACCCTAACAGGTACGGTGACTTCATTTTCCTAGAAAAAGAATGAAGTGTAACTCCTATGTTCTTAGTTTGTATGTTTCAAAATATTTGATTAAATTATTTATAGTTTATTCACAAAGTTGTGTAATCATCACCATGGAAAGAAATACTGCATCCATTAGCAATTACTCCTCATTCCCTCCTGCCTACAACTCCTGGCAACCACTATTCTACTTTCCGTCTCTATGCGTTTACCTAGTCTGGACGCTTCATATAAATGAAATCATGTCTTGTGGTATTTCATGTCTGGATTCTTCCAATTAGTTTAATATTTTCATGGTCAGCCATGTTATAGAATGTATCAATACTTCATTTTATTTTATGGCTGAAAAATATTTCACTGTATGGAGAGACATGACTTAGTTTATGAATTTATTAGTTAATGGGCATTTTGGGTTGTTTCCATCTTTTTGCTATTATGAATAATTCTGCCATAAACATGTGTAACAATGTTTATAAATATACATTTTCATTTTTCTTGGGTATACACCTATGTCTGGAATTGCTGAGTCATATGATAATTCCATATTTAAGGTTTTTGTAGAACTAACAAAGCATTTTCCAAAGATGTTGCTCCATTTTACATTCCCACTAAAAATATATGAGAGTTCCAAGTTCTCCACATACTTTTCATCACTTTTTATTCTCTGATTTAAAGAAAAAATCTTAGTCATCCCTTGGGTTTGAAGTAGTGTTTCATTGTGGTTTTGATTTGCCTTTTCTTGGATAACTAATAATATTGTGCATCTTTTCATGTGATCTGATTATTGACCATTGATATATCTTCTTTGTAGAAATCTGTTTGGGGTCCTGTGTCCATTTTTTTGCATTTATTACTTTTTTATTTTTGTGGGTACATTGTAGGTGTATATATTGATGGATTAGATGAGATATTTTGATACAGGCATGCAATGTGTAACAATCACATCAGGTTAAATGGAGTATCCATCATCTCAAGCATTTATTCTTTGTGTTACAATTGACACACTCTTCTAGTTGTTGTTCTTTTCTCTTTTTTTTGAGATGGAGTCTTGCTCTGTTGCCCAGACTGGAGTGCAATGGCATGATCTTGGCTCACTGCAACCTCTGCCTCCCAGGTTCAAGCGATTCTCCTATCTCAGCCTCCCGAGTAGCTGGGATTATAGGCATGTGCTACCACGCCCGGCTAATTTTGTATTTTTAGTAGAGACGGGGTCTCTCCATGTTGATTAGGCTGATCTCGAACTCCTGACCTTAGGTGATCCACCCGCCTCGGCCTCCCAAAGTGCCGGGATTACAGGCGTGAGCCATTGCGCCTGGCCTCTTCTGGTTGTTTTCAAATGTACAACTAAATTATTTTGAATATAGTTACCCTGTTGTGTTAGCAAATACTAGGTCTTATTTATTCTTTCTAACTATTTTTTGGACCCATTAACCATCCTCACTTCCACCAACTTCCCACTTCTCTAACCCAGCCTCCAGTAACAATCCTTATACTGTCTATCTCTCTGAGATGAATTAGTTCAACTTTTAGCTCCTACAAATAAGTGAGAATATGCAAAGTTTACCTTTCTGTGCCTGGCATATTTCACTTAACATATTGACTTCCAGTTCTATCCATGTTGCTGCCAATGACAGGATTTCATTTTTATGGCTGAATAGTACTCCATTGTATATATTTATTATTATAATTTCTTAGTCATCTATTAATAGACACTTAGGTTGCTTCCAATTCTTGGTGTTGTGAATAGTGCTGGAAGAAATATGGGAGTGCAGACACCTCTTCAGGATAGTATTTTTTTTTTCCTTTGGGTTATATACCCAGAAATGGGATTGCTGAACTTTACAGTATATCTAGTTTTAGTTTTTTGAAGAATCTCCAAACTGTTCTCCATAGTGTCTGTACTAATTTACATTTCCACCAACAGAGTGTTAGGGCGCCCTTTCAGCTTTTGTTTGTCTGGGAAAGTCTTTATTTCTCCCTCACGTTTGAAGGATTTTTTTTCAGATATACTCTTCTAGGGTAAAATTTGTTTTCTCTGCAGTGTGTTAAGTGTGTCATGCCACTCTGCTGGCCTTTAAGTTTTCCATGGAAAAGTCTGCTGCCAGATGTATTGGAATTCCATTAAATGTTACCTGTTTCTTTTCTTATGCTGCTTTTAGGGTCCTTTCTTTATCCTTGACTTTTGGGAGTGTATTAGTGCATTTTCAGGCTGCCAATAAAGACAAACAGGAGAATGGGCAATTTATAAAGAAAGACGTTTATTGAATTTACAGTTCCACTTGGCTGGGGAGGCCAAACAATCACGTTGGAAGGCAAGGAGGATTAAGTTACATCTTATGTGGATAAGGGCAGACAAAGAGAGGATTTGTCAGGGAAACTCCCTCTTATAATACCATCAGATCTCGTGAAACTTTGTTATCACGAGAACAGCATGGGAAAGACCTATCTCCATGATTCAATTACCTCTCACTGAGTCCCTCCCACAACACATAGAAATTCAAGATGAGATTTGGTTGGGGACACAGCCAAACCATATAACGGGGTTTGGCTCTAAACATCATGAGGTAGTCAGTCTCCTTTGGTTTAAATCTACTGGGTATTCTATAACCTTCTTGTGCTTGGATTTGATATTTTTCTTTAGGTTTGGGAAATTTTTTGTTATTATTGCTTCGAATAAACTTTCTACACCTATCCCTTTCTCTACTTTCTCTTTAAAGCCAACAACTCTTAGATTTGCCCTTTGGGGTTATTTTCTAGTTCCTGTAGGTATGCTTCATTATTTTTTATTCTTTATTCTTTTTTTCTTCTTTGACCACGTATTGTCATGCAGCCTGTCTTCAATCTCACTGATTCTTCTGCTTGATCAATTCTGCTATTAAAAGACTCTGATGCATTCTTCAGTATGTCAGTTGCATTTTTCACCTCCAGGATTTTGACTTGATTCTTTTTAATTGTTTCAATTTCTGTGTTAAATTTATGTAATAGAATTCTGAATTCCTTCTCTGAGTTATAATGAATTTCTTTGAATTTCCTGAACACAGCTATTTTGAATTTTCTGTCTGAAAGGTCACATATCTCTCTTTCTCCAGAATTGGTCCCTGGTGCCTCGTTGACCTCATTTGGTGACGTCATATTTTCTTGAATTGTCTTGATAATTGTGGATGTTCATCTGTGTCTAGACATTGAAGAGTCAGATATTTGTTGTAGTCTTTGCAGTCTGGGCTTATTTGCACCTGTCCTACTTTGGGAAGCTTTCCAGGTATCCAAAAGGACTTAGGTGTTGTAATCTAACTCACATCTGCATTAGGGGGCATCCCAAGCTGAGTAATGCTGTGGCACTTAAAGACTTGTAGAGGCACAACCTTGGTGGTCTTGAATAAGATCTTGATGAACTCTCTGGATTATCAGGCAGAGACTCTCTCTTCCCTTACTTCCTTTCAAGCAAACGGAGTGTCTCTCACTTTTCTCAGCTGCATGGATCTGGTAGTAGGCTGACACAAGCATCCCTGTGGCCACCATCACTGGGGCTATGATGGGTCAGACCTGAAGCCAGCAGAGCACTGAGTCTTGCCCAAGGCCTAAAGTAACTACTACCTGGCTACCACCTAAGTTTTCTCAAATCCATGATCTTTGCCCATTTTAAATTGGGCTATTTTTCTTTGTATTATTGAGTAGTTAGAGCTCCTAATATTCTCTGCACAAGTTTCTTGTCAGACATATAATTTGCAAATATTTTTTCTCACTTCTTAATTTGTCTTTTTACTTTAGTAATGGTGACCTTTAAACAGCAAAACTTTTTCAAAAAACTGTTATGAACTACATGTCTATTTTTATCTTGTTTTTGGTGTCATATCTAAGAAACTATTATCTAATCTAAGGTAATTAAAATGTATAACAATGTTCTATGTAAGAGTTTTATGGTTTTAGCTCTTATAATTGGGTCTTTGGTCTATTTCAAGTCTATTTTTACATATTGTGCAATGTAGGATTCCACTTCATTCTTTCACGTGTGGCCATCCAGTAGTCCCAGCATCATTTATGGAAAAGACTATTCTTTTTTACTGAGAGGGAGTCTCGCTCTGTCTCTCAGTCAAGAGTACAGTGGCACAATCTCGGCTCACTGCAACCTCCACCTCCCAGGTTCAAGTGATTCTCCTGCCTTAACCTACTGAGTAGCTGGGATTACAGGTGTACACAACTGCGCCTAGCTAATTTTTGTATTTTTAGTAGAGACGGGGTTTCACCATGTTGGCCAGGCTGTTCTTGGACTCCTGACCTCAGGTGATCCTCCACCTGCCTCAGCTTCCCAAAATGTAGGGATTACTGGCGTGAGCCACCAGGCCCAGCCAGACTATTCTTTTATACACTGAATTGTCTTGTACCCTTGTTGAAAATGAATTGACCAAATATTAATAGGTTTATCTTGCACTGCCACTCCTATTCTATTGATTGATATATGTTTATCCATATGCCAGTATCTCACTGTCATGTTTATGGCTAATTAATAGTTGTGAAAAAGAAGGTGTGCATCCTTTGACCTTGTTCCTTTTCAAACATTTTTGTCTATTGTGTTTTCCTTGTGTTTCTATCTATACTTTAGGATCAGTTTGTCAACTTCTCCCAAAAAAGCAAAAATAATTTTGATATGGATTGTGCTGAATCTTTAACTCAATTTATGGAGCATTGCCATCTTAATAATATCTGGTTTTCTGATCTGTTGACACAGAATGTCCTTCTATTTATTTAAGTCTTCTTTATTTCTTTTAGTAATATTTTGCAGTTTCTGTTGCATGTATTATTTCCTTTTTTAATTAAATTTATTTCTAGATATTCTATTTTATTTGATGCTATTTTAAGTTGCACTGTTTAATTTTATTTTGCACAGTTCACTGTTAGTGTATATAACCATAATTAATTTTTGTGTATTTATCATGTATTCTGTAACTTTTCTGGCTCATTTATTAGTTCTAACAATTTTCTATTTTTTTCTTTTTTTTTAGAATTTGTTATATACAAGATTATGTCATCTGTAAATAGTTTTACTTATTTCATTCTAATATTAATGTTATTTATCTGTATTTGCTGCATATTTCTCTGGATAAACCTTTAGTAAAATATTGAACAGAAGTGTCCAAAGCAGATAACGTAGTTTTGTTTCTGATCTTAGAAGGAATGCTTTAAGTCTTTCAGTGATGTTAGGTCAGAGTTTATCATAGAGGCCTTTTGTCATAGTGAGAAAATTCCCTTCTTCCTAGGTTCTTGAGTACTTTCAGCATTAATGTGTTTAGATTTTGTCAAATACATTTTCTGCACCTATTGACATGATCATATGGGTTTGATCTGTCTTTTATTATATTTATATGGTATTTTAAATGGATTGATTTTCGTATGTACTTGGCCATAGTATAAAATTAATATGGCTAAATTTGGGGGGGTTTTTATATTGCTTTTCGGTAAGTTTTAAGAATTTGATATATATGTATATATATATAATGCATAATGATCAAATCAGGGTATTTAGGATATCCATCACCTCAAGTATTTATTTCTATGTGTTAGGAACATTTCAAGTCATCTCCTCCAGCTATTTTGAATATGCGAAACATTGCTGTTAACTGTAGTTATAGTTCACTATTCTGGTAGTGAACACTGGAACTTATTATTTCTATTTAACTTTACATTTATACCCATTAACCAACCTCTCTTAATCCCTTCCCCATGACACACACACCCTTTCTATCCTCTGGTAACTCTCCATCTATTCTCTTTTGGAGGTACAAGAAGCACTATGCTTCTTGTACCTCCAAAAGATAATTTTTTTTTTTTTAGTTCCCACATATGAGTAAGAACATGAGATACTTGTCTTTATCCACCTGGCTTATTTCACTTGACATAATGACCTCCAGTTTCATTCATGTTGCTGTAAATGACAGTATTTTATTCTTCTTAATGGCTGAGTAGTATTAAATTGTCTATATATACCACATTTTCTTTTTTCATTTATCCATTGATGGTCATGTAGATTAATCACACATCTTTACTATTGTAAATAGTGCTGCAATAAACACGGTGGTGCAGTTATTCCTTTGATGTACTGATTTTCTTGTTTTATACAAATATCCAGTAGTGGGAATACTGGATCATATGGTAGTTCTCTTTTCAGGTGTTTTTGTTTTTTGCTTTTTTGTTTTGTTTTGTTTGGAGAAATCTCCATACTGGCTCTACTAATTTGCATTCCCACCAACAGTGTATAAGAATTCCCTTTTTCTACATCTTCTAGAATCTGTTTTTGTGTGTGTGTGTATTTTTGATAATGGTCATTCTAACTAGAGTAAGACGATATCTCATCACAGTTTTCATTTACATTTCCCCAATGATTAGTGATACTGAGCATTTTTAAATATACATGTTAGCTATTTGCATGCTTTTTTCGAGAAATGCTTCTGTCTTGTGCCCATTTTTTAATGGGATTATTAGTTATTTTGCTGTGGAGTTCTTCTGAGTTCCTTGTACATTCTGGATATTAGTTCCTTGATGAATATATAGTTTGAAAATATTTTCTTTCACTTAACAGGTTATCTCTTTACTCTATTGGTTGTTTGTTTTGCTGTGCAGAGGCTTTCTAGTTTAATATATTCCCATTTGTATATTTTTGCTTTTATTGCCTGTACTTTGATGTTTTCGCCATAAATTTTCCTAGACCAATATTCTGAAATGTTTTCTCTATTTTCTTCTAGTAGTCATTGGATAGTTTTAGATCTTATGTTTACATCATTATATCATTTTGAGTTGATTTTGTGTATGTGAGAGATAAGAGTCTGGTTTCTTTCTTCTGTATATGAATATTCTGTTTTCTCAGCACTATTTATTGAAGAAGATATCTGAAGAAGGTATCTATTCTGCAATGAATGTTCTTGGTGCCTATTTTGAAAATCAGTCAGCTCTGAATACATGTATTTATTTTTGGATTCTCTATTTTGTTCCATTGGTCTAGGTGTCTATTTTTATACCAATAGCATGTTGTTTTGGTGAATACAACCTTGTAATATATTTTGAAGTCAGGTAGTGTGATGCTTCTAGCTTTGTTCTTTTCTGCTCAAGATTGTTCTGGCTATTTGGACTCTGTTTTAGTTTCATACACTTTTCAGAATTTTTTATTTCTATTTCTGTGAAAAATGGCATTGGTATTTTCCTAGGGATTATACTGAATCTGTAGATTTATTAAGGTAGTATGGTCATTTTAACAATATTAATTCTTCTGATCTATGAGCATGATATGTATTTCCATTTGTTTGTGTCATGTTCAAATTTTTTTCATCAGTGTTTTTTAGTTTTCCTTTTAGAAGTTTTTTAAATTTTTTTTAATTATTTTTTTATTTTTTACCTCTGATAGAATTTGGATATTTGACACCTCCAAATCTCATGTTGAAATTTGATCCCCAATGTTGGGGGTGGAACCTGATGAGTGGTGTTTGGGTCATGGCGGTGGACCCCTCATGAATGGCTTGGTGCCATTCTCATGACAGTGGGTGAGTTCTCAGTCTTAGTTTTTGCAAAGTCTCACTGTAAAAAAAAAAACAAAAATAAAAAATAAAAAAATAAAAAGAGAGAGAGAGCCTGGCAACTCCCTCCTCCCTCTCTTTCTTCCTCTTTTACCATGTAATGCCTGTCCCCCTCCCCCTTCTCCCAAGAGTGGAAGAGTGGAAACTTCCTGATTCCCTCACCAGAAGCTAATCCTGGCACTATGCTTCTTGTACAGCCTGAAGAACCAAATGAACATTTTTGTCTTTATAAATTATTCAACCTCAGGTAGCACCTTATAGCAATGCAAACATACTAACCCCACTTCCTTTGTTAAATTTATTTATAGATTTTTATAGCTACATAAAATGCCTTCCTGATATCAGCTAATTCATTATTGGTTTATAGAAACCCTACTGATTTTTGTATGCTGATTTTGTATCCCTCAACTTTATTGAATTTGTTTATGATTACTAAGATATTATCATGGAGTCTTCAGATCTTTCTAAATATAAGATCATGTCGTCTGCTGAGAAACAATGCGACTTCCTCTTTTCCAATTTGGATGTCTTTTATTTCTTTATCTTGCCTGGTTGCTCTGACTAGGAATTCTGGTACTATGTCAGATAAGAGCGGTGAAAGTGGACATCCTTGTCCTTTCCAGTTATTAGAGAAAAGGCTTTCAGCTTTTCTCCATTTAGCATCTTATTAGCCGTAGGTTTATCATTTATGGCCTTTATTATTTTGAGGTATGTTTCTTCTATGTCTAGTTTCTTGAAAGTTTTTATCATATAGAGATGTGATCGTATGGTTTTTGTCTATCATTCTATTGATGTGATGTATCACATTTATGTATTTGAATATGTCTAACAAGTCTTGCATCGCTAAGATAAATATTTCATCATGGTGTATTATCTTTTTGACATGTTGTTAGATTTCGTCTGCATGTATTTTGCTGAGGATTTTTGTGTCTATGTTAATTAGGGATATTAGCTTGTGGTTTTTTAAGTTCTTCTTTTTATTATTGTGTTCTTGTCTGCTTTTGATTTCAAGGTAATGATGGCCTCATAGCACGAGCTAGGAAGAACTGCCTCCTTTTCAATTTTGTTTGAATAGTTTGAGAAAAGTTGTTGTTAATTATTATTTGTAGTTTTGTAGAATTTGTCAGCACAGCCATCTGATACTAGGCTTTACTTTGTTGGAAAACATTTTATTACTGATTCAATCTTGTACTGGTTTGTTCAGGTTTTCTATTTCTTCTCAATTCGGTTTTGATAGGTTGTATGTGTTCAGGAATTTATTCATTTCCTCTAGGTTTTCCAGTTTGTTAGTATATAGTTGCTTATAATAGTCTATGATTATCATTTGTATTTCTGTGGTATCAGTTGTTATATCTAGTGTTTCATTTCTGATTTTGTTTATTTGAGTCTTCTTCCTTTTTTCCTTGGTTAGTGTAGCAACATTATCTTTAAATAAAACAATTTTTCATTTTGTCATTTCTATTTTTTACTCTTTAATTTATTTAGTTCTTCTCTGATTATTATTTTTTTTTTAATTCTACTAATTTGGGGTTTGGTTTCATTTTACTTTTCCAGTTCCTTGAGGTGCATTGTTATATTCTTTATTTGAAATGTTTCTACTTTTTTGATGTATGCATTTATTGCTATAAACTTCTCTCTTAGAACAGCTTTGGCAATATTTCATAGGTTTGTTTCCCTTTTCGTTTGTTTCAAAATATTTTTAATCTTTTCATTTACCAGTGAGTGTTCAAGACTATTTTTTAAAATTTCATATATTTGTACAGTTTCCAAAATCCCTCTTGTTATTGATTTCTAGTTTTATTCCATTGTGGTCTGAGAAGATATTTGATATGGTTTTGAGTTTTAGAAATGTGTCCAGACTTGTTTTGTTTCCTAATATAAGATTCTATCCTGAATAATTTTTCGTGTACTGATGAGAAGAATGCATATTCTGCAGCTTTGGAGAAAACATTCCGTATATGCCTGTTAGGCCCATTTGTTCTAAAATGTGGCTGAAATTTAATGTTTCTTTGCTTATTTTCTGTCTAGATGATTTTTCTCTTGTTAAGCACAGAGTGTTGAAGTCCTCAACTATTATTGTATTGAGTCTATTTCTCCCTTTAGATCTACTAATATTCTTTATAGATCTATGTGCTCCAGTGCTGGGTGCATACATATTTATAATTATTATACCCTCTTGTTGAATTGCTCCCTTATAGGTCAATACATTATTATATAATAACCTTCATTATCTTTTTTTTTTTTTTTGCTATTTTTAACTTAAAGTATGTTTTTCTTCTGGTATAAATATAGCTAGTTTTTCTCACTTTTGGTTTCTCTTTATGTGGAAGCATATATATCCCTTTTCTTGCAGTCTAAATGTGTTCTTATAGATTAAATGAGTTTCTTGTTGGCAACATATAATTGGGTCTTGTGAGTTTTTTTTGTGCTTTTTTTTGGTGGTGTTTTCTGTTTTTTAAATCCGTTCAGCTAGTCTGTGCATTTTAAGTGGAAAATTTAGTCCATTTAAACCCAAGGTTATTATTATGTTAGGTTATTATTAATATGTTAACATATTATTAATATGTTAGGATTTATTCCTGTCATTATGTTCATTGTTGCCTGATTGAATTGTATATCCTTTGTTGCTTTCTTTGTCTCTTATTGTTTATTATTGTGGCTTTCTGTAGCAGGAACATATAAATCCTGTCACTTCATTTCTGTGTTTGCTGTATCAGTGAGTTTTATACTTTCAAGTGTTTTTATGATGGTAGATAATTCTTTCACCTCCAGGTGTAGGACACCCTTAAGAATTTCTTATAGGGCCAGTCTAGTGGTTATAAATTGCTTAGCTTTTGCTTGTCTAAGAAAAACTTTATTTCTCCTTTGTTTCTGAAGTAAAACTTTGTTGGGTATAGTATTCTTGGCCGACAGTCTTTTTTTTTCTGGCACTTTGAAAATATCATTCCATTCTCTCCTATCCTGTAAGATTTTTACTGACAATTCCACTATTAATCTGAATTGGTTTCCCTTATATGTGACTAAACAGTTTTCTCTTGCTTTGTTTTAGAATTCTCTCTCTCTCCATCTCTCTCATCTATCTATTCCTCTCTTTCTTACTTTGAACAGCTTGAGTATAATGTGCCATGGAGAAGAGATTTTTGGATTGCATGCATTTTGAGATCTCTGAGCTTCCAGTATCTGGATGGCTAAATCTCATGGTAGACTTGGGAACTTTTTGGCTATTATTTCATTAAGTAGGTTTTTTATGTTCCTTTAGTCCCTTCACTTTCTGGAACAAAATTTGTATATTTGATTGCTTTGTGGTGTTGTATATGTCATATAGGTTTTGTTCATTCTTTTTAATTATTTTTTCTTTATATCTTATTGGGTCATTTCAAAAGATCGGTCTTCAAGTTCTAAAATTTGTTCTTTTGCTTGTTCTAGTCTAATGTTGAAGTCTGCAAAGAGTTTGCTCATTTTACTTTTTGAATTCTTCAGTTCTAGAGTTTATATTTTTTAATGATCTCTAGCTCCCTGGTGAATTCCTCAGTAATATCTTCTATTGTTTTTCTGATTTATTTTTTATTGGTGTTGTATTTGTCTCACTGAACTTCTTTAATAACATTATTTTGAATTCTTTTTCTGGGATTTATACATTTCTTTTTCATTGGTATCTGCTGCTGGATAATTATTCTGTTTCTTTGGAGGTATTATATTTCCTTTATTTCATGTTTGTTGTGTTCTTGCATTAATACCTGTGCATCTGGTATAAGAGTTACTTCTTCAAATTTTTTGCATTGGCTTTCATAAGGGAAGAATTTTTTCTAAATATGCATCTTGGTGTTTATTGGGTAGGACATTTTAGTTTTGATTCTGGTGCATGCAGTAGTGTAGTCACCATATCATTTTTTCAACTCTAAGTGTTCTAACTAGTGTCTGTGATTCCCTTAGTGTCTTAGGCTATAGTTGTTAGTAGTAATTTGGGTGAGGTTTTGCTGGGAATGGAGACATCAGGTTGGTCAGTCTTTGGGCCTCAGTGGTGGCAGTTGTGGGCTTAGCGTGCTTGCCTTTAGGACTCATGTTGGTGTACTCAGGCACTGGTGTTAGTGGGTCCAAATGGGCTAAATCTGGAGCCACCAGGTCTCTTTCTCTGGTGCCAGCAATTGAAGCAGTGGGTAAGGTGAATGAACTGGTTCTTGGTACTTTGGGTAACATTGGCAATGGCAGTAGAGGCGGCAGGACAACTTTTGGGCCATGAAGTCAAATAATGGTGTTAGTAGTACTGCAATGGGCTTTGAGCCAGTCCTCATTCTCCCAGGTGGCACATTTGGGTGGGTGCCAGCTGTGGTGTTAGCAGTAGACTAAATAAGCCTATTCTCTGGCTCTCTGGGGGAGTGCATGATGCCAGTGGTGCATGCACAGGGTGGAGTAATCCCCAAGTCCCTGAACTGTATGCTCAGGCACTCAGTGGAGGTCAATGTCAGGCCAGGCAGGCTGTGATGGAGAGGGCAGGGTGATATCTCAGCCCCCTGGAGGAGTGCTTAAGTGGCTGCAGCAGCAGCAGTGGTGGGCAAGGGGAAGCCTATCCACAGGGCACATGCAAGTGAGCTGTGGCTCTCCCCCGATTGGAGAGTAAAATTGCTGACAATAACTGCAGCCACAGGCATATAATTGTAAAGCTCTGGGGTGTATACTTCAGCTCTCAGTGGTAGCAGTAGTGGCTGTGAAGGGCAGCAGCAGAGCATGACCTCAGAGTGTCTGTGTGATACCACCACTGCTGGGAGTGCAGGTTGCTGTCTGTGCCAGCTGTCCCAGGTAACTATTCTCAGGTTCTAGGACACACTTTGGCTCCTTTTGTCCTGGCATAAGCCTCCTTTGTGCACTGCACTGCCCATTTCTCAAGGTACAGTACCCTGTGTTTACTAGATTGCTGAAGACCTTGCCATTCTGCCTGGTCTGACTAGTGCCACACAATTGGAGCCCATTGGGTGAATTTGAGAGAAATGGCAGTGGGGCTCCAGGGATGTGGAGATGTAAGGGTTATTTGGCTCTATGGAAGAATGCCGTCTCATGCAGACTGGCTTTCAAAATGGCAGTGTGTTGCAACTGCTTAGGCCCTGGGAGGTATGTGAGACCTGGTGCGAGCTCCTTCTCTGGAGAAAAGCCATAATACAGTCTCCAGGTTATTCTCAGGGCCTGCTAGGGATTACTTTATGGCTAGGGTTGCAGGAGTGCATGGTGGGAATGTAAACTGCCAGGTATCGCTCAATTTCCCTTTCTTTGCATGGGGAACCTCTCTAGGCTCCCAGCCAATTACAGCGAAGTTGGCTACCTACCTTCTTTCTCCTTCCATGATTCAGGTGTTTCCTGTCAATTTTCTGTTACATTCAGTGTTCTTTCAGATGCTCTATTTGAAGTGTGATTACTTACTTGTTGTTTTGGTTCTTCTTTGTGAAGGAGGTATTGTATGCCTCCAGTCAACCATCTGAAGTCCCTTTCTCTTCTATTTTTGGGGAAGAGTTTGCATAATTTTTTGTCTCATTCCTCTTTAAATATTTGCTAGAATTAACAAATAAAGACATCTTGACCTTGGATTTTCTTTTTGAATAGTTTTTTTTTCTTAAATACTAATTCAATCTATTTGCTTGTTATATTTTACTCAGCAGCAATACACTGTTACATCTTATTGGGCTCAGTAGTTTATGTCTATAAATTTGTCAATTTCATCTAGGTTGCCTATTAGCACACAATTGGTATGTTAATGGTATTCCTTTACAGTCTTTTTTAATTCTCTAAGATCAGTAGTAATTACCCCTTTTTTACTGCTGTATTTATTTATTTAGTCTTCATTCTGAGCACTGCTGATTTTAGTAATTTGAATTCCCTGTCTTTTTGTGTTGGGGGTGAGCAGGATCATGCTCTGTTGCCCAGGCTGGAGAAACAGTCAGGGCTCACTGCAGCCTCAACCTCCTGGGCTCATGTGATCCTCCTATTTCAGCCTCCCAAGTAGCTGGGGTCAAAGGTGCACATCACCTGTGTGCACCTGGCTAATGTTTTAATTAACATAACTGGCTAATGTTTTTGAAGTGTTTTGGTAAGATAGGGTCTTATTATGTTGCTCAGGCCAGTCTCAAACACCTGGGTTCAAGTGATCCACCTACCTTGGCCTCTTAAAATGCTGGGATTACAGGTGTGAGCCACCATACCTGGCCTCCTGTCTTTTTAACTTGATCAATCTAGCTATAAGTTTGTCAGTTTATGAATACTTTAAAATATACTTTAAATATTTGTTGATGTTCTTTATTTTGACAAATTCTCTATTTTTCTATTCTTTATTTTCAATTTTTTTCTATCCTCTCTTTCATTATATACACTCTAATTATTTTTATTTTCTTCCTTCTGCTTGCTTTGGTTTACTTTGCTCTTTTTCTAGTTCCCTAAGGTGGAAGTTTTTCTTATTTATTTGAGATATGTTTTTAAAATACAGTTATTTCCAGCTAGCAAATCATATCAAGGCATTGAGTTAAATGAATTAAATAAAATTTGGTATGTTGTGTTTTTCTTTTTTATGTATCTTTTATAATTTTTTCTGTGATCTCTTTTTTGTTCTATTAGCTATTTGGGGGCAGAGTGTTGTTTAATTTCCATATATTGGTAACTTTCCCAAATGTTATTTTTCTATTATTAATAACCAGTTTCATTTCATTGTTGTTAGTGAATATATTTCATGTGATTTTTATTCCTTAAATTTATTGAGACTTGTTTTATATACGATCATTTGGCCTATTCTAAAATATTTTTAATGTGCCCTTGAGAAGAATGTGTATTCTGCTATTGTGAACGTAATATTTTTTAGATGCCTGTTACATGTACTAGGTTTATGATATTGATCAAGGCTTCCATTTTCTTTTTTATTTTATTTATTTATTTATTTTTTGAGATGGAGTTTTCCTCTTGTCACCCAGGCTGGAGTGCAGTGGTGCAGTCTCAGCTCACTGTAACCTCCGCCTCCCAGGTTCAAGCAATTCTCCTGTCTCAGCCTCCTGAGTAGCTGGGATTACAGGCACTGCCACTACTCCTGGGTAATTTTTTTTTTTTTTTGTATATTTTAATAGAGACAGGGTTTCACCATGTTGGCCAGGATGGTCCTGAACTCCTGACCTCAGGTAATCCACCCGTCTTGGCCTCCCAAAGTGCTGGGATTACAGGCGTGAGCCACCGTGCCTGGCCAAGGCTTCTATTTTCTAGCTGATCTTCTGAATAGTCATTCTATCAATTGTTGAAAGTAAGTGAAGTTTCTAACTACTATTGTTGAATAATCTGTCTTTCAATTCTCCCACTTTATGCTTTATTTATTTTGGAGCTCTGTTGAGAGATGCATTTTTTTATAACTGTTAATCTTCTTGATAAGGTGACACTTTTATCACTGTAGAATGTCTTATCTTTAGTGTCAATTTTCCGTATTTGGAGTTCATTGAGCTTCTAAGATCTCATTATGTGAATGTTGGTAGACTTGACGTTATTTCACAGACCTTTGAGAATTTGTTCATTTTTCTTTATTCTTTTCCCATCGACTCCTTACAGCAGATAATGTTAATGGTTCCTTTTTCAAATTTGCTAATACTTTCTTCTACCAGATCAAATCTTCCTTTGAACCACTCTAGTGAATTCTTCATTTGAGTTATTCTAATTTTCAACTCTAGAACTTATTATTTTTGTTGTATTATACATATATGTAATATTTATACATATACACATATACATACACATATATACATGCACACACATACACACACATTCTACTTTTTTTGTATTCTATTTGGTAAGACATTGTTCTCACACTATGCCTTAATTCCATAGACATGGCAATGGTTACTTTCAATTTTATGTCTATATCTCTAAAGATTCTCTAGAGAAACAGAACTAATAGCATGTAAGGATATAAAAAGAAATGCACTTTTTTGGTTCCATATGAACTTTAAAGTAGTTTTTTCCAATTCTGTGAAGAAAGGCATTGGTAGCTTGATGGGGATGGCATTGAATCTGTAAATTACCTTGGGCAGTATGGCCATTTTCACAATATTGATTCTTCCTACTCATGAGCATGGAATGTTCTTCCATTTGTTTGTATCCTCTTTTATTTCCTTGAGCAGCGGTTTGTAGTTCTCCTTGAAGAGGTCCTTCACATCCCTTGTAAGTTGGATTCCTAGGTATTTTATTCTCTTTGAAGCAATTGTGAATGGGAGTTCACTCGTGATTTGGCTCTCTGTTTGTCTGTTGTTGGTGTATAAGAATGCTTGTGATTCTTGTACATTGATTTTGTATCCTGAGACTTTGCTGAAGTTGCTTATCAGCTGAAGGAGATTTTGGGCTGAGACAATGGGGTTTTCTAGATATACAATCATGTCGTCTGCAAACAGGGACAATTTGACTTCCTCTTTTCCTAATTGAATACCCTTTATTTCCTTCTCCTGCCTAATTGCCCTGGCCAGAACTTCCAACACTATGTTGAATAGGAGTGGTGAGAGAGGGCATCCCTGTCTTGTGCCAGTTTTCAAAGGGAATGCTTCCAGTTTTTGCCCATTCAGTATGATATTGGCTGTGGGTTTGTCATAGATAGCTCTTATTATTTTGAAATATGTCCCATTGCCAAGTCAATCCTAAGCCAAAAGAACAAAGTTGGAGGCATCACACTACCTGACTTCAAACTATACTACAAGGCTACGGTAACCAAAACAGCATGGTACTGGTACCAAAACAGAGATATAGATCAATGGGACAGAACAGAGCCCTCAGAAATAACGCCACATATCTACAACTATCTGATCTTTGACAAACCTGACAAAAACAAGCAATGGGGAAAGGATTCCCTATTTAATAAATGGTGCTGGGAAAACTGGCTAGCCATATGTAGAAAGCTGAAACTGGATCCCTTCCTTACACCTTATACAAAAATCAATTCAAGATGGATTAAAGACTTAAACGTTAGACCTAAAACCATAAAAACCCTAGAAGAAAACCTAGGCAGTACCATTCAGGACATAGGCATGGGCAAGGACTTCATGTCTAAAACACCAAAAGCAATGGCAACAAAAGACAAAATTGACAAATGGGATCTAATTAAACTAAAAAGCTTCTGCACAGCAAAAGAAACTACCATCAGAGTGAACAGGCAACCTACAAAATGGGAGAAAATTTTCGCAACCTACTCATCTGACAAAGGGCTAATATCCAGAATCTACAATGAACTCAAACAAATTTACAAGAAAAAAACAAACAACCCCATCAAAAAGTGGGCGAAGGACATGAACAGACACTTCTCAAAAGAAGACATTTATGCAGCCAAAAAACACATGAAAAAATGCTCATCATCACTGGCCATCAGAGAAATGCAAATCAAAACCACAATGAGATACCATCTCACACCAGTTAGAATGGCAATCATTAAAAAGTCAGGAAACAACAGGTGCTGGAGAGGATGTGGAGAAATAGGAACACTTTTACACTGTTGGTGGGACTGTAAACTAGTTCAACCATTGTGGAAGTCAGTGTGGCAATTCCTCAGGGATCTAGAACTGGAAATACCATTTGACCCAGCCATCCCATTACTGGGTATATACCCAAAGGACTATAAGTCATGCTGCTATAAAGACACATGCACACGTATGTTTATTGCGGCATTATTCACAATAGCAAAGACTTGGAACCAACCCAAATGTCCAACAATGATACACTGGATTAAGAAAATGTGGCACATATACACCATGGAATGCTATACAGCCATAAAAAATGATGAGTTCATGTCCTTTGTAGGGGCATGGATGAAATTGGAAATCATCATTCTCAGTAAACTATCGCAAGAACAAAAAACCAAACACCGCATATTCTCACTCACAGGTGGGAATTGAACAATGAGATCACATGGACACAGGAAGGGGAATATCACACTCTGGGGACTGTGGCGGGGTGGGGGGAGGGGGGAGGGATAGCATTGGGAGATATACCTAATGCTAGATGACGAGTTAGTGGGTGCAGCGCACCAGCATGGCACATGTATACATATGTAACTAACCTGCACAATGTGCACATGTACCCTAAAACTTAAAGTATAAAAAAAAAAAAAAGAAATGCACTGTAACTGTGGGGGCTGATGAGGTTGAAATTTATAGGACAAATTGGCAGGCTGGAAACTCAGGCAAGAGTTAATCTTGCAGTCTAGAGGTGCAACTTTGCTCTTAAGAATTTTCAACTGAATAGAAGAGTTTCACACACATTATTAAGGATAATCTCCTTTACGTAAAGTCAATTGATTGTCAATATTAGCTACATTACAAAATAGCTTAAGATTAGTGTTGATCAAATAACTTATATTAGAACCTAGCCAACTGGATACGTAAACGAACCATCACAATGGTCATATTTGTAATAGCTGATTTAAAGTGTTTGTCTAGCAATCATAATGTCTAGGATTTTTTAGAAACAAATTCTAGTAGTAATACTTTCCTATACCTTTCCATGTAATTTTTAGTTAAAAAATTGGACTTTGAAAATAATATACAAAAAACTCTGGAAGTCATTTCACTTCATTCCCAGGGCTTGTTTTTGTTATTGTTGTTGTTATTGTGACTATTTGTTTAGTGTCTTTTCTTAATGAATTATTTAGAACATATATTTTTTTGTCAGATAAGGCCACTAACGTACATGCTTGGTTAGCTGCAGGTTTAAACAATTGCTGCTGATTATTTTTTATAAATGCCATAGGGAAAGGTTGTTCTCCATGAGTAAGTTCTGAGTCAGGCTAAATAAAGAAAAGCCTAATAGAGAGATTTCCCAGAGAACTGCCAAACAGGTCAAATACTCACAGCTCTTTAGGGATGGGGTTTATAGGTAGCTTCAAATCTATTATGCTCTTTTAAGTAACTGCTAGCCCACAACCTTTCATAGTTACTTTAATTGTGAAACTGTTGGTTTTTAAAATTATCATAAAGCTGAGAAAAGAAGGATGGTAATAAGATTAAAACTTCACAAAGTTTTTTGTTCTTACCAAGATTCACCTTTTTTTTTTTCTCATGAAAGTAAGGAGATTTATTGCAAAGCAAAAAGTACACACTCAAGAAAAGGAAGTGTAGACATACTCAAGAGAGAGTTGTGCTCAACTATGTTTTTTTTTTTAAGTCCTCCTCAGATTTCCTAAGTCTTTGGTTAATTTTCTAAGCTCTGAAAAAGCTTGACAATTTTTGCCAGTGTTTTTATTGCCTTGGTGGTGGGATGAATTTTCAGATTATTCCTTCACCATTCTGTAAGGGGCTACCGTATATTTTGTGCTGGAATTTGGAAGTATGGTAGGTCTTACTGGGCTCTTCGTAGGTTTGCCAGTGGTGTTCTGCTGTTGTTTGTTACTTGAGATTTTTTTAGCTTGGTTGGTGTCATGAGAGGTGTAAGGTTAGAGATAACCAGGTCTATGCATGTTTGTGTCTTTTTACAATGTCAGACTTTTACTGATGTTAGTTTAATCACAAAAGCCACAAGCTACATATAGTTCCCAAGGAGGAAATTTTTCTTAGTACTTTTTATTCACTTGGTAGTCAAAGCTGTGGGCACACAGGTCAAGCCACTCCACGAGTAAATCAATATTGTGAACCATACATAGTATTACACTTAATCAATATAAAAATGTTGTAGATTAAACATTCCACAACAAACAAAGTAAGAATTAACATCAAGAGAAAAAGAGATAGGAGAAAGGATTAACAAACTAGTCCATGGAAAGTGAAGACAAAAGGAGTCCTGGTCTGGGCCAGGGCTGTCCTTAGGTCTTGCAAGGAATATTCCAGAGTCTTTGATGTGGCAGAGCCTTTGGCAGCAGAAGCTGAAGAGTTCTTATCACAAGTGACTGTAAGATGGTGTCAGTTAAGAAGGTCATTTTGAGCTGTTGAAAGGCTTGCTCTTTTATGGTTATGGAGTCTTCTGGTGAGAACTGATCGTTGCAGAATGTACTTGTTTGTGACCTTATCTGGTTAGATGTCTTTATTTATTCTATTTGTTTTTATTTATTCTATTTGTTTATTAAGCAAAATATCTTATCCTTGTTGGGAAAGTCCCCTATGAAATATAAAATGAGGTATTTCTCTAAGATGGAGTTAGTTATGTCAAGAATGCTTTATACAGTTGGTGGAATGTATTTTTTAGCTATTCTGATTAAGGATCAGCCTTAGGCAGGTACTTCTCTCTGGGTATCAGTGGATATAATGTTTGCTATTTGCCTGCTCTGCTTCCATATACAGTTTTAGATTAAGCACTTACTCCTGTCTCTGTGTCCCTGTTGTCTTCTCCCAGCTTCAAAAAGTGTTCACCAATACCTTCCAGCAATTCCTTTAACCCATCCCTATTCATGCATGGATTAAGCACATTTGTACTTTGCACTCATCCCTTTACAAATTTTATGTATAGCAAATGCTTTGTACGTGCCCTGAAAAAAGGGGAGAGTGATAAAGAGGAAGCATTCCTTGCTGCCTTTTCCACCATAGGTTAAAGTTTTAGTTCACAAGAGATACAGGAAAGACAGATTCAGGTAGTTTCCTGCCCCTCCTGCACAGCTGCTATTATCCTCCTGTAGTTGTGCTCCATGATGAACACTTCTTAGGGTTTTTCCAGTATTTTCTGTGAGTGTGAAGTGAGATTTGTGCATGGAGAAACAGCCTGCAAGAATGTGTAGAAAGTGGGAGAAAATTCATTTCCACACTCTCAAGTATTTTTATACTGTTTTGCCAGTGAACACTTGGCCTTCAACAAATTATCAACTTTTCTAGCTGATCTCTTCTTACCAGTGTCTGGTTGCACTGAACCCAAATGTGTACATGTTGTGCAACTTTCTTTTTCCATTTAAAAATACATATATTAGTATAAAGAGGCATTAATTTCCTTTCTAACTACCTAGTATTCCCTTTGTATACATACTACAGTTTATTTCAATCAGTTTCAAGTAATGGCTATTTGGATTGTTTTCAGTCTTTTACAAACAGGGCTGAAGTTAACAGCTTATTCACAATATAATATAGATGATAGATGATAGATAGATAGATAGATAGATAGATAGATAGATAGACGTAGATCAATATTTTCCAGTGTAAACTTTAGATAGATTCTAGAAGAGAATATATCTTGTTATATATATTTGACTTTGGAAAGGAGTAGTTTATTTATCTTTAAAACAAACTGAAATTAATCACAAGGAAAAAATGCATTTCCTAAAATTTAAATACCAACTGGAAATATATAGACCTAACTTTGTATAAAAGTTACCACACACATGCACATGTCTGTATCTATATTTCTGTCTATGTATCTATTATCTATCCATCTATCTATCTATCTATTTAGCTATCCACATAGCTATATGCAAATATTCATTGACTATCTCTTTAACAATGAAAATATATTCATATGAGAAATAGCCAGAAATATAAACTAAATGAGTCATAGAGGAACACTTTTTTTTAAGTGATTGATACATGTTACTGGCTTTAATAATTAAAACTTTCTGATACTCAGATTCAAAATGAATTTTATAAGAGACAAAAATAATTTCAGAAATAGGGATCCAGGAAATCATCCAAATGCAGACTGCGATAATGTTAAAGTTTTAAAATAAGTGGTAAATATTAGATTATACAGTAAGTGCTGTTACTTGAGCTGTTTACCATTAGCAGAAATGATTGCTGCATACCCTGCAAAAATCTAATTTCAATAGATAAAACGTATAGATGAGACATAAACATTGAGAACTAATTGTTTGTTATTACCATTATAGGTATTTTTTAGGTTATATTTTTTATTTCCTAACTTTTCAGTGAAAACTTAAGTTACTATCGAAAGGATTCTTTTAAAAACCTAACAGTAATAACCTTCATAAATATAAAATAGGAATAATGGAAAAACTCAGTAATGATTCTATAGAAGCTATACTTTAGAAATACCAGGTTGTCTCTGTGGAGTAGGATAAACTGAATTTAGTGAGATAATTAATGTGAAAGCATTTTAAATATAGAGCCTTATATAAATGTTGGTTATTAGTTTACTAGCATATTAATGGGTTAGTTAGAAAAAGTGCAGAAGCAGCTAGTTTAGATCAGAGGAACACTAGAGCAATCCAGCTAAATACAAACCAAGTATAAAATTAAAAAAAAAATTTAATAGCATTGTAAAGTAGCAGGGTAATTTGTTTATTTTATTTGGGCAGGATGGATAAAAGCCATCAGAAATGACATCAAGTGATCTCTCCAGTGTTGTATTTCTGTCCCTATGTTTTCTTGCTTTACACACCACATCCCCATGGTCACGCACTTCCAGTGTGATCAAGGTCTAGTATGCCTGGGTTGTGCCTGGATATTCAGATGACCTAGGCAGGAGCAATATAAATAATTACTCGATAGATCTTGGAGTTTGTGCCATTAATCTAGACTCACAGAAACTTAGATCATCATTGTCATCATCATCATCATCATCATCATCATCATCATCATCATAGATCCTAACTCATTTCTTTCTTGAAACAACTTTTTCATCTGGACCAATATTATCCCCATTACAGAAGAAATAGAAATAAGATGCACAAGAATTACTTAAGTTATTCAAAATAACATTGCTACTATGTGAAAAGTTTAGGCAGACTGACTCTAAAGTCAGGTGCTTTATGACTGAGCTCTTCTTCTTGAGAAGATTAATGCAATTGCCTTACTAGAACTACTTTTTTTTCTGACAGTTCCAAAACTAGTTGATCCAACACCCAGTACCCTCCAAATTCCATTTTACTTAGACTTATTTCCCTACCTCCTGCTTCTTTCTTACTTTCTCTCCCTCTGTAATCAGACTTTGCATTGCATGTTCTTGAATGTGGAATACTAATGTTTGACATTTTTGTTGAATATATGAAAAACAATTTTTCATTTTTATTCCTTTCTCATTCAAAAGGCTAACAAAGGAAAACATTACTGTACCATATTTAGAATAAAAAATCAAGATTAGTTGGGTCAAGCCTATCATGATTCAAAATTAACTACTGAAATATCTAATGCCAAAATCTATATTGTACTGGTAAAGATCATCTCAGTCCAAACCAATGCTTGGTACAATAAAAGCCACCATCTCATCTGTCCATTACATAGCATGTCTTAGAGCAAAAGGCAATATACAGACTATTGGCATTACTGGCATGAAACTTCGTAGGTGTGATAGCCAGTCACCGACAATATGTATTTCTGCTTCAGGGCAAGATGAAAAAATGATTGTATCAAGGTGTAGAAAAAATAGTTTTTTTTAAATATGTCAATAAATAAGTGAACAGAAATTTACAGCATAAGGCATTTTATCAATATAATAGCCAGGTCTTTTTCAATGCTAATAGCATTCAATTTGAAATAGATTGGCAAGCAGGTAGGAAGAAACACGAAAAGTGGAAGAAAAATCAGTAAAATGAAGCATGTAATACTATTTTTTAACCACTAATAAAAACTTGCCTAAATTTTAAGAGCCTATTAAAGTCTTGAAGTCATTATTTATGATTTTAATTTAATACCTTGTATAATTAAATTTAAATTAATAATTTAATAAGAAAATATTTTATTAATATATTTACAATTATCTTTGAAACTGAACACTGTAAATTATCTTGTACACCATTTGCAGAGTGCACTCAAATCTTCTCTATGAATTTTAACATACAAAGTAGAGATATGTGCTTTTACAATGGAGGGCAAAGGGGGTCTAAACTGAGACATGGAAAAACTAAATTTGGAAAATCAAAACCAAACCAAAATAAAACTGTACTATAAGCACTTTAAATTTAAAGTACAGTTTTAATGGATTTATAATGCATACTTATGATTAACTTAAATATGTTGAAGCTCAAGCATTTCATAATGGGGTGTTTGCCAATGCATAAGTAGATTTATGTCAAGAAAATAACCAATGTAATCTTTAAAGACAATTTTATAATTTGCTCACTGGAATTTTTGTAATGATAAAAATAAGAATACTTGAGTTTTATAATCAAAACCAATCTCCCAAATTTAAATGTAGATGCACATATTTTATGTGAATATTAATGCTCTTTTAAGAGAAGTCTCTATTTTACATCTTTAAAATTACCCTCATAATCCCTTCTATTTAGTTTTCTTTAGAACACAGTAATAAATTCATTCAGAAAGAGCTGAAATCGACAGGGTGCGGTGGCTCATGCCTGTAATCCCAGGACTTTAGGAGGATGAGGCAGGCGGATCACGAGGTCAGGAGTTCGAGACCAGCCTGGCCAACATGGTGAAACCCCATCTCTACTAAAAATACAAAATTTAGCTGAGCGTGGTGGCAGTCACCTGTAATCCTAGCTACTTGGGAGTCTGAGGCACGAGAATCACTTGAACCCAGAAGGCAGAGGTTGCAGTGAGCTGAGATTGCACCATTCATTGCACGTCAGCCTGGGCAACAAGAGCGAAATTCCATCTAAAAAAAAAAAAAAGAGCTGAAATCATGGTAAACAAGGTAATATAACAAATAGACTCTGTTAAACTACAATTTATTTTCTCTACCAACAAAAGTAATTTTCCCATACACTAAATCATAAAGTCAGAAAAAGTATATATAGAAATTACTAATTTCTGACATTCATAGGAAGAGTAAATGACTTTCCATGGGTCAGCACCTGCTCTAATAATCTCTCCTCATAATTAGTTTATGCCTGTCAGATTGAGAAGAAGAGCCTGCATTCTTACTGACATTGAAAAATAGGGTTAATTATCTAATTTCTTAATTGCAAAATTAACATCTTACTTGACTAATATAACTCATTTCAAAGTTAGGTAATTCACTTGAAGACAAAAAAATTATCCATGGAAAAGCTCAGAGGAAACAATGATATATAGTATTTTGTTTCTATTTGCACTTCAGTTTTTAAAAAATGACTCTTAAGGAAACCTTGTCTCCAAGGAATTTATCTATACGCATACCCAAAGAGGTTTTGGAAGAGAACTGTGTCATTGGTTTTAGGGAGAAAAAAAAAATCCCAGCACTTTTTGACAATAATTTCTCTACTTTTCTCAGTGAATTATTTTCATAAGGCTTTCTCTTATTTATTTTTTATTCACCACTGTTATTGTTTGACTGTGTCCCCACCCAAATCTCATCTTGAATTGTAGTTCCCATAATCCCCATGTGTTGTGGAAGGGACCCGGTAAGAGGTAATCGAATCATGATGGTGTTTCCCCCATGCTGTTCTGGTGATAGTGAGTTCTCATGAGATCTGATGGTTTTATAAGGAGCTTTCCCCTTTGCTTGGCTCTCATTTATCTCTGCTTCTCTGTGAAGAGGAGCATTCTGCCATAATGGTAAGTTTCCTGAGGCCTCCCCAGCCACACAGAACTGTGAGTCAATTAAACATCTTTTCTTTATAAATTACCAGTCTTGGGTATTTTTTCATAGCAGAATGATAACAGACTAATACCCCAGCAACAACTATAGCAGCGTATAACTTAAAAATAGTCAGTAAAGTATGCTCACAAGAGTAGTCATTCCATGTGCTACTTATCTAGATAAGCTTAGGCCTTTGATTCCTCATTTCTAGCCCCATGCTGCCCTCACTACTCCTAGGCAGTTCATTAAGGTGCTTTTCCAGCTTTATCTGCAGGACATTTCTAATGAGCATGTTCCTCTGCTGAATCACCATCCTAACCCTAGTCCAAATCACCATCATCTCTTGCCTAAGATTACTACAGTGATTTTCTTTCTTACTATTCCAACTTCATACACTCTTTTACCTCTTCTGCAACGCGTTCTTTATGCTGCAACCAAAGTTATCCTTTTGAAATACAAATCTGATGCCATCCCTCTTTTCTCCATATGCTGCCCTTAAACAGTTTACTACCATAGCAACTACACTTGTCAAAAGATCAGTTCCCATTCCTTGCTTATTTACCTCTTAATCCAAGCCTCAAAAATGCATGCTGGATTGGTAGAACTAATTTACAGGAATGCACTAGTGTTGTAAGAAAAATCTAAGGATATTGGGTTCTATTTGGGAAAGACTGACTCATTTTGATGAAAATGTTGTGAATAAAAAGCAATTATTCAAAAATGGCCTTAAATAATGTGTCCCTTTTTACTATACAAATGAATACAAATACTTTTAAAAAGTCATAAAGGTAGATCCTACAGCCTTTGTTTCTTCAAGTGGTCCTAAGGCTATTATTGGGTTTTTTACTCTTTTCTTCTACTACCTACTATAGGTTTTCTTCTCATTCAATGAAATTGTTTCACTGGGATTCTTTACCTAGTGGGTATAGTCAAACCTTCAGTTTTCCAAGATCTAATCCTTAATGATACTGTTTTACTATAGTCTCCCCGACACTTTGGCTCCTAGATACAATAATGCACCCTAGAGTTGTACTAGGACTCATCCATAGTTCTGTTATTTACTCTTAATAGTGCAAATAAAACACCTCAGGTAGTATAGTAATTTCTTTGGTTGCCTGTTCTGTCAGTGGTATGAGAGATTAAAGTGACAAGGGGCAGCCTCAGCTTCCAATTTAATGGAATCAGTGGGACTCCTGGTGGAATCAGGGTCTGCCACTCTTTGTTTGTTTCGTTTACATTAATATTGCTTTAGTTGATCTTTCTCTGAGTTTCCCGATTCTATCGATTCTCAATTCTTTAATAAAACTAAATGTTCCAAATAATATTAATATTTAATATTGATTTAACACTATACATGTGCCACTTTTCTAAGCATCAAACATTAACTCATTTCAGTCTCCAAATGATTCTATGAGAGGTATTGTTACAACTCTCTAATTTTACAATAAGCAAATGGAGGCATGCAAAGGTTCTTACTTGCCATAAATTAACAAATCCCAGTGTTAGTTCTGAGACTGGAATCCATGCTAGCTGGTTCCAAAGTCAAGAATCCTAATGTCATGCTTTGAGTTTAATCATAAAAATACCTCTGATGCAGACTTTTCACTGGTGCACCATTTCCTCCTGGATAATGTCCAAATGTGTCCAGAATTGGTTCCTTCCAGTGTGTTCTTGGTCTCGTTAACTTCAAGAATGAAGCCGCAGTCCCTCGCAGTGAGTGTTACAGTTCTTAAAGATGGTGTGTCTGGAGTTTGCTCCTTCAGATGTTCAGATGTGTCCTGAGTTTGTTCCTTCCGGTGGGTTCGTGGTGTTGCTAACTTCAGGAGTGAAGCTGCAGACCTTCACAGTGAGTGTTACAGCTCTTAAAGGTGGTGCATCCGGAGTTGTTTGTTCCTCCAGGTGGGTTCGTGGTCTTGCTGACTTCAGGAGTGAAGCCGCAGACCTTCCCAGTGAGTGTTACAGCTCATAAAGGTAGAGGGGACCCAAAGAGTGAGCAGCAGCAAGATTTGTTGTGAAGAGTGAAATAACAAAGCTTTAGCTAGACACAGAGCACTGACTGGTGCATTTTTACAGAGTGCTGATTGGTACATTTACAAACCTTTAGCTAGACACAGAGTGCTGATTGGCGCGTTTTTACAGAGTGCTGATTGGTGCGTTTACAAACCTTTAGCTAGACACAGAGTGCTGATTGGTGCATTTTTACAGAGTGCTGATTGGTGCGTTTACAAACCTTTAGCTAGATACAGAGTGCTGATTGGTGTGTTTACAAACCTTTGGCTAGACAGAAAAGTTCTCCAAGTCCCCACCCAACTCAGAAGCCCAGCTGGCTTCACCTCTCACAAATACCTTCACATCACTTACAAAGATGCTTCTCCAGTCACATATTTCTACATCCCCCACACATTTCACTTACAGACCTACTAAATTATTTTTATTTTCACAAAGTTTCCAAGAGTCTTGGTGGATTCTGAGTCTTTACATAGCTGATTCTCTCTTCCAAGGTCTAATTTCTTTATATCTTAGCTCAAATGGCTTACTTGAGGAGATCATCAACCTCAGACATACCAGGGTAAACTATGGGTTATTAAAGCATCTCAAGCATCTTATCTTGTAGCACCCACCAAGTTCTACCGTAATTGTATCTGTTTTTCTTCATATGCCGTAATGTTTGTGGACGTAGGCATCTCATCTCTCTCATTTTATTATTACAGTTTAATAGAGGCCTTGGCACATAGTAAGTATATAATCTGCAGCTATTAATTAAATAGCTTAATGAATAAATCAATGAAGAAATAAGAGGATGTGTCCACTGAATATCATAGGCTGTATCTAGTGTTAAGCCATAGGAAAAATTTACTAAATTTATTTACTATCAAATTCACAACAAAGGGCTTAGAAAAAAATAAAAGAGAATTACAAGCCTCTTCATTTGTTTATTGTAGTTCTCTCAGCTTTGTAGAAATATGCTGATTTTCAAAGAGCAAAATAGGTATTAATAATGTCTTATGTAGCTCACTATTTTAAAAATTTTAGGAAGAAAAAATAAGGATTTTTATTATATTTTTGTAGAGGTATATAGTGGTAGCATTTATGAATGTGACTTAATTATTTACAGCTGTATATATACTAGAGGTTGTAAAATAAGCCAAACTCAAAGGCGCTATGTTTAATGAAAAATGCTAGTTTTAAATCTTACTAATTTACTTTTGATATTTTATGAGCCTCATATGCATGTAGAACTGGGCTAGGCGTCACGATGGATAAAAAGTATAAATCACAATCTCTATATTTTTCCTATTTGCCTGGAAAGCTGTGATAAAAAGAAACAGAATACAGAGTCACATTGAATCTCAACAAATGAAGGTGATAGAAGATAAATGCAGGTAAATTTAAGAGAACTGAAAGAAAGACCTGCAACTAACGGGAAAGCCTTTACAAGGAGATGAATTTGGGTGGAACTGGAGAGTGATAAAGATGTATATAGTTACTGAGGAAGTAGTAAGATAAATTAAGTATGGAAAATAAGTAGCTTATCAATGCTTCTAAATATTCTGTAGAGAATGGACCATTTTAGACCAGAAACAAATACATGGACACATGTCATAGATTTGAGAGGAAAACAGTTCACCTTGCATAGCGATGGACCATGCAACATCCTTTAAAAGTCTTATGATTTTCTCACCACAAAGATGACTGAGGCAGCCTCCAATTAACTGGACAAATCAGATTATTCCATCTTGTGTCATATTTGTTATGATTAATTAGATGCAGCCACAAAGTCATTTGAAAGAATTGGCTAAAATAAAATTCTTACTTTACTAACAGATCATGGCTATTTCTGACATTTTTTTTTATCACAGATAAGCATAAAAGGGCTTCCATCTTGGTAATGCCATTGCATTACATGGGATAATTGAGCGTTGTTTCCAAAAACAAGTAAATTTCACAGGACAACATTTAGCCTATGTCAATTTTTATGTGCATGAGAATTAATTAATTCACTCATTTGACATTTCTAACTCAGAAAAATTCAGAGCAGCTGTGGGCTAGAATCACCACTTTGTGTTGTTCTTTTTCTGGTCAACTTTAGCCCTTTTCTTCTCATGTACATATAAAATGGAATAATGATAAATTATCTGGAGGTGCTTAGTGAGAAGAATCAATTTTTGTATCCTTTGCAAACATTGACCAGCTAAATCCATATATCCTCTCTCTTCCTCAGACGCCTCAGAAAATATTTAACTTAAATGATACAAATGAAATTAATTGAGATATCTGCTTCAGTAAAACTATCTACCCTTTAGTGAATAATATGTTTCTTAGGACTCTTTAATAAGTAAAGTTTAAGTTACATATAATTGTAGAGACAGAAAGAAAATATATTTTTATTTGTTCTATTACTTTAAGCCTTTCCAGGCACATTTTTGTTTTTTGTGGAAAACAATACTTTTTTTATACTTTACCAGCATTCTTTATAATATTTTCTAGAAGGAATAGTTTTAAATTAGATTCTTTGTCAGCTTTAATATGAGTTTCAAAAAATCATTTGATTAGAATCAAAACTATTAGAATAAGGGAGGAGACCACCCCTCATATTGTCTTATGCCCAATTTCTGCCTCCAAAGAAAGAAGAAGTAAAAACTAAAAGGCAGAAATGAAATCCACAGGCAGACAGCCCAATGCCATGCCCTGGGCCTGGTTAAAGTTTGACCCCTGACCTAACCGGTTATGTTATCTATAGATACCAGACATTGTATGGAAAAGCACTGTGAAAATCCGTGTCCTGTTCTGTTCTGTTCTGATTACCGGTGCATGCAGTCCCAAGTCACATACCCCCTGCTTGCTCAATCGATCACAACCCTCTCACGCGGACCCTCTTAGAGTTGTAAGCCCTTAAAAGGGACAGGAATTGCTCACTTGGAGAGCTCGGTTTTTAGAGACGTGAGTCCACCGATGCTCCCAGCTGAATAAAGCCCTTTCCTTCCACAACTTGGTGTCTGAGGGGTTCTTGTCTGTGGCTCATCCTGCTACAAGAAGAACTAAAATACAAAAGTTTATATTGTTATATAGCAACTCATCACAATCTTGCTTGCTGCTCTAAATGTATATACCCAAATGAAAATAAATTAAGTCAGTCAGCTAGCTTACTTTTCTCCCAGGAAGATTCCCACAGCTGGGTTTCTAATGCAAAATACAAATTAGAATATTTAAACACAGTGAATTTCAATTAAATATGGAGAAATAAACTTATGTCTCAACTTCCAATCACTGCATTTACTTTTTGTAAAGCAAGGTAAGGGAAAGTAATTCACATAAGCAAGAAGCAGTGATGGTGAGCTATAATAGACAAGAGCTTTCAGCATATTTATGAGAAAGAGCAAGCAGACGAGAAAGAATGGCCCAGACTGGAGGAAGTTCCAGCCTAAAATTGGTTAGGGAATGCAGCTGAGATGGAAGCCCCTCCATAATCAATGAGGAAACCAAAAACTAAACAAATAGTCAAGTTTAGTGAGAGGCAAAAAACAAGTTAAAGAGATGGACAGGACAACTCAATATTATCATAAACCTTTTTTTATATTTAGAAGTTTAAAGATCAAATTCTCTTCATCATCACAAATTTGATCACCTTTGGAATTTGAGAATATAAGAATGATGCAGAGCCAACAATGAAAATCTTAATTTAAAAGAATAGTGGCTAATTTACATTGGCTACTCTTAAACCACTTTGAAACCACAATCATTGCAATAGTTTGATACAATCTCAGAAATGGTCGGATCAATTATTGGAACAGAATATGAAGCAAGAATCAGTCTTCAGCATGCAAAGTGCTATAGTGAACACTAAAGATATTTCATTTCATTGGCAAGTTCAATTACAACATTCTCATATGTCAAAATTTGTCCATGTATGCTTATACCTTTCTTAATTTCTATAGCTGCCCTAACTTCATTTTCTTGACTTAGTTTACCTGTATCTGAAAGTGGGTTTGTTAAATATGCCCACTGAAATTATCTGTTGTCCTTTTATATTGAATAGTTTCAACATTATGATTTAATGTTATCACTCAGGGTGCATAAAGAATTTTGTTGTTAATCTGTTGGATTTTATGTAAATCTTGTTAAAATGCTATTATAATTTGTTTAATGCTATTATGTATAATTTTGTTTTCAATTTTAATATTATAGATTCTGCTTCTGTTGATATTGAAATTTGCTTAAAATATCCTTAGCCACAGTTTTTATTAAAATTCCCTTGGCCATTTTTGTTTCTTCTGTCTGTATATTTTAGGGGGAAAAGAGGAAGTTTATTCACTTAAACATTACGATTTTTTCTATTTTGGGAATCCTTAATAGTTGCTTTAAATTTCTCAAGTGAATTCTCTGCAACTTAGTCCTAATTATATGTTTTAGTACTTACTTTTCTCATCATATTTCTTATATCCATGTCTTCTCTTTTCTTAGATTTAAGTAATTATTTTTTAGAATGAATATACGGGATATAAACTTTATGAGTCCTCACTTGCCAAAAGCGTTTATTTTGCCTCGTCTTGACCAAAAGTTTGTCCAGCTATGGGATACTAAGTTAAAATATTTACTCTTAGAATTTGAAGGCAGTGATCCACCGTTTTCACATGGTGTATTTCAGGTAAACAGTCTACAAACTGCCATCACTTCATTCTCATGTAAATGTGGTCTCCTATTGTACGACATCCAGTACTTCCTGATTATCTTTTGAGTTTAATATTTTTTGTGGACATATTAATGTGTTTATTTCAAATTAATGTTAATAATTTTGAAAGATACTTTGGTGTCTTTCCGTGTTTTTTATAAGCTTTGGCATATGTTTTTTAATTATGCATTTGTATTTGTGCATGGATGTTGTCTTATATCCCTCTTGTTGGATTTTCCCATAAATAATAAATGGATATTAAAACATTGGATTAATTATTAACCTCTCAAGTTTCTCGTAATTTTTATATTTGTTGTATTGAACTATTTTCTAAAAGAACTCAGTTTTTTAATATAATTAATATGGTAACTAGTTATACAGTTATACTTGTCAATTCTTGTCTATTTATTTTCAAGGAACAGCTTCAAGAGCATTCTCCCCTCTCACTTTCTCTCTATCCCCTCTTCTCGCTACTGGTTCTTCTTGTTCAAATATATAAAATCTCTTAGTTTTCTGTGAGGCTAGTATTTTAAAGCTGATTATTTTCTTTTAAAAATATGTTTTATTTTTCTTGCTGTTTGGCTTGAGGATAGTTAATTCCTCTTCAATTTGCTGTACACAATACTGTTGATTTTATTGACTGTTTTTAACCACAAAATAATTTATCCATACAAAACAAGTACATATACTGAATTTTACAGGTCAACGAATTATCACAACATGGACATTTATGTATCCATAAGGCAGGTCAAGACAGCATTGTCAGCACCCCAAAACTCCCCACTTCATGTTTTCCTCCAAAATTCCTTCCTGTCTATATAATCCAAGGTAATTACTATCTTGACATTTTAATTAAGATAGATATAAAGATAGATTTTTTTCATGTAATATGTAAATGTCTAAAGATCATCATTTAGATTTGTTCTTTGAAGTTGATATATTAATAGATGTAATTATTTAGTATGGATTGTTGTAGGTGTGTCATCTTTCACTCAATATTATATTTATGTGATCCATCCATGCTATTGCATGCTATTCCATTTAGTTTATTTTATAGCTATATAACAATCCATTTTATGAATATACCACAATGTATTTATTAATCTATTGATGATGGAAATTTGGGTTATTTCCAGTTTTTGACAGTAATAAACTGTGCAGACATAAACATTATTAAACATGTCTCTAGAGAAAGCTGGGAGTCATGTGCAAGTATTGCCATGTTTATCTCTCATCCATAGGGTCAGCAAAGGAATTTCCCAATGGCTTATTCTCATCATAGAAAGAGAAGGTTTTGTGGATTTAATCTGGGTTCAACATCACAACATGTGAGGAGACAATTTTTCCCAAATTGTGTAATGAATTACCCTATGCAACAACCAACAATAATAATAATATATCAAAATTTTCTTTAGATGTTCCAATCCAAAGTCTCACCGGAATTCGCGATATAAAGTAATGGAATAATATGCCCCCTTAGGAAAATCCAGCAATTGGGATATATGGTTGAATGGCTCTCAGAGTCTTTTCCACCCTTCCTCCAGTGTCCATCTATACTGAAGGAGGAGGATAACTCAAAAATGGATTTTTCCAGACAATCTTATAGCTAAAAGCTTGGATATGATTAAGGAGGAGACTTTGGTTGTTTTTTTTGTTTGTTTTTGTTTTTTTTTTTTTTTTTTTTTTTTGCAGATATTTATCTTCTGCTGCACTGTTGAGGAAGTAATGAATTTTCTTGAGTTTCAAAGGTAGGACACAAAGATCCTCCCTAGAACTAGATGGTGGTTTAGCTACTTATAATAGTAGCAGATATCTTGATATTTAGATCATGGATAAAATGGTGTGTTCTTGGGTCAATATGTTCAGAAGGATCTTCCTTATTTCCATCTTTTTAGTTATAGCAAAGTAACAACAGCCCTCTTGGATCAGGCTGGCAATGTTAATCTGAAAGTCATTTCAAGATAGAGAATATTTATCCAGCTCTTCTGAAGATTGTGTAAAAAATCTGATATTTGGTATTAAATTGCTTTCTACTTTAATATACTAGCATTGTTTCTATTTTTTGCAACTTAATCTTGACTTAAAAAGTATTTGAAACTTTAAGAAATGATTGCAAGCAACAAACCCTCAAGGAGACAAATTAAGAACTTCTATCATCTGATAGAGTTTGTAGGTAGTGATAACTTGTTTCAATTAGAAAATAAGATTGCTGTTTAAAAAAAGGAAGAAACATGAAAATATAGAAATGTAAAGATCTTGAATAAATTTCACTTATACGATTGACTCCCTCATCCTTACTCACCATGGCATTCAGAGGGAAAAGATAACTTAAAATATTTCCTCTAACTAAGTAGAATGAAGTGCCTTTTGACACTAAGGCAATGAAAAATATATACATTCAAGAGTAAATTAGTTGTGTTTATCTCTGCTGTACAGCTTAAGTAAATAAAATAAGATAATAACTTGGCTCTATGTGTGATTAAAGGACAAACAAGTTTCTATTACTTCCTTAAACCAACGTTTTTTTTATCTTAAAGGCACAAGACTGAAGTGGTCAACTACAGTCAAAGTTACAGCCTGTGAGTTGTTGAATTACAATGATGAATTCACAATCTTTTCAGATCTCCTATGTAAAAGTTATATATTACTTGAGAATGATTAAGACTCAAAAAACTAAAATAGGAATGCTTAAGCAATTATATGATTTTAAGTACTTAAGTCCAAAATTCCCAGAGCTCTTTTGTCTGGAGACATAGTTTCTCCTTCACTGTCTGATGAATCACACTCTCCCTTTTTCAGAGATAATAGTATCTGAGGAAGGGGATGCTTATTCCCTCGCATGTCTCACATCTACTACCTTTCCTTGCCATCAGACCTCTGAACACAAATCAAATGACTCGTTAAATAAAAATTAAGGCAAAGAAAAAAAATCCACATACTGTAAGAATTATATTTTGATGAATTTTATGAAGAGTACCCAAATAATATACATGCAAAATAAAATTTAAATGTGATAAAGTAGGGCTAAAAAAGAAAATTTTGAATCAAGTCAAATTTGTCAAGATGGTACATTTATTAGAGATACTGCATTATGCATTTCAGCTCAACTGGCTAGAAATATTTCTGTGTCCTTGCTCAGTTGGGAAAGTCCAAACTAGATTCAATAGTGGACAAGGACAACATTAAAAAGGGTTGAGACACTAGGAATTCAAGTTTAATGTTGAGGAACGCATCCAAAACCTTTAGAGGTGTCAGATTTGGTTTATACTTTAACCCATTAACTCAATCTCAGGTAAGCCTCGCCAAAGGGGATGGAGGACAATTTATTCCTGAGGTTTTACTGAGGGAAAACTGTAGTGATTGCAATTTGTCAGCTGTGGATTAAGTGGGAGATTATGTAACATAAATACTTATTATCATTTCTCAACGGATGATGTGAATGTAGAGTTTGAAAGATTAAAGGCCAGAATTTTAGCAGTTAGCATACAGTGTAGTAGGTTCCAGGGGTTAAACTGATTTTATCCAAGTGATCACCGGCAATTATTAATTGATCCTTGTGCTACTAGGACAGAAAATACATTAAAATAAATTACAGTCTAATTTTATTTCTATAATTGGAAGCAACAACAACTACAACAATAACAACAAAAAACTGCTTTTGGCAATGGGAGCTTAATCTGAGAGGTAAGACAGACATTCATTATCTTTCATTTAGTTCCAAGTCTGATTCAATTTTCAGCCCTAGATACTCTCAAATTAAGATGGAAATTGATAGTAATGAAGGTCTCTAAAATATTCCACAGCTGTTTACTCTAAATATTCTTAGGATGCCTAAAGGTATAAACAGAGGTTTTTTATAAGATGACTGGACTCATGGAGTAAAAAAAAATTCCCAGAGCTTTCAAAAATTATTAGACACTAGCTCTTTGTTAACTCAATTCTTGGGTAACTCAGAGCATCTTTCTAATCCATCAGTTAAAGTAGAAGTCAAGGGGGTTGAATAATAAGTGAACTTTTGTTTGGATTAATCTCACAGAGACTCCAGTAAGTTCATGACCGAGCTCTAGTAATTTGCTCCAAAATCAATTATTCAACCATCATACAAAGAACAAGAACTACACTACTCACACACAAAAATTTTTTTTAAAGCTTTGGCAAATACGTTATGCTGCCTGCTTTCTTATGGGGCATAACTAGATTCATTCAGTGAATCCTTGGTAAATCATCCAACATTTCTACTCCCTAAATCACTGGATTCATCCTTCTACATTATATGAAGGAATTTCTGGCATTTCAACTCCATCCCGTTTTGGCCACCTGACCATCTGAGAGCATACCCACAATGGCTCCTTGTCTTGTGTAAGTAAGATTATAATGAGAGGAAGTGACTGTATTTAAACATACATATAAAACAACATCCAACTATAAACTATAAGTCTCTCTACAAGAGACTCATTTTGTTCTTTTGTTTGTTTTTTGTGTTGATACAGGTCTCACTCTGTCATCCAGGCTGGAGTGCAGTGGTGCAATCATGGCTTACCGCAGCCTTGACCTCCAAGCTCAAGTCATCCTCCTACTTCAGCATCCCGAGTAGCTGAGGTCACAGGTGTTCGTCACCATGCCTGGCTAATTTTCATATTTTTTTGTAGAGATGGGGTTTTGTCACGTTGCCCAACCCAAGCTGGTCTCAAACCCCTGAGCTCAGATGATCCACCTGCTTCAGCCACCCAAAGTATGGGATTACAGGCATGAATAATCGCACCTGGCCTTGGCTCACTTTGTTTTTAAAATCACACATAGCCTAACTATGAAAGAATGAAAAAATATATATTCAGTAAACAAAAACAGCCAGAATGGCCATAATGATATCAGACAAAAAAGACTTTAAGCCAAAACATGTCACAAGAGACAAGAAGAACATTATATAATGATAAATGGGCCAATTCACAAGAAAGATATAACTATTATAAATATACATGCATCCAACATCAGAGCACAAAAATATATAAAGCAAACATTGATAAAACTAAAAAAACAAATAGCAAGACAACAGTAGTAGCATATTTCAATATTCCATTCTTAATAATGGATAAAACAACTAGACAGAAAAACAAAAAAGTAACATTTAACTTGAACAAAACTCTAGATCAAATTAACCAAAGACACATATAGAGAACATGCCACCCAACAACAGCAGAATACACATTCTTTTCAAATGCACATAGAACATTATTTAGAATATATCACATTTGGCAACAAAATATGTTTTAACACATTTAAGTAGATAGTAATCATACCAAGTAAATTTTCTAATACATATGGAATGAAACTAGAGATTGATAGCAGAAGAAAGACTGGAAGATTCACAAATACGTTGCAATTGACAACACATTCTTGAACAACCAGAGTCAAAAAGAAATCCAATGGGAAATTAAAAAACATCTTGAGACCAACTAAAACTGAAACACAATTCACCAAAACTTATGAGATGCAGCAAAAGTAGTAGTAAGAGAAATGTTTATGGTAATAAATCTCTATGTTAAAAACGAAGAGAGTTATCAAACCAGTAACCTAACTTTACACCTCAAGGAACCAGAAAAACAAAATAAGTCCAAGACAAATGAAGAAGGAAATATTAAAGCTTAGTATAGCAATAAATAAAATAGAGACAAATAAAATGATAAAAAAATGAAAATTAGTTTTTTTTAAAAGACCAACAAAATTGACAAACCTTTGGCTAGACTAAAAAAAATAGATAAGGCTCAAATGAATAAAAGCAGAGTTGAAAGAGAAGACATAATTGATGCCACAGAAATAAAAAATGACAGTAAGAGACTGCTATGAAAAATTATATGCCAACAAATTGAGTAACCGAAAAAGAAAATGGAATAAAATTCTGAAGCAAAAAACCTACCATTTGTAATAGCATTAAAACCTGAAATATAAGAAACCAGATTTATCAAAATATGTGCAAGATATTTACATTAAAAACCACACAATATTGCTCATAGATATTAAAGAAGACCAAAGTAAATAGAGACCATGCTCCTTGGTTGAAACAGAATATTCTTAATATTCCAATTCTCCCCAAAATGATCTATAGAGCTAAGGCAATCCCAATCAAAATCTAAGCTGGCTTTAAAATAGAAACTGAAAAGCCATTAAGAAGTTCTTGTGAGTGTGGCTGGTTGGTCTAGGGCTATGATTCTCACTTAGGGTGCAAGAGGTCCTGGTTCAAATCCCAGAGGAGCCCAACTTTTAGTTCAAAAGTTCTTGTGAAAACAAAAATAATCTAGCCAAAAATATTCTTGAAAGAGGAAGAAATTTGAAGATATACACAGTCTGCAGCCAGACACAAAAAAATTACATATTGGATTTTTCCTTTTTATGAAATGTCCAGAAAAGAGAAATATATAAAGAATACATAGGCCTGTGATTTCCTGGTCTGGGAGTAGAAAGGATACTGACTGTAAATAGGCATTAAGGTATTTGTTTAAAGTGAAGAAAGTACTCTAAAACTGGATTGTAGTTATCATTGTGTAACAAATATTTGTGAAAACAATTGAGCTGTTTGCTTATAAAAGGTGAATTTTATAGTATTTACATTATACATTTATAAAACTTTTTAAAGTATTTTTAATAAAGCTGTGTCATTAAAAAGACCAATAATCTGCCATTCCTAACATGTTTAGTAAAAAAACATGAAACACGCAGCATAAGGATTTTAAAAAGATACTTTTTTGCCAGGTTATTTTATTTTAAAAGCGAAGACCATTTTTTTCAAATTAAGTTAGAGAATCACCCAACATTATAATTCTCTGGGAAAATGTGAAGTTGTGACTTAATAAGTAAAAAAACCTGAAGACCATGACTCCAGAAAAAGAAAATCTAATGCAAAGAAATTCTCCTTACTCCAAATTTTGAGTCCCACACATTTTAAAGATTTTTTTTCAAATCCTTTTATATTAACTAATTTATGATACTTAATGGGTCCCAGATTATATAAAACTTCTTATTCTATTTGATTCCAAAATCTGATGGAGCACAGAAAACAACCACCACAATATCGATGAGAAGAAAACACAACAAGATGTTATTTAGGAATATCGGGGGAAACTTTATTACAAAGCTGGGAAATTGAATTCATTTTATATTAAGAATTTAGTAAGCTCTTCTGAAGATGAATTCATTTCATGAACATTTCAGCTTATAAATATAAATACAATTATTCTGTGAATGGTACAGAGTGAAAAATTTAATGATTGTCTTGATAGTGATTTAAAAATTATATAAAAGTATATAAACATCTCTATATATACGTATACCACACAAGCGTTGAGTTGATTTTACTGTGAGGCATCCACATTAACATTTAAAATTCAAAAAACAATTTTTTCAGGCATATAAATGGTTTAACATTTGTTTCCGGAAATTCTAACAAGTGAAACTTGACAAGAAAACAAAAATAAGTGTTGTGATTATTGAAAGAAAATCAACATATACTTCTATTTGCTGGTGATATGATTATTCTATTGAAGAGAACTGTTCACGTTTAAATGAATAGCATTAATGTGATACGCACAAAATAGTAAGCTTATGGCACAGAACTTTTTTGAGAGGCCAATGTAGAAAACAAATTGTTATTACCCTGATGATATTTTTATAAGAGAAAACCCACTAATGTGTTGATTGAACAGAATTTCTATCAAAATCTCAATATACATTTTGATTTAATAATTCAAAAAATATTTACAAATACTCAATTAGAGGAGATAAAAATAGATTATTCACTGAATGAATGACTTTGATGCAACTTTCTAACGATTCAGGGAAATTTAAAGTTAGATTCCTCCCCCACATTTACTGAAAACTAAATTTATTTCATAGCAAGTATATATATATATGTGGTAAGAGAATTATTACAAATATAGAATATTATATGTAAACATGTATAAAAGTTTGGCTGGAGAAGAACTGCCTAGTTGTGACACTAAAAGTGGAGACAATTTAGGAACCTATTTAAATATGTAACAATTAATATTAAAAAGCAAATAATTTTTTAAAAATTATAATAAATGCAAATAAAAAGCATTACTATTTCATAAAGAGCTCTTACAAGTCAATAAAAATTTAACCGGTAGAAAAATGGATAAAAGTTCACTGAAAGTAATCTCTAAAATAAATAATTTGAATAATTAATAAGCATCTAAAGAAGCATTGCACATCAATACATTGTCAAATTAATACATTTTTTAAAATGACAAGCTGTCACATTTTTCTGTTCAATAATCAAAACTAAAAATATGTTGCAATATCCAGCAGTGACTACAATGAACTGATATAGGCACTATCCTACATATTTTTAAGAAACAAAAATTCGCAAATTTTCTGGATGTCTACTTGCTAACTTTTAAAAACATTTAGCAAATGGAATGTGCATTTGTTTTACTAAACTATTCCTTTCAATGAATTAATCCTAAATAAATAATAAAAGTATGACACAGTTACAGGGATCTTTATAAGTTATGTTTATAGGAGCAAAAATTAGAACTATACAAGATGCTAACCCTCTATTAAAGAGTCATATTTCCTCCATACAATGGAGAACTGTGAGCCCATTAAAACCTGATAATGTCATGATCTCTAATACATAGTCAAGTGTAAAAATAGGTAGCAAATCAAAATTATCTTCTCTCAATGTACGTCTGTGCAAGTCTGTATATGCTCACATGTGTGTGCATAAATCAGTATTTCATATTAATATAAAATATCTAGGTGAACCACATGTTGACCGTGGCTTTGCATTGGGTTTACTTTTATTTTTGTGTGTGTTGTTACAATAGAATTTGTATAACAAGAAAGAAAAAAGTAAATATGTTAAAGTTAAAATATCTACAAAGTACAAGAAATATGAATTAAGGAAAAGTAGAGAAATGGAATCCTGAGTCTTATAAAGAATAACAAGAATAATATCTATTGTGACCCAAACTTAAAAATTTCCCTCTTTTGACCAATTTCTCACCCTGTGTGTTATTAGTCTTCTTTTGATATCTACCTCTAATTTATGTTGGATTAACTGAGGTAAAGACACAGACACATTTCTCTGTGTCATTTGTATTCTGGCACCTCTCTCTATTTGGCTCAACATTAGACTGTCATTTTTATTTTCTCAGGTACTTAGTGATAACCATGTACCAAATATTAAATATATAATTCATGACAATTACAGAACAATTTCCTGGGGATACAAAATATCTGAAATATAATTTACCCTCTCTGAGAGTTGCCAGTTGAATAAAAGAGTTTAAAGTTATTATGTTGCCTTGGCTATGTCCTTATTTCTGTCTTGCAATGCAATTCACTTTTGGATTCTTGCCTGTATTCCTCCAACAGATCAAGCAACACCTAACTAATAGCGTAAGAATCTGGCCCTCTAATTCAATTCTTGTACATTTTCTGGAAATTAAACTTGAGAAATTGACTTCTATTGTAGACTTGATCTTAGATTACTGTCCATGATCTCTGGAGTTTTCACTCTTGCCACTGGGATCCTAAATTTGTCCCCTTCCTAGTCTATCAGAAAAGTACACCCAGCACATTGGAGAATAATAACAATTAATTAAAGACAGAGGATAAAGCCTATTGAGACATAATACTTCCTCTATATTAATGACTTGGGAAATGTATTTTTATGTAATCAACAGAAGCATTGAGTCTCTATTACCTAAATTATCTTTATTTGATTAGAGACATTACTAAGAACCTTAAGCTTTGTCATAATTGAACCCAATATTTTCAATATGTGAAAAGTGACTTTAGTCCTTGAATATTATTTATTTTTGTTATGGCTACACAAATGTATGCCCAAACTGTTTTCTAACAGATATTGTGGTAATTATTTGATAACAATTACAAATTGAATGGTTTTCATTTAGGAATTTTAAAGCCAGTTGGAGTGAAAATGTCCTCATCTTCTCTGGGACAGGTAAGGAAGTAACCAGTAAGTTTGAAAAATATTTGGAAAGTTACATTTAATTTTGTAATCAGTGTATTATTTCCTTTATGTTTAGCAAAATTTGTTGGTTCTTGTAATAAGTTTGGGGTCTTCCCCCAACTGCATAAAGATACATAAATTGGGATTTTTGCTGACTCAAGAAACCTTAGCCAAATTTCATTGATATTTCTTCACCATTCCTCTATTAACAAAGTTTAAAAAAAGATAAGAAATATGAACTCAAAGTATACTTTTATGATTACTATTTTTTAAAATCACCTATTTTTGTGACTGCTTTATTGAAACACTGAATCACTTCATGTATCTGCCTAGTGACTCAAAAAGTGTTATTACAATTCACTTTAAATGAAAGTGCCACTCACAATCTTGATAATTAATGCAGGTAACCGGCTGTGTGAGAAAGTTAACATCAGCCTTAACCTCATGCACTGAACTGTTTTTCACATGTCAGATAGGCATTTCATTTTGAGGAAAGCCATGTTTCTGTTCCTTTTGTGGTTGGAATTTATAATTAATTATACAACATGGAGATGCTGTATTTTAATTATAAAACATTTTAATGTGGAACACATGAGACCTAGGATACAGAATGTAGCAATCAAGTTGTACAACAAATAATCAAACCTCTAATTATGAAAGCTACAGTGGTTCCTGAAATCTAAAAGCAAAAGTCACAGGATGGTTTATTTAACAATAGAATTTATTATATTTTATATCTTCTTCAAAGCTTACTTTGTTTTTCCTCTTATAGGAAATCCTTTTTACCTACATAGAAAAGTTACGTTATTGGAATTTACATCCCTCCTCCATAAGAAAAAAGACATTATCTTCTCTTCCAAATGTCCACCATGCTAATTTTATCTCTTTCTTATTATATTTAACTTTAAAAATCTTGATCATTATAATTGCTGTGGGTCGTATATTCACTGTGAATATTCTGTGAGAGATGACAGTTTTATTCTTAATAACCTGCATATTAAGAATTGCCATGCCTTTTTCATGATTAGTGTTCAATCCACATGTTAAAAGAATGAAAAATGCATTACTGAATTATCTTATATTACCCTTTTTTGCAGAATCATTCTTTGTAGTGTTAGTGAAATATGCCGAATATTAAAATAGGAACCAAACTTTTTATAAAATGCTGCCTCTGCTGTCTCACAATGCCTAATGCTACCTCTAAACGATAGTTATTATTCTTTTCTGTCATATAAAGAAACATAGTCATGCCAATTGGTTTTCTGCCACTATATATCCAGTGGGAATCACACAGAGAATCAATTCATTACAATGATAAATTACACCATTAAATAGTATATTATGCCAGAATAATCTAGAAGGTCATGAAAGAAAGATTAAGAGATGACAAGAGAATCTACAATGTGTAAGAAAGTGCATGATACATGAAAAAATAGGTTTTGGTTTGATATCTACCAAATATGTTAAATGAATATATAACCCTGTAAAAATTGAAAAATTACATACTTGTAAAATCAGAATAAATCTTGAGATACTCATCTTTTGTATAACTTACATGAAATTGTACCAAGTGATGACTTTTTAAATACAGTTCTAGTTATTTCATATTTCTACTCAAGTAATGTGGTTTGCTCCATAGGAGTTATTTGAAAATAAACCTCTTTTCAAATGCTCAAATCTATTATTGTTCTGTCAGTTGTGCAACTCATAAATACTCTTTCCTATTCTCTTCAAAACACAGAAGTAATATTAAAATCAGTGGGAAATATTCTTAGACAAGTCATTGATACAAAATATTAAACATATATAAAAAGTAAACTTTAATATTCACCATGTATGTTATTATTTTATATTCAATTTTATAATTTGTTAACACACAAAAGTATTATGTGTAGAACAAAGCTCCTTTCATGAAAAATTGAACTCACATTTCTGCAGTGTAATCACACATTCTATCTGGATTTATTGTTTAATTGTTTTCTATTGTCAAACATGTCTAAGTTATTGACATTAGAACAGAGAAACTCCAACAGAGAAAGGGAGCACAGCTACATTTTTTTTCTTAAAGATTATATACTATTTCTTTACATGGATGTCTTGATTGATTTAGTTATTGATTCATATTACAATGGAAGGCTGAATCAACTTATACGGCTTTGAATTAATTGTATACCTTCTATTGATGAGTGAATAAATAGTTTTTTAACATTAACCACAAAACATATAAACATTAACAATTTTGTGATATTTTACATAAAACGTGCAAGAAATTCTAAATTTGAAATTAGTATTTATTTTATAGAACATATTATGAAATACTTTTTAAATTAGTAATCAGAAAAAAGATGATTAAATAGTAAAAACAATCATTTGTATTTTTACCAGATATCATCACTTTTAAAAGTTTGGTTTATATTCTTCCAGATAGAACAATATACTAAAATAATATAAATAGGTTATTATGTCAACAAACATTTATATATATTTTTACAGCTGGTTACCCCCATGCAAAAACGTGCCATATGTAATTTTTCTATCTAATATATTAGAAAATGTATGTTATTTAAAAGTTTTCCTATTGTAAACAATACTATAATGAACATTATTAAAGACAGTCTTAAGTTAGCAAAGACTGAAAGGACATGTTCTCTAGTTTAGAGTGTATGACATTCAATCAAGACCTAGAAGACTTATGCCATCCCCCAAGAATGTACTAAAAATCATCTGGGATTATAGAAGGAATTCAGGGAACCCTATCTGCAAGATTATTTACATGCCAGATCCAGTAATTTATGATCTTCTTGGTGTCTGTAAAGTCATAAAAGTCACAGGATTACACCATAGTCATTTGCTTGAAATTGCATTCAAGATATCTGCATTCCATTCCTTAGATGCTTTCCAAAATAATAAAATACATGGCAAGATTCTGTGTGGAATCTCAGTCTTCCTATGTGGGATGATCACATGTAGCATCCTTAGTGCCAAACCTAATAAAACAAGCTTATTGTTTTTGGTTTTGGCTTTTTTTTTTTTTTTTGGAGCATGGTTGAAAAAACTTATGATACCCATAACAGGTTTAATAAATTTTTCTAAACTGGATATTGATTATCAAAGCCAATTATATGCCTCTAATATATTGATTTGGAGAATTTAGAAAAACAAATATTTCAAATATATCAGAAATCTACATACTAATAAATTTAAATGAAAAAATTTCTATTAACTAATGTATGTCAGCAGCTTTTATCGACAAACTCATTTTATTTTTCCAAAGGCATACAAAGTAGTTTCTATAATAAACCTGGCAAAAATAGATATCTAGCTAGCATTAGCACAATAATACAAATAAAATCAAATCTTGAAAGAAATGGAACTTTTTACCATTCCAGATAGTATAATAAATGTAATAGTATAATAAATTCGCATAGCTCTATAACGCAGATTTGGCTAAATATGACTCTATAAAATGACATTTAAAAGAACAGTGTTGTATACAGCATATGGATGCCATAGTTTCTTACAATTTTATAGTAAAATAATAATTACCTGAATAAGGTAACATCAATCACATTCATTTAAAATAGTTGATTTATAAACTAGCTTGATTTTAAAACAAATAAAAGAAACTATCTACTAAGGTAACAATGAGTATCGATTAGAGTGTCACTTCACAAACTTTAATGTTCATACATATGATGGCATCTTGTTAAAACAGAGCCTCTGTTTCAGGAGTTCTGCACTGACCTGAGAAGCTATGCTTCTCACAAGCTTCAAGATGAGATTGATGTTGTTCTTCTATGAACTATACTTTGAGTAACACCAGATTATGAGATTATTAATAATTCAAAAAATAAGCTTATTTTTTAGGAAAAAGTATAAAAAAATCAGGCATTCAAACTCCACAAAAATACTTTTTAAGCCATATTACAAATAGAAGCTTTAAAATACATTTCTTTTCTCTGCATAGTTTATGAATCTTCATTTATAGGACTGGCTAACATTGACACAAAGTTCACAGTGGGTATTATATCCATATATCTACATAAGATGTTCAGCTTCTCTCATTCTCAGCAGGTATGGTCTCATTAACACCTGTGATTTTAAAAGCCTGAGTTTCTCCCAGCAAGATGTAGTTTTATTAATATGTGTTATATTTATATATCTCTCACTTTGCTATGTTATAATGTGGAACCAAACCTATAGCTATTGCTCTAGTATCTGTTTACTTCATAAATATTGACTGCTAGAGGTGTGAATCCTACTAGGGTCTTTTGCATAATTATATGAGGGTAAGCAGTAAACAAAAATGACTGAAGAATAAATGAAAATAATAACTTAGCTTAAATGTAAAGTAAGATGACAAGAATACCATGAAATAAGAGTCACAGAAAGAATGTTTGCTAGCTGTTATTTAAATATAAATGTTATTATTTTTGAAGAAATAAATGTGTATACATCTATCTCTTTCAGAAGAATTGTGAATTGTTTACAAATATATTTTCTGAAATATCTTTTTTTTTTCTTAGTACTGAGGTCTGATGGTAAATGTTTAGTAACTAGCTTTGTATAATAAAAAGCCAGATTTATGGTGTTTTCAGATTTTCATGGTGTAAAAATTCCCAGTGGCCAATTTCAAGCTACTGACATGAGATCTCGGAACATAGCATTAGGAAAAGATGCAGAAATGGGCTTTTTTAGAAGCCAGTGCATAATACTTCCAACACAACAGTGACTTAGCAGACTGAGCGTCACTTTACTTTAATGATTAATCACAATAATTGTCAACTGACATTTTTTATTTAATGACTTATAACATGGTTCCAATTATAAAATGTGGAAAATGTAAGTAAAATAAAGACAAAATTAACAATAAATCTAACACCCCCAAAATGATTGTTACACATATGTATATATCCTTTGAGAGCTTTTATTAAAATATTTATACTTGTATTTGTTACAAAATTGAAAATGTGTTTTATTTCACTTTGGCATTCTACCCAAACTGACAATATACTATAATTTTCTACAATTACTAGTTATTCCTTTAAAAGTACATACAAAACTGAATGAAACTCTATGCTCCCAATATACTAAAATCAAATGATTTTATTCTCTATAGTTGAATCATTCTAAACATATTTAGAATGTTTTGAAAATTATTGGTCAATGAACATTCTGACGCAGAAATCCTTGTAAATACTACCTCTGCTTCTTTAGGGTAAATACCTAAAAGAGGAATTATTGAGCCAAAAAGTGCAATTACTTTGAGGGTTTCTGATAAGTGTCCCTAAATTGCACTCAGGAAAATTTGTGTAAGTTTAAACTCTTAAGTGGAGTTGCTGGAGACCCTCTTTCACCTGATTCATAAAACAATCTTAATTAGAAAGAAGAAACAATCCAAATGTCTTTGAGGTTCAAGTACACCACATACTATCTCATTTAATTTTTATAGTCTTTAATTTTATTAGTTCAATTTTTCATTTTTGAATTGCCTGTTAGCATTCTTTTTCTTTTAATTTGTGTAGGACTATTTACATAATAATGCCATCAATCATTTTTATATGTGTGTCAAATTTATCTTTTATTGAATAATTTATCTTCATAATTTTGTTCATAATATTTATTGAAATTAGAATGCATAAATATTAAACTTAAAATTATGTTATATAGTATACCATGCATGATTATAAATATTATGTCAAATGTATAAAGTGGTTTTTGCTGTCAGTTTCTGATTTCTCCACCCGATATAATTATTTTATATTACCTCTAATACAACAGATTCAATTCTGGATAATTTGGGGAACAACATAAGAACAGTAGTAATCAAAACTAAATAAAATAACTACATGCAGTTTACAAAAAAGTTCACATCCTATGAATATATTTAAATTATACTTCACTTAAATGTATCATTTCACTATGCATTTTCTATTGATTTCATAATCATATTCCTTTATTCCATTTTTCCCCCTCTGCTGGCAGAAAGTTTCTATTTTCTGTTGGCATTTAGAGTATCCTAACATTTACAACATGCATTCATGATGTATTAAACTATAACATGAATTAATATTTGCCTCAATTTACAGCAAAATGAAGACCTTCTAAAATTGTAACTCCATTTATTTCTCCCTTCCAACTTCCATGCTATTTTTATAATACATTTTAGTATATGCTATGACTCCCAAAAACATTGTTATTGCTATTATTATGCTACATTGTAAATATTCATTTAAATTTACCCACTGGAATACAACTTTGTGTTTCTTATTACTTCCTAAATCTATAAACTACCACTTAATACCATTTCATTTTTGTTTCAAAGGTAACCATGAGTGTGGGTTCTGTCTTAGTGAATTACTTCAGTTTTCAGTGATCTAAAAAGGTTTTTGTATTATCTTCACTTGTGAAGTTTTAACTGTATATGGGATTGAAGATTAGAAATTATTTTCTTTCAGTGCATAGAAGTTATAATTCTATTGTCTTTTCACTTACATTGTTTCATTTAGCAAGTTAAGAGTCTAAAGGTGTTCTTTTAAAGGAAATGTGTTTTTCCCCTGACTGTCCATGATATTTTTCTCTTTTACTCTATGTTTCTGCAATTCCTCTCTGTGTCATCAGGTTTTGAATTGCTTTCTGTGTTTTTCTGCTTTGGATTCATGTTTCCCTTTCAATTAACAGTTTAATTCATTTAGAAGCATATCTTCCTTGTTCTTGCTCTACTTTCTTGAGCCCGTAATTTTATGTAAGACTTTTCATTAACCTTTGCACTCTACAATATTTTCTGTCCTTTTCTTTACTATGTTTGATTCTACATATTTTATTCTAACATACCTGCTAGATCATTAATTTCCTTATCAACTGCTCTCAAACCTATCTTTTGTGTTTTTTATATTGTTTCCTTTTCACGTCTGAAATGCCAATTTTAAGCCTTCCAATTATTTAATAAAATGTTTATATTTTGTTTTTTATCTTCAGAATAATTCTACTACCTGGGATAATTCTACTAGTGATGCACAATTTTTGTTCCTTAGCTCAGCTAGTTCAGATTCTTGTCTCACAACCAGGAAGAATTAGACAAGTGGACATCAAAGAGTGAGTGGAGTAGAATTTATTAAGTGAAAGGAAAGCTCTCAGGAAAAAAGAGAGGATGTGGGGGTTGGTTCTCCTACCCAAAGACAGGAAAGTTCCCCAATATGGCTCAGCCCAGGGTTTTTTGTGGGCTGAATAGGGAGTGTGTGCTGATTGGTTTGTGAGTACGCAAAAAAGGTTAAAGCAAAGACACCACTCAAAGGTGGGCATGACAACATAGAAAACCAATTAGGCGGCTGGGTGCAGTGGCTCATGCCTGTAATCCCAGCATTTTGAGAGGCCGAGGATAGTGGATCACCTGAGGTCAGGAGTTCGAGGCCACCCTGGCAAACACGGTGAAACTTCATCTCTACTAAAAATACAAAAAATTAGCTAGGCATGTTGGCACGTGCCTGTAATCCCAGCTACTCGGAAGGCTGAGGCATGAGAAACGCTTGTACCCGGGAAGTGGAGGTTGCAGTGAGCCGAGGTCCCACCACCGCACTCCAACCTGGGCCACACAGCGAGTCACTATCTGAAAAGAAAAAAAAAATAGGTAAAATAGGTGAAAAATGGGGATCAATCAGAGGAAAGCACACAAAACAGGAAGGTGGGTCCTCAATCCAATCCAAAGATTTACCCAGCACAGTTTCCAGCTTGAAGGATGGATTTCACGGGGAACTCATCCCTATCTGCCTTGGGATTTGTCTGCCTCCTGTCTCTATCAATCACTAGCTGGCCTTTTCTGTTATTTTGCTCTTTTTCCTTGTTTTCTTTCATTTTGTTTTGCCTCCTTCTGTGCTAGGTTATCTTTTATTTTATGCTGGATTTATATTTGAAAAATTTATTTTGTTCACTTGCAATACTCATTACAGATACAAAGAATGGCATTGTTTTATATTTTTATAATTTATTTAATGCCTGACTTAATATAAGACATGCTGATTTATTAGATCTACTTCTGCTTTCGGTATGTTGTGATATCATACATTATGTAGTCTCTGGAAAACTCTACTTACTTTACACATGAGAGAGAAAGAGAGAGAGAATGAAAAAATCAAATAAGATCTTAATATTGTTATATTATCTCAGGACCTCATCCCTTTGCCTCTTGAGAGTGGGATGTTAATGGCTTCACATTGCTCCTGATTCACTATTTTTTGTTTGTGCCATTAAGTTTGTCAAAACTATTGAAAATAGTAGAGACCTCACTTATAGAGCCATTGACATTTATTCCTCTTTTTGTAACATTATGAATGCTAATCTCAAAAGCACAAAGTTTGAAAAATCGTTGCTTTTATCTTTAAATTACCTGGGTCTTCAATCTTTCATCCCTTTGGACAAGTGGAAAATTCCATACTTGTAGTTTTTGCTGGTAAAGTATCTGAAACTACCCTGTGGTAGGCACCCTCTGAGATAAACCCTAATAATTCCCGCCTCCTAGTATTCACAGCCTTAGGTCATCCCATCTTTACCTTAAGTGTGACGTAGACTGGCTTCAAAATAATTCTGAGAAACTATTTCACTTTCAAAATTATAGGCTATGAAAAGACTGTGTTTTACATCTTGGGTACTCTCTCTCAGATGGTCTCTTGAATGGCTCACTCTGTGGATAGCCAGCTTTCATGATGTGAGGCAGTCTCAGATGGTCTCTTGAATGGCTCACTCTGCAGATAGCCAGCTTTCATGATGTGAGGCAGAGTCTTGTGGAGTAATCCACAGGGTGGTGGTGTTGAGGTCCACCAAAAAGCACATGAGTGAGTTTAGAAGAAGGTCCCTCCACCACCTCCTTTGAAATGAATCTTCAGATAAGATCACAACCCCAACTGGCAACCGCACAGCAAATTCAGGAGAGCCTTTGAGCCAAAGGTGCCCAAAAGCCATGCATGAATTCCTGATCCTCAGAAATTGAGATAATAAATGCTTGTTTCTTTAAGATACAAAGACTTGTGATAATAAGCTATGCAGTAGTAGATAGTTAACACAGTCTTCTCTTTCCTGGTTTATCACATTTGTGCCAAATATTCTCTTTGCTCAAACTCAAGCCCCTACTTCTAAAAATACAAAACATTGCATCTCTTCTCTGAATCTTTCTTGAGGCAGGTTCTTAAATTTCTATACCTCCATATGCACACAAAACACATATTCCTCCCGACATCTTTCTATCTTTCAGAACCGTTGCTGGTGAAAAGAGTGAAGGTCCTCTGCGTACTTTTTTCCTGAATTCTCATGGACCTCTCTGCCTTTTCCAAATAAGGGCAATCTCCTTTCCTTGAGTCATTGTTTTCCCACAAATCTTCTACTTGACTGAAGTGTTCAGGGCACATAGGATGACTTCAATATGCCTGAATTTACAAAAGACCTTTATCTTGTTTTTTATTTTTGATTCTATTACAGTATCTGAGGAAAGGAGTCAAGAGATTGCCTTTCTGTGTTATATGAATTGAGAGAAAGTTCTGTTACACACACATAAATTAATAATTTAATTTTTCACCCCAAATCTTTTCTTAAAACCAACTAACTATAATTTTCTAATTACAGAACAACTTCTTACATCAGAAAATGGCTCTACATTTCTACTCAGAACTCTCTCAGTTTAGGACTAATCTTACTAACTCATTAAAAGCTTACTAATTCATTATTAAAATGCTCTGGTTTCCCTTTTTATAAGTTGTTCATTACAGTCCATGTCCAAGTGGAATGGACCTTTCTTTGTAATTCTTTACACACTGTCTTAGGCCAGTTGGGCTGCTGTAACAAAAATGGCATATACTGGATGGTTTATAAGCAACACATATTTATTTCTCACAGTTCTGGAGGCTGAGAAGTCAAAGACTGAGGCACTGGCAGATTCAGTGTCTGGGAGCACCCATTTCTCATAGATGACATCTTCTTACTGCACACTTACATGGTGAAAGGGTCTAGTTAATTCTCTGTGTTCTCTTTTATAGGGGCACTAATCACAGTCATGAGGATTTGACCCTTATGACCTAATATCCACCCAAAGTCTTCACCTTCTATTATCATCACACTGGGGGTTCAAATTTCAGAATATGAATTTGGTGACGGGGGCACAAATGTGTTATGGGGAACAGACCATAACACATATATCTGTAATTGTTTTATTTTTCAGAAAGTGATCGTATTATTTCTGTGACATGTTATGCCAGAAAATAATACTACCTTTACACTTGAATCACAATGTAGCTATCAAATATACCTTTTCCTATAAAACTCCATTACATAGCATTTAATATTTAAAAGTGATATTTGAGGCAAATTATTGCCTCACAGCTTAATCCTTTCATTCCACATTCAAAGCATCTCCCATGATTGTCCTCATACAACAATAATCTGTCTGTGCACAAGTGGATTAATTCTTATCTATTTTATACTTTAAACACTTACACTTCTAAGTGTTTTCTACATACTTCCGATTAGACTGCAATTACTTCTGCACCAACCTAATACAAAATAACTTGTTTTTTTTTTTAATTTTGATCCCACAGGCCTTAATTTGTATCAATCACTTTTAATAAAAGTGAGGTTAAGTAATATTTTTTGAGTCTCTACAATTTATTTAGTGGCATATACACTGCAGATCTCATTCTCTTATCTTTCACATTAGTGATGCAGTTATATATTAGAACAGGACCTTATTAAGATAATAATGAAGATATTTTTCACTGCTCCAGTGGTCACGATTGGATTTTCATCATTCAGATACCTAAGAACAGTGGTCCACAGCCTTTTTGGCACCAGGGACCAGCTTTGTGGAAGACAATTTTTCCACAGATGGGGCACGGAGTACAGTTTGGGGATGAAACTGTTCCACCTCAGATCAACAGGAATTATATTCTCATAAGGAGCACCCAACCTAGATACCTCACATGCATGGTTCACAATAGGGTTCATGCTCCTGTGAGACTCTGATGCCACCACTGATCTAAGAGGAGACAGAGCTCAGGCAGTAATGCTTGCTCCCCACTGCTCACCTCCGGCTTTGCGGCCCCATTCCTAACAGGCCATGGACTGGTACAGGTCCCTGGCCCAGGGGTTGGGGACCGCTGCCTAAGAACATAAATATGGAAATATTTTTGCTCAAATGCACCTAACCTTTAGGTGGCTAAAAACCTTTTAGCACCCGGGGTGTAGGATTGAGAGTGGAGATTACTGGCTGAGAGAAACAGCAAAAAACATTCCTCCCATTGAAATTAAATCACTCTACAATTGGGTTTAATTGCTGGACCTACCTGGTAACTAACAAAAATACTAAACATAATTGATTGCCTCATCATTTGAAAACAAGAGGTCACTGAATCAAATAAATGGTAGGAAAATTTAGAACCAATAAAACAAAACATTTTGGATAAAAGTTATTTCTGTCTTAGACCTGCTGCCATGAGAGTCCCATAAATGAACCAGATTTATAGTTAGCAGACTTTCTCAGTCACTTATAAATAATGACCACTGACACATAAAATGCATTCACAAGTAGATGCTTAGATTACCACAAAGGCCTTAAGACCTAAAAGATCAATAATGTAATGAGCTTTGTTTTTTGCTACAGACAAACAAAAAATACACCCTGCAATTTTATAAAAAATTCAGGATTAAAGATTTATGTACGCTTATGACTCAAATGTAACCATTATTGTAAGAATGCATGGTAAGCATGACATTGTTTCACTAGTCTTGCTACATCTTAAAATTAATTCGTTCATTCATCTGTCCATCCAGAAAGGATGTTACTATGATATACAGCTTCTAAATGGCCCCCAACCAATCCCCAAATCTTGTCATTGTGGAATCCCTTCCTCTTGAGCATGGACTAGACCATGTAACTCACTTCAAATGAATGCAATATGAAAAAAGAGATGTTACTTCCAAGACTGATTATAAAGGGATTGTGACTTTTTCTCTACTAGGCCCTATTTTACTCTCTCTCTTTTTTCTTTTTCTCTCCCTTTCTCTCTTTCTGTCTATCTGTCTCTCTCTCTGTTCATCTGTCTCTCACTCTTTCTCTCTGTCAAAACCCTGATTCTAAGGAAAAGAGGAAGGTATGTTTTAGTGAATTCTCATAATTTTATTTTGGCCCAGCATCCATTTTGAATATAAATCTAACTTTCTCATACTAGAAGCAGGACTCAGTCACACTTGACAGTTTCCAGTTCTTTAACCACATCCACCCTCAGTTCCCAAATGTGATTGGTCCACATATTTGCCTGATACAACTGCTCCCTGGTGACCACTTCTACTTCCCTATGGGACAGCTAGACATAGCCTACCTGACTGACCCCACTGACCCTCAGACCTCACATGGACTGTACAGATATGTCACAGTGACTACCTGTCAGTCACAGCACTACGTCCTGGAACTCTAAAACTTATGTTTGCTTGCTTTAAACCCACCACTTAGAACTCCCTGTGGGTAACCTATCTAGATAAGGTCCTGGATCCAATAAAGGCATTGGCTGATAGGGTTCTCTCTCTCTCTCTCTCTCTCTCTCTCCACACTCCCTGATCTCTTCGAGTGGCCTCCAGCATGCAGTGTAAATCTCAAGACCTCTAAGTAATAAAATTTTTATTTTCATCTTGTGTCTTGCCAAATCGTTGAAAGAATACTCTCTATCGTAAGGATCCTAAATTAAAATACATGCTATAAACAGCCCTACAGAGAGAGGCACATGTGCCAAAAAGCTTATCTTTCTGGCTAACTGCCAGTAACAACCGGAGGGCAGCCAACAGCCAAACAAGTGATCTTATAAGAGAATTCCACCCCCACTGGAGACTTTAAATAATCACAACCCTGGCAAAGACCTTAACTGTAGCTTTATGAGAATTCTGAATCACAGGTGCGCAGCTAAATAGTGCCTGGATTCTTAATTCAGACAAATTGTGATATAACAAATGCTTGTTGAATAAGTTCTTAAGTTTGGGGGTTATTTTTTATGAAACAATACATAAATAAAGCAGTTAAGTATTAATACATAGACTCTATAATCAAATGACCTGCGATGAATTTCTGGCTCCATAATTCTTAGCTTCTTTATCTTAGTCAATTTATACATTTTTTATATATCAATGTCCTTGTTTATAAAGCAGGTATAATAATAGTACCTCTCACATCAAGTTCTTTCAAGTTTAAAACCCAAATGTACATACAGAGATCTTAGAGCAGTGCCTGATTCACAGTAGGCACTTAAATTTTAGCTACTGAAGCTCATTTATTTGAACAATAATATTAAGACTATAAAAAGTTACTAATACACTTTGCGAAATTGAGCAGGTGACATAATCACCTTGGGTCTCGGTATTCTTTCATTCATTCAAAAATATTTAATAAGCACCAATTCTGCATCAACCTGCATATATATTTATAATAAGAGGGAGAGAAAGCAACAGGAATAATAGTGCTGCCACTAAGTGAAAGAGGAAGACTGCAGGAGAAACAGATTTCAGGGAGAATATACGGGGCAGTCAAATACCAAGAGTGAAGTTGTATGAGCTGTCAATGCTTGTGCAGTTAATGTGTTATCATTATCTAAGGAGCATTATCTAAGGAGCAGTCATTCTCAAACATTTATGAGCATCTGATATAGGGCCCAAGAAGTTGCATTTCAACAAAATGACAAATAATACTACAGCTGCTGCTCCAGGAATCACACTATAGTCCATTAATGTGGAATATGTTAAAACAATTAAAAAAGTGAGTTTGATTATTATTATCATTTATAATCATCGGGGAAAAAATGCTTGTCCCCCTAAATGTAAAACCGTTCTTGGTTTAATTGAGAAATAATTGCTCTGGTTGCTGTGGAATTTAGTAAAATTTATAAGTATAAAATATAACCTTCCAATCAACACATTTTTCCTACATAAATTTAATAAACATTGCATTGCACGTGGAAATTAATAAGTGGAAATCTTAGTTACACTGTCAGTTCCAAAATAAACAGACTTAGCTTAAACATTTGTTTCAGGTTTAAGTTACTAGCAACATAGAAGTTATCCCTATCTATTTAATGTTGTGCAATGTTAATTAAAATTGTATTTAAAAATTTTTTTTCAAAGGTTTATTCCTACTATGTATTGACTTTGTATTGGAGGCCGTATTAAATTTCCATATTTGCTCTTACATTTTTAATATCTTTCTTAGGATTTTCTACATAAATAGTCATTTGTAAACAAATGTGTTACGCTCCTTTATTTCCAATCAGTATATTTTTAAACGTTTTTTCTTGCTTAAATATATTAGCTACGGTCTCTAGTAGAATGTTAATTGGAAGTACTGAAGGCAAATGTATTTTCGTTCTTCAAAAATTAGGAAGGAATAATCAATTTTCTACCATTATGTATGATCCTTACTGTGGAATTTTTATAGATAGCCTTTATAAAGCTATTTATATTTTTCTGAAAATATTTATAACGAATAAATTTTTAATTTTGTCAAAAGCTTTTTCTGCACTTCTTAAGATGACCATAGATTTTTTTAAATTATAGCAATGTGGAGAAAATACCTTAATTGATTTTGAATGCTAAACCAATATTTCATTCCTGGAATAAAATCTTTTTTATGTTGCCAGATTTGATCGTTAAACTTCTATAAAAAAATCTTTGCATTATGTTTAAGGTGTACTCCTCTGTATTTTTAAAGTTTTGACATAATATGGTCTACAATGATGAATTCCTAAAATGAGTTTTAGGTATTTTCCACTAATTTTTTGGAAAAATTTTGTGTAAAAGTATTATTTTTTCTTGAAATATTTTATATAATTTACCAATGAAGGTAATTAGCCCGGGATTTTTCTTTTTTGGAAGATTTTTATTTATTAATTTAATTTATTTAACAGACATAGTGTTATTCTGGTTTTATGTTTCTTCAGTTATACTGTAGTTTATATTATTTAAAGCCTTTGCACATTTCATCAAGAATGTCAAATTTGACAAAGATTTATTGATACTTTTTCCTTTTTATTGTTGTAATACTTGTAGTAGAGGGTAGCAAACTTTTCTTCTGTAAGAGGCCAGATTGGAAATATTTTAGGCTTCTCAGTTAGTGTAGTCTCTGACATAACTCTTCAAATCTGTTGTAATGTGAAAGTAGCCATAGAGAACACAAAAATAAATGGATGTGGCTATGTTCTAGTACAATTTTTTTTTTTTTTCACAAAAACAGGCTATAGGCAATACTTGGTTTTGAGAACTTAATATGCTGATTCTAATTTAGAGATATCTAGATGTATAAATAGGATCAACTACAATGTGCCCTGTTGTATTACAGATATTGTCAATTTGTGTTTTTTCTTTTTTCCTCATCCGATTGTCTAGTGGCTTTTCCTTTTCATTTATCTATCCAAAGAGCAAAATTTTGGTTTGATACATTTTCTCTATCTATTTTTTTGGATATAACTTTCTTTTCTAAAAGTTTGGGTGAATATTTAAGGCATGCGTTTTAAACCTTCCTTCCTTTCTAATACAAGCACTCAAGATTTATAATTTTTCTAAGCATATAGAAGGAATTTGTACCCCACACGTTTTAATAAGATATTTAAAAATCTTTTTCAGTTTGAAATATTTTCTAAATATCCTTCTGACTTCCTCTTTGATTAGTTAGTTATGTAAAAGTGTGTTTCTTATTTTTCAAATTGTTCTGAAATTTTCCAGATATATTTTTGTTATTGGTTTCTATTTAAATTCCTGGTAATGAGAAACCAAACTCTATATAACTTCAAATCTTTGATATTTCCTGAGACTTTTAAAAGAATCACTCAACATATGTTCCATCTCATTAAATGATCCATGTATGCTTGAAAAAAATGTTTATCTATTGCACCACCATAATTCATCCTGGATGACAGAGCAAAATTCTGTCTCCAAAAAAAAAAAAAAAAAAAAAAAACCCTTGATCTTATCCTTTTTGAGTATAGTTTTTATAAATATCTGTTAGGTTATAAAGTTGTTTAAATCAGTTTTGTCTTTATTTTTGTCTATTATATCAATTACTGAGAAATAGATGTTAAAAATCTCTAAATATATTTGTGAGTTTCTGCATCATGGATTCTGAATATCTTTATTGGTTTTGTCTTCATTGGCATTGTCATATCTTTTAAACAAATTTACTATTTTTAAATTATGAAGCACTACTTTAAGACGGTGAGTGGCAGCACTCACCATCTTAAAGTGTATTTTGTCGGATATTAATGTGAAGACATTAGCTTTCTATAAGTGGTGTTTGCATAGTGCATCTTAAATTTTAATTTTAACTATAAAGTGAATATTTTATGATCAGCATATAATTGTCTTATCATCCTGATAAGCTCTCATTTTAATTGGATTGTTTGGTATCTTTATATTTTGTGTGATTTGTTATATGTTTTCTATTATGCCTACCATATTGTTATTTGACTTCCACTGTTTTCTGGTTCATAACTTTTCTAAAAGGAAGTCAGTAATAATTCATAATGCTGTTTTCTTTATTTAATGTCATATTTTTCTAGCTGCTTATACGATTTTTTCAACATACCTTAAATGTTCCGTTATATTATATGTGCTTGGGGTTCTCTAAACTTATTATGTCTATAAATTAATATCTTTTAGCATATTTGGAAATTTTTGCCTTTTTAAGTCTTCTAAAAAAAAGTCATCAAATATGTTGTTATTCCACAAATATCTCTTCTCTTTCTCTAGGATATCAAGTACACTGCTCTTAAATTGATATGATAAACCTCTTAAACCCTTAAAATGATATGATAAACTTCTTGATATAGTCCCACAGATCACAAAGATTCATCATTTTTCTCCCTAATGGTCCCTCTATGCTCTTAAATCAGATATTTCTATTAATTTGTCTTTACATTTGCTGACTCTTCTTTCTATCATGTTTATTATGACAATCAGTTCATTCAGTATTTGTTTTTAATTTTAGAAATTTTGTTTTTTAAATATAATTTGCTTTTGGTTTAAAAAATCTTATTTTGGCTAAATTATATATTTTCATTTATTATGAACATGTTTTCATTTATGTCATTTATCATTACTATAGTAGCTACTTTATAATTTTTTCTGTTAAGCCAATATTTAATTCATCTCAATGTATATTGCAGTTGATTGCCCCTATTTTTTGCAATGTAGGTCTGCTATGGTCTAGATATTTATGATTCCCAAAACTCATATGTTGCAATTCTAACCCCAGGGTGATAGTATTAGGAGGTGGGACCTTGGCATGTGATTAGGTCATGATAATGGAGCCCTAAAGAATGGGATTGCTCTGCTTGTAAAGGAGAACTCAGGGAGATATCTTGCTCCTTCACCCAGTGAAGTCGCAGAAATAAAATTTAGCTCTGAACCAAAAGCAGGCCTTCTCCAGATACTGATTCTGCTGGTATGATGACATTGGACTTCCTAGCCTTTAGATATGTGAGAAAGACATTTCTTTTGTTTGTAAGCTACCCAGTTGATGGTCTTTTGCTATAGCAACACAAATGGACTAAGATAGGGTTATATTTTTCCCTACCTATCTAATACTTTTAGATTTTTCCTAGGCATTGTAAATGATACATTGTAGAGACTGGATTCTGTTTTGCTCTTCTGAGGTGACCTGTTTCTATTTTTTTAATATTGTTTGTTTTAATAGGAAGATAACTTGTCAGTACTTGCAATAAGATATCTGTCTCTCCTGTGATGGAAAGCAGCAGAAATCTTTTCTTTTCTTTTAGCCTTAGCTGTGTTACTTGGAGCATTCTCTGGGAATTTGAATTTTGCAGACCTGACCAATATTTAGATCTAGTTTATAGTTACGAAAGAAGTGGCCTTCTGTTGCTCTGTTTCTAAAGAAATTTTCCTCCTCTTTTTCCAGTTGTGGCAGTTATCTGGATTTACATACTCTGGTTATTCAAGTCAGTTGAGACAATAGCTTTCCTATTGGAGTCTTAAGCACCCCTTATAGCACTGGGTGAGGACTTTTCTTGAATAAAAATTCATAAAAATTGGAAAGGTATCCAATATATCTTCATTTTCCTGCTTTCTGCATTAGTTAATTATTTCTATAATAGCTGAACATGTTATCCATTTTATCTCATTTATTACACTGGGTGGGAACTTTTCTCCAATAAAATTCATAAAAATGGGAAAGATATCCAATGTTTCTTCATTTTCCTGCTTTTTCTATTATTTGATTATTTTTATAATAGCTGATTATGTTGTTCATTTTACATATTTATCTCTATTTTGGATTGTTGTAGGGATTGTATATGCATGTTTAACTTATTACTGTCTATAATTAAATAGTATCATATAATTCTATATATATGTGGAAAAGGCTTTATGAAAATACACTTTTTTTAACTCCTTTTCTCTATCTTGGGATATTATTTTCATAGATTTTATTTCTAAATGCATCTTATACCTCACAGTGTATCATTGTTATTATTTTTGGTTTGAAACATTCAATTATCTTTTAAATAAATTAGATATTTTTTAAAAAGTTTTTACCCACATATTTATCATTCCTACTGCTCATAATTCCTTTACGTGTATCTTAGTCCTCACCTAGTATTATTTTCCTTTTATCTCATAAACTTTCTTTAATAGTTTGAATCACATGCAGTAAACTTCTATGCCAGAATAAATATATCTCCTAGATTTTGTTCCAGCCAAGTATCAACATATAAGCAAGATCTAGACAATATACAACTTATGATTATGCCTTTGAATGGTCACTGCTTGACTTTCCTTTATGCTTACTGGTTGGAATGGTAGCAAACACTGCAACAGTCATCGTGTATGTGAAATGGAAGCCACAAATTGAGAATAGAAAAAAGCAACAAGCTACAGGGAGCCTAGGACCATGTCAAATTTCAACATAAAAATTCAATCTATAAGCTTCAACTATATGTGAAAATCATATAAATGCATATGTTTACATCATTGTTAATTTTGTGTTTCTTCTATATCAATTGAAATGCTGTCTTATCCTACACAGAATTTAATGTCTAGAAGTGTGACATGACCTAGCAAAATCTTAAATATTTAAATATGTAACATGGCTTAGCAGTGAAGTACTGGACATCAAGGACTAAATAACACAGTCTAGAATTCTGGTGGTTTCTGTAGAGAGTACAATACCTTCTAAGGTAAACTATATAGCAATAGAGCTTAAAATTCTAGAGGAAATAACTTTTTTAAATGAAAATTTTAATGCATATGGCTACTATTATCTCTGCTTTTACCAAAGTAAATTAATAATTTTTAAATAAGAATCTAATGCATATGGCTACTATTTTCTCTGCTTTTACAAAAGTCTTATAAAACAGGATGAATTTAATTTAAATGTAGGCATTAGGTAAGTTTTTTCTGCACACACCTCTGTTAGGGATGCTCTTTGGCTATAGCTTGAACTTCAAGATGACTGAACTCTATAAAAATGGGAAAAAACCTATCCCTAAAATAAAGCTGTTATAAGAGATGGCTCTCAAAAAATAAGACTGTGCCCTTAAGCCTTTTCGAAACATCTCCCAGTAATTGTTTTCTACCGGATAGTGAGAGCCAGCCAAGCAGGATAGATGAAAAGAACGTCTTTTTCTCTTCACTGAAACCTATTGTTTCAAATGGCCCCAAGTTATGTGTGATTAAGTTCAGAGAGACTCTCATGGACAGAGCACAAGACAAGTACATAAAAGACTAGATATTTTAGGCTTAGAAACTATTTCTAAATATCATTGCCCCAGAATTATTCAGAATTCAACAGACAGAAACCTACTAAAGTTTTGAAGAGATTATATTGCCCCAAGTACTAGTTTGCTTGAGCAATCCTATGGTTGTTAGACCCCTGAAATAACCTCAGCGAGATCCTCAAACTGACTAGTAGATTGCAAGTTGGAAAATCTGATTCCACGAAGGTTATATTCTTTTAATGCCTCCTTCAGATGGGCCAGAGAAGATAATGTAAAAGGAAAAACTTTGCACTAGGTTAAGGTTGACTACATAGCACTCAGAAAGCATAACCAGTGGTATGAAGGTGGGCTATCCAAGGAACTTAGAACATATTCTACTTCTGGAGTATGGGACTCCTAGCAATTTCTTCATTACAAGATTTGGTCATTTTATTCAATGGTGACAGTGACGTGTTTCTCATTCTCCTTGATGGAAAATTGAATTGCAATTATTCTGCTCCTACTCAACTACTGTATATTGAATATGTATTTAATTTATGGACATCCTCATTAAGAGGGAATTATATATAGACATACAGGGAACAGTATATAACTCAGAGATCCAAAACTTTAGATTGTAAGTGATAATCTGTTTGTACATTGGATGATATCTCTTAGGGTATGATTGAGTGTATTCTTTGCATGGGAACAAATATATACACAAATGTTTGGCTGTAATGAAGTGCGAGTCTGGGGGTTCACATTTTGTATAAAAATATACATTTGGCTTGACGATACCCAACCAGAAAAACAAAATACATTGCCTAGTCTCCGTTTTATGAAAGTATTGCCATGTGACCAATTGCTTATTAGACCGACTACACAAGTAGACAATGGCCTGCCAATATATGACAATAGAACTCTGAAGCACCAAATCTGCATTTGAGAAGCTGAACCACAAAATCTGGAGCAATTGTCTGAGAACTATCAGGACTGGGTCATCAATTGTTCGCTTGCATAATTTTGCCCCTGAATCCAACTCAGGGCCAATCAAAGAAAACCAAATATGGTTTTCAAATAAATCACATGAGACACTCAATTCTAGTTAGCCTGGCTCCAACCAAACAAATCACATAAGACACTCACTTCTAGTTAGCCTGGCTCCAACTTTCCTATAGCAAAAAATATACAAACTGATTATATCTGAATCCTCTCCATTTTTTTTAACTGTAAAGTTTTCTCATCTACCTGCCTTTGACTCTGTGCCAAATGCAGGCATCAGTGGCTGACTCCCTTGCAAACTCTAAATATATAGTTTGTGTTTTGTTCTCCTTTGGGTTATCTTTGCTTATTTACACATCAGGTCAATAGGAAATGTCAAATACAATTCTGATAGGTGCCTAAAATAAATGGGTATGGTTCCTAAAATAAATAGGTTTAGTTTTTTTCCTCCTTTTTGCTACTCATTGAATTTGGGCATAAGCTAGAGTAGTCATATTCAACCCTCTGAGGTTGAGGGTAGCAGGTTTGACTGCCTTTGCTGCCTTTGTTAAAGAGAAATATTATACCAACTCAAACTTTACAGGCGACAAAATAAATATCTATTTAAGATATTGAAAATTTGGAGATATTTGTAATAATATCGTAAACTGACAATAACGGAATTTTTTTTAAAAACCCATTATTTGAAATTGAATATTAATAGCATAAAATAATTCATCTTTTTAAATGATACCACTCAATGAATATTGACATATGTGTACAGTTGTTTAACCATAACCAAATTCAAAACATAAAACATTTCATCACCTCAAATATTTTCACTACGCCTCTTTACAGTTAATCACCTTCCATCTCCCAGACAGTATCAAATACCAATCTGTTTTCTGGCCTTTGTATAGCTTTGCCATTCTTTGAATGTCATATAAATAAAATAATAAAGTATTTAGTCTTTTGTATCTGGGTTGATTCACTTAGCATGATGCTTTTGAGATTCATGTTATGTTATTGCATGCAAAACGATGTGAAAATAAAGGGAAAGCCATGGATAATCAGTAAACAGTGGCACTAATTCCAGAAAAAAGTGAATAAGAGTCCTATAGCCACAGCTGATCTACAGATCGTAGAGTTCCCTGGAAGAGAGTCTGCAGGGTAAAAAAAGATAGCAATGGATAGAACAAATCATCAATATTAAATGAACAGTCGATAACTAATGAAGATGAACATTAACAAATATTATAAACCATTATTTAGAGATACAGGTTTATTCACCAGTTTCAATAAAATTAAAAATGTCTCTCAATGTTTGTGTGGAGGATGACTGCAGTGACCAAGCTGAGATCTTGGAACAACTTTTTCTTTTCTAATAATTTTTTGTGTGTGCATTTTTATTCTAAAAAAAGACTAATAATAATAATAACAAATAATTTGGCAAAGAATTGTAGATATAATGAATAAGAAAAAGCTGAGAAAATGAATAAATAAAGATAAAAATAAGAGCATAGAAAATTCTGGGAAAATTTGGAGTAGGATATACCAGGAATCCATCTCTCAACTCAGACAAACAATTACACTGGCAGGATTGTCTGATGTGACTATTTTTGAACTTTGGAATCTATTGAAGGCATTCAATGTCCAGAAGGTGGCTTGGACAGTAAATTGTGGCTAATTTTGGTCAATTTTAGTTTTAGCTTGGCAACAGCCACCCATCCTCTGCCTCCCACCCCTATGGTAGGCAACTATGCACATATTCCTGGAGCATTATACATGCATCTTGTGGGATCAAAAGTGAGTAATAAGGACACTGTTCTCCAAATGTCAGCCATCAGTGTTTTGCTCACTGATTTCTGCTTCTAATCCTGGAGGGGCAGAAACAGAAGGAGTCAGTCATTGCTGTTGTACCTCTTCACATTGTTGCAAGCCACTCCCTCTGAAGCCAAAATAACTTCCACGGGATTTAAAAGACCAGTGCCTTTTCACCTTCCTCATTTTTCTCTTTTTCCTCTTTTGGGAGGCAGGCATTAAAGAGTAGGACATACAAAAGCAATCACATATATAGGGAAAATTAGAAAGTCACAGTGCAAAGGCACAGGATCAGAAAATACTTGAAAAAAAAATGTTAAGATTACATGTGAGCCAAGAGAGCTGTCTTTAAAAAAGAAAAAAAAAAGAGACATAGAGAGAATGAAAAGGAATTAATGCTCTGGAAATTGGAAGAGAGCACATGATGTTGTCTCAACTGAAATCAAGGCACAAGGGAGATCAATGGGTGAGAGTCAAAGAAATTTTCAAATTTGAAGGAAAATAGAGTAGACAAATCTATGCCTGTTGTCTGCTTATTTAGGCCACTACTTAACAGGTCTTGAAACCACTTGTATCAAAAAGGGTAAAAAACTCAGCTGTTACCATTAGTAGATGCCCACTTTCACCAGCACTTCACTTGCTCATTCCTCTAATGGCATTCTTTCACCACAGCACATAATCACGGACAATGACTGAGGAGAGGGCTTATTAACAGAAATTTAAGGGAATGGAAAAAGCATTTCTGACATTAAGACAATAAGCAGAACCTAGTACTTGAAGGAATGCAGCAAGGACAGTTCTACTCTAGGCCAAGCATTAAGAATCACAGAGAATGATTAGGCCTCATGGCTTTCAATGCAGAGGAGAGCTCTGAAAGTGGGTATTCTTTCAGTTCTAGTCTTGGAAAAATTTCAGTTGTAGAATAGAAAAAGTATTGATTGTAAGGACTCACACTAGAAATTGTAGAAAAGAAAATGTGTCTTGGTGATCAGGTTCAGTTTGTTGATCTAGTTGGACGTGTTGATCCCAGATTTGTTAATCAAGTCCTGATTCTTTTCTCACTACTTGAAAAATTCTAGGCTAATAACTTCTTTCTGTGCTTTAGTTTTGTCTTAGGCTGCTTGGATAGAAATAAAGACAAGATTAGCAAAATTAACAACAATAATGTTATATACAAATATATATCCATTCTATATCTTCATTCATCATGGGTTAAGCACTGTTTATAACTTATTTTATTTATAAAATTAGGTAGTTTTAAGCCCTTGCAGCTCTTCAATACTGATTTTATGATGTAAAACTGAAGATTTGAAAAGTGGTAGCACGGAGAGTTGACTGAAGACTGAATAGTTTTGAGATAAGTATTCTAGCCCTAGCCTCACCCTACCCTAGTTTTGAGATAACCATCCTAGGCTGTTGCAATTAAGTTGCTCCAATACAACTATACTCCATTTGGCAGATTCAGATGCCTTCAGGATCCAAGGGGGCTAAAATAAAAATGTGTGGGGTAAATAAGTATAATACTATAGGAATTTAGAAAGCAGTGCCTGGTCACATCGGGTCTATAAACATTCTGATTCAGATAAATTTAAATCAAAATGGTAATTAGGCAAAAATAAAGCTTCACACTGTAATTGGACTATAGGCATCAAATATTTTTATTATATATATATAATTAACGTAAATATATATGTTTATTAGTTAATTTTCTAAATATCTCTAATGTTTTCTCTTGATGGCCCATTTAGACTCCCTTTTATCCTGCTGGTGCACCCATTGTCTAGACCCCGTGGGTGCTGCATACTAGCAGCTAACAGCTGCCCTTCTTCAAAAAATCATTCTTGGGCAATTACGACCTATAGCACACAGCCAGTGATTGATTAATTAACTTGGGAGTAGAAAGGGAGTCTTTTTGACTCAAAGAGAAGACTAACTCCATGAATATAAGTCATGCTCCAGAGTTTCACCACACACGAGCAGGCTGAGGGAAGTCTACATGCTTACTTAGCTTTCACCTTTCCCCTTTTCTTTGGAGAACTGCTTTAATGAATCACTTGATTAGAATTCATATCTCAGGCTCTTGTAGTTTTTCTGACTTCAGACAACCTCATATTTTCCTCACAGAACATATCTTTCTATTATGGAAGTTAAGAACCTACAGTGAAATATACCTACAAGTAAAACAAAGCTAAATAAAACATATTATCTGCATACTGACTTACTAAAAACCAACCTCAGAAGTGAAAAAACAGTTATTTATCATAATAGGTTATGCCAACATTGAAAGGATAACTTTACCTTTCCTTCCTATTTTGAAGATAAGTTCCAAATATCACAGGAGTATGATATGCTATCTTGGTCTGAACTTGAGCTTGAGATTCTCCCAAAAATGAAGTGTTTAATTAATCTTTCTACAAAATGGAGTAACCTATACAAGACATCAACAATCATAAGAGAAAGTACGGAGGAATAAAAATGTATGTAAATGTGAAGTTAAGAAAAGAATACCAAAGTCTGGAGAACGTTAAGTTAGTGAAGATTCTGATTCTTATAATTGACTTTTAATCCACCTGTAATTCTCTTCAGAGTGCTTCAAACTACATTGATTTTTACTAAACATAAATAACAATTTTGCTGACAGTTCTCATTTCTGAGGCAAGTGCCGGAGTCCCTGCCACATTTTGAATAATGGTTTATTGCTAGAGAAAAGATTAGGTGGCAAATCGATTTCTCAGTGCACTTACTAAAATTTTAAATTCACTCATAGTCATATACCCCACAGTAGAATCTGCACAAAATAATTTGGCTTTTTTAGAAACAGAGTTTATAAAGCATTGCAAAATTCAAGAACCTATAGAATATACAATACCAAGAGTGAAGACTAATGTAAAATATGGACTTTGGGTGATGATGTGTCAACTTAGACTCATTAGTTGTAACAAACGTACCACTCTAGTGGGAGATATTGATAATGGATGAGGTTATGCATTTGTGGGGAAAGATAGTATATGGGAAATCTCTGTACCTTCTGCTCAATATTGCTGTGAACCTAAAACTGTCTAAAAAATGTCTATTAAAAAAGAAATATCTTGATGGCATCCACAGGAAGAGAATAGACAATATGCTCTAATAGAAAAAAAAAGTCCATCTACTAAAATACAGCATCTGAACAAGACAGATCTTCAAATGTCTTACACCTCAAGATAATATATTTTTCCAAAGAAATGATAACAGAATAAATTGTATTAAGAACTCTATCCACAGAGGACACAGCAGGCAATTTGCCATAGGCTCTTACTTCCGCAGCTATACAGTGATTTTCTTTCTTTTACCCTCTAGTCTGAAAAAAAAACCCTTAACTTTTCACTGTATCTTGGTAATATACATTTTTTATATCCATCTTAGTAGAGAGAAAACCCCTATATATGAACTCCTACTTGATGCAGCAATAGAACTCTAGCTAGCATAAAGATCGATGTGTTCCGTACTTGGTTATGAAGCTGTCAGTAGAGTCCCCGTTGTTGATTCATGATTTTCATACATTATTACACACTGGTCTTTTCATTGAATTTCAGCATTAGGACAGTTATTGTTTGTAGTGGAAGTTTGCCGTGAAGAGTGGAGAAGTAAAAGAAAAGGCATTGCTATAGATCAACAATGATCCAGTGGCAATCTAATGAAAATTTATTTTCCATTACATGTTTGGGTATTAAATTATACTTGTACAGAGCAAATTATTCAGCTTGAAGAAAAACAAAATCACATTGGTAAAACAAAAAAATGTTAATTATTTCAAAATAAATGCTTTATATTAATTGTTTCAAGAATTATTCACAATGTCTCAAGTTGTTCTTGTCTTATCTAAAAAACATAGAGGCCGGGCGCGGTGGCTCACACCTGTAATCCCAGCACTTTGGGAGGCCGAAGAAGGTGGATCACGAGGTCAGGAGATCGAGACCATCCTGGCTAACACGGTGAAATCCCGTGTCTACTAAAAATACAAAAAATTAGCCGAGCGTGGTGGCGGGCACCTATAGACCCATCTACTCGGGAGGCTGAGGCAGGAGAATGGCATGAACCCGGGAGGCAGAGCTTGCAGTGAGCCGAGATGGAGCCACTGCACCCCAGCCTGGGGGACAGAGCGAGACTCTGTCTCAAAAACAAAACAAAACAAAAAACAAACAAACAAACAAACAAAAAAACGTGGAACGGTTTCTTCATGACTCTCAGGCAGTGGAAAGGGCTAACTGCATATACTGTGGCCTTCAGCTGTCCCTAGAAAAAGAAGCTTCAGACCTTCCCTCTAAAAGGGCTGATGTCCCTTGTGGTGGAGCATAATAATGAAGTTAACATAGGTAGGAATTTGGTTTTTTGGGCCTCCTAGACAAATGTATGTCACCAATACTTTTGAAATTTTTTGACACAATCCATGAGCGTAATGGCCATGTTTAACAACTGATGCTTCTAAAAACAACAACAAAGCCTTGATTTATAGTGCCTGCCAGTATCTGTGGTGTAAATATTTCCAACAATATCTATTTCAAGTTAATGGCATGATATCAATGAACATTGGGAAAATGATGTGAAGTATCACACCATTGTATTTATAAATATACTAAAACAACAGAATAATAACCTCAAGAGTATAGTTAATAGTGAAATAGATTAAGCTAATTAAAAAGTGATGAATTTGAGTATTTTAAGCATTTATCTCTTTAAAAGGATTTACAAAATGTACATTATGCAATTTAATTTTTAAAACTGGCTGTGTTTAACAACCACTTTCAAAAACTTTTCTGAAAATTTAAAAATTGGTTCTCATGAGCCATTTGAAGCTGGATCCAAAATATCATTAAATATAACCACACCTTTGTGTGTGTGTGTGTGTGTGTGTGTGTGTGCATCTTAATTGAAGTTGTTCTATTATAATCAAAATGTAGTAGTCAGCCTTATATCTAAGGTCTGTAAATGTCAACTACTTTAGTCATAATCTGTTGGCCAAGATAAAGAAATGGACCATTACAAATAATATTTGCTTTGGGAACCTTGCTTAAGAGTTTTGGGGACTTGTTCTTAAGACTCGGAACACTAAATTTCCACCTGAAACAAAATTTAGGATTCTCGAGTAGGCATGACATGGCTGTCATTAGTCAAAATAATGCTCTTAATTCTTATATAGCCCTTCTGTCCCAAATTCTTAGCTGGCATTCTACCTTGGGGTCCTGTGGGAAGTCTTAGCAAGAATCCCATTTACCCCAATCAAATTTTGGCTGTGAAACAAGATCCGCCTTTCTTGATTCCTTTCCAATTCTTGAATTCCCTATTCTGGATTCAAATACCCTGGGAAGGAGAGGGTTTCCTAAATAGATGGAATGTTCTTCTCCATAAAGATAACACATACAGACAATAAACAAATGAAAAGAATTTTGACAGCGCCTTCCTTCTTTCCTTCCTTCCCTCCCTCCCTCCCTCCCTCTCTCTTTCTCTTTCTTTCTTCCTTCCTTCCTTCTTTCTCTTTCTTCTTTCTTTCTTTCCTTCTCCTCTCTCTCATTCTTTTCTCTTTTATAACTGAAGACTTCACTATAAAGTGTAATCGCTCTAGTGTTCTCTGTAACCTGAATGTGTACTATGAAGTTAGATTTAGGGGAGGAACATTGCATAAAAATCAAACTCTGAAAAACATAATCTTCATTTTAGATATAGAAAGGTTGAGATCAGAAAAATGAAATAATTTGTCTTAGGTTAAACAAAATATAAGTGCCAATATTTGAATCCAGATATGCCCAGTTCTAAAACTCATTTTCCCACCAACTCCCCTTAGCTTACTTTAGAATTAAACCTCAATATTAAATGAGCACTGGACTCAGGAGTTTAACTATTCTTGTTTGCAACATCAGTCCCTAAACACTCCTTTGTTTCAAAGAGTCTTAATCTAATCTCAAAGAAAGAAATGGCAGTCACTTTCAAGGGTGAAACACTATGGAAGAAGACTACTAAAATGGAATTATGGTAATTGTAAATAAAAGTAATTAAAATTAATTTATTGACAAAAATTAGGCAATTGGCCACTGATTTACAATAATATTACTTTTATTCTCATTATCCAATGCAATCAAAATTAGATAAAATATATATGGAATCATGGTCTCAGACACTGTTTCCAAAAAGTTTTAGAACATGGTTGACAGTGAAAAGCACACTTTATGTCATTACAGAGTACTTGCACGTGTGTGTGTGTGTGTGTGTGCATGTACATACACATTAAGATGTTCAAACAAAAGATTTGCAAAGCAATATTGATCCTTGTTGGATGAAATTTCATTTTTGCAATTTTACCTCTTTTACCTAATTTATTTGAAAATGCTCTTCTTAGCTGCTAAATTATTTCCTTACCTACGAAGGTTACAAACTATGGATTAAAAATCATGTAAAATGAAAACTTACATAAGGTACACAACACTCAATTGTTCTGGCAGCATTTTCCACCACATTTTAAAAATCAACCTTAAATAAATGAGGCCTGTAATTTTGAGTATACCATTTAACCAAATAGCATAAAGAGGGATTAGAACATTCTAAGTTGCCTAGTGTTATTCTCTAGTTGTTGCTTCATTCTCTCCTTAAGGTCCAAACATAATATTGTGTGCTTATACCCTTACTATGGCATTCACCATAGGTGCATCTTGTTTTGAATAGCTTTTATTTGTATGCAGTTTTTCCTTTGACTGAGGAGAAATATTTTTCTCTGAAGCTTCCATTCTTTCATCCTTACTATGACTCTGGAGTCACATAGGACCCTTCTTTTCAAGTATTTGAGGAAATATTTCTTGTGCCATTTTATGGATCTCTTCCAAAACATAAACACCCCAGTTAAATAATACCTTGCACATGTCATAGCTTTGGGTGTCTTCACTGTCTCCCAGCTCTCTATTTGGAATTCACTCTGATTTATTTATGTCCCAATTAAAGCACTTTGCAAAGAATGCAACACAATTCCTAGGAGTTGTTTCTCACTCGCGCTAATTCTAACTCTCTTAAGAACCAAAACATTTAATCATAGATTCTTTACATATCCTCTTTAGCCCCATTTTTACTTTTGACAAATTTATTATGGACCATAAAATTCAGGCTTCAACTATGAATTTAGAATTGTTTTTGTTTTTTTTCTAATATTGCATATATAAAAGAATTCCTGGCTAGTCATGGTTGATAAACAGACCATGTTATCCAACATTCGTTCTTTCTCCAAAACACATGTCTCAACAGAAACTATTACAGGCCCACTTAAATTGTCTTTTGTAGTCTTTAAAGTTGAAACTAAAACTAGTAATGTAAAGCAGAATCTTCTACTGTTTATTGAATTTTTTTACTATAAGTGAAGATCCAGACTAATGATCTCCTATTCTCGCATCTTTACATCTATATTTTTTAAATGACAGCAACTCTCATCCACTTAACAATCCAAGCTTTGGATGGGAAAGCATTTGGAGAAAATGGGCCTGTTAGGGCTAGATAGTAGGATAGTGTCTGTTTTCTTATATATTAAATCAGAAAGAGGTCTATTAAATGTTTGCTTTGAATGTGTTAATTAAGAAGCATGTAGGCAATTTGAAAATTATAAATTGTTTTTACAAGTTAAGACGGTGTGCAGCCATGTGAAAGACAAAATCATGTCCTTTGCAACAATGAGGAGGCAGCTGAAGACCATTATCCTCAGCAAATTAACACAGGAACAGAGAGTCAAATACCACATGTTCTCACTTATAAGCGGAAGCTAAACATCAGGTACTCATGGACATAAAAATGGCAACAGTAAACACTGAGGACTACTAGAAAGAGAAGGGAGAGCAGGAGGGGCCAAGGGTTGAAAAACTAACTAACTATTGGGTATTATGTTTACTACCTGGCTGATGGAATCATTCGTACCTCAAACCTCAGCATCACGCAATATACTCATTTGACAAACTTGCACATGTACCCCCCCTTAACCTAGAATAAAATTTGAAATTATTTTAAAAAAACATTAAGACAGTCATATAATTAAGTATTCACAAGAGAAGAAATTGAGCTGGACACCTATCCCTGTGCTGCTTAATCCTTCTGAAAGAAGTAAAATAAGCAATATTATATTCCATAAAGAAAATTTTTATATGCTACTATTAAAAATATATCCTTGGTAATTCTTTAATTTTGTGATCTTTCTTGTCTGCATGATGATTCTTAACCTTCTTAACCTTTATATGTCTATATTGTTCAACACTACTTTTCAAACTCCATCAAAATTCAAGGCAATCATTTGATAAATGTTTTATAAAATGCATTTAATTTATACTGCTTTGACTGGGCACAGTGGCTCACACCTGTAATCCCAGCATTTTGGGAGGCCAAAGAGGGCAGATTACTTGAGCTCAGGAGTTCGATACCAACTTGGGCAACACGGTGAAACCCCGTCATAGACCCAATAAAGTTAATTCTTCTCTAAGAATAATTTCATTAACCAGGACAGAAAAAAGTCTCCACCAGAATTTAGGTATGTAAAATATATCCAGTGCATTATACCTAGTATGGTACTGGACACATGGTGGATAACTCAACTAAATATTAGGATTATATACAGAAACGTTTTACCCAAATTAATAATTTGGAAGATACATAAACTTCTCACACAATGTTCTATTAATAATTATTATACCAGCTGATTGGACACATATTTTAAGACGTGACGCTTTGAATGTCTCCAGTGACATCAATTTCCAAAAAAGTGTTTCTGAGTGTGTCCCGGTCACTTCAAGTTTATTGCAGCTAAATTCAACTGAAGTGTCTCTGCTTCTAATCTGGGAAAGCCTTCATCATGTGCCATATCTCTAGGCCAACAGTTGGAGTTTGGGTACCCTTTTTTGGCCACCTCAGTAGTCTACATATTGGTAAACAAGAAAACAACAGTTTGGGTGGCGGATTACAATGTTTATGACACATGATTTTTGAGGCTTACAGGAAAAAAAATATACATTTTATTTCTATTTTTGACTTTAATATCACCGATTGCCAAATAGCTAAAGAAATGTATGTGGTTTCTGACACTTTCTAATACCCCATTTCTAGAATCTGTTCCCTTCAAGCGACCCTGTAATTGTGCATTTTGTTTTGCTGTAACAGAATACCTGAGACTGAGTAGTTGATAAAGAAAAGAGGTTTATTTTGGCTCACAGTTCTGCAGACTGTATAAAAAGCATGACCTCAGCATCTGCTTCTAGTCAGGGCCTCAGGAATCTTCTAATCATAGCAGAAGACAAAGGGGGAGCTGGTGTGTCACATGGCAAGAAAGGGAGCAGGAGAGCAAGTGAGGCTGTCCCAGACTCTTTTTAACAACCAGAGCTCATGCATACTCATTGCTGTGGGGAAGGCACCAAGCCATTCAAGAAAGATCCATCTCCATGACCTAAACACCTCCCACCAGGCCCAACCTCCAGCACTGGGGATTACATTTTAACATGAGATTTGGAGGGGACAAATATCCAAATTATATTTTATCCTCTTTTTTGACCATCATATACCACTCTGTTCTGACCCTATGTACCACTACAAAATGCACCACTACCAAACTCCATCTTGTTAGTGAGGCCATCTTATCCAAAGCACTTTGGACTCGGAAGCTGAAATCTGCATGGTGATTTGTCAACTTCTCCATCCATTGTCTAGTTTTGCTTTCATAAAGACAATATAAATTACAACTCAAAAATATTAAGCCTTTAAGTAAAATTTACAAAATTACATTATTATTAACAAAGAACAGATGAAATGCATAACCTAGCTGTAACCAAGCTCTACAACCATGGGTCCTGCTTAGGAAAGAAATTCTTTCTTTAAAAAATGAATTGGCTACAGTTTCCAAGCAGCAGATGAGTAGGTTTGAATCTAATTTTCTGCTACTGCTGAGTTTAATCTCATGATATCTTAATTTACCTCTTCACTCTCTCCTTCCATTATGTCTTTCAGATTCACCATGACAACTGCTTTTCTATTCACTTCCTCTCTAGTTTCTTCTACCTCATAATTTGGAAACCTTTCTGCTTTGCACAAAAATGTTCTCATCCTCCAGAGGAAAGGTTAGGTATTTAATCTTATGAATTCCTTTGATTCCTAGAAGTGCCATCAGGACTTTATTCCCAGAAACTATTATTTTTTCAAAAGTTTCTTAATGTTAGAAACAAAAAGCTATTTATTTATGTAGGATGTCCTGGATAGGAGCTAGGCATAAAGGATCAAACACAGCTGTGGCATATTAAACATGGCCTCAAATACACTGACAATCATCCTACTGAGAGGTGAGGTTTAATGCCCCTTTCCTTGATTTGGGCTGGCCTTAGAGACATGCTTGACCAGTGTAATGTGGCAGTAATGTTACTTTGAGATTTCAAGGTTGAGTCATATAAAGGTTTACAGCTCCTGGCTGAGTTTCTAGAAACACTTGCTCTTGGTTCCTTCAGCTACCATGTAAGAAGGACAGCAACCCTACTGTAGAGATCATGTCAGGGTTCCAGAGACTGAATGGAGAAAAAGAAGGGCTCAACTGAGCCCAATCTTCCATCTGTCCCTACTAAACTTCCATACATATGAGTGAAGCCATCTTGGACCATCCAGACCGCAAGCTAAACACCATTCAGTGACCCCTACCAATGCTGTGTTGGAACAAAAAGATTCCCCTGAGATCTATACCCTAATTCTTCGCCACAAAATAATGAAATAAAATAATATGTTTGTTGGTTAAGGCCACAAAGTTTTGGAGACACTTGTAAAGCCATAGCTAACTGGAACATAATTCAACATCTAATGCATTTACAAACTCATTGTTCAGATGGACAATGACAGTAGTAAGATTGCTATCACAGCACTTATTCCTATAACCATGATGCAGTTTATATTTTGCATTTAATGATACAAAATATTGTGGGGTTTGAAACAAATTATCTTTAAGTATGCAAATGACTATGATTTAAGTTAAAGACCATATTATATTCATTCCATTCTATTTTATAATCACTGTGATTTTTTTAAACCTGTTTTAAAATCAATAAGAAGCTATTTTGAAATCAAATTAAGTGTGGTAGATCAGGAATGAGGGAAAAGTATCTTTAGAATGAAAGTAACACTATTCAAAAACTTCTAAATCTCCTTAAGGAACAAATATGGTGTGTGTGTATTTGTTATATGTGTAATGAATATATTTATTTATTTGTTGACTTTGTGAGTTAATTTGAAGCCAAAACTCAGTGTCAATCTCACTAATTCTTAGCTTTTCTAGACTTGCAAAAAAATCACTTTCTTTTACTTTTATGTTTTATTACTGTGTCTGCCGGTTAAACAGAATCCGCTGGCACATATTCTAAGTCTCTGACTGTTAGACTGTTAGGCAGCAGAAATGATGATGAGAGAACAGCAGTCAGTGCCTAGGCAACCCTCTTTCATCCTGAGGACATCGCTGATGCTTCTTTTTGTTTTTCTTTTGTTTTGAATACACATACACCTACATAAATACTTGTCTGTCATTGTACTCTACTGTGAAAAATGTCTTAATTCAATCATCAGAACCTGCATGAAATCTGGCAAAGAGAATAAAGGAAGAGTACTTGTGCTAAATGTGCTTGGTACAAATCAAAAGTAAATTGTAAATGGGGATGACAGCACTGTAGCAAAGAAACGTTAATGCCTTTTCATTCCACCATCTACAGCTTTACTCTCCCTTTCCACCATTTTTACCACTTGTGTACTTAGAAGTCCCCCAAAACAAAACCAAACAAACCATGTTTTGCAGAACAGTGCAGCTCTAATTTTACATATATACTTTTTACTCAATAAAATAAAAAGTTCTAAATAAATATAAAATATCATATTATTTTACCTTAAAAAATTTACCTTAAAATTTCTGACTATGATTCCTGTGGCATTAGAAAACATCCCTGGCATGGGTTTTCCACAAAAATGTATTCAGTCCTTTTATATTAACTTTTAAAAAGTCGATTATTTGACTCCTAAATATGAAAAATAAAAGACCTTTTAAAACATAAGCCATTTAAAAAATTCAAATATTATAATAATAGAAGACATAGTTATTACATAGAAGTTTAAATAAAAACAGGTCTATGATTTCTAATCCCCTAATGAATCAGTTGGATTCTAAAGCAAAGATCAGGTATATCTGCACAGAAGAAATAAAATTATGACTTCTCTGCAAAAGAGATCGGAATAGTTGTCCCTAGTGTAGTTGATTTCATTTTCTAATGACAATATCTGTAAAGAGATTATGAATATAAAATAATCTTTGCAACAACTCATCAAACCACCCCCAAATTATAATTTATTAGCAAGCACTTGAAGAAACTCCATACTCAAAATATACCAATTAAGAAGAAGCTGTTCTGTAAACATCTTATAAAGCAGATCACTGGTAAAAGTGAGAATTACTTCTATCTCCGGCACTGCCTATATACACATTGAAGAATCCAGGAAACCTGGTACAGCACTACTAAGGAAACAGCTTCTGAGCCTCTTGAATGAGGAGCCAGAATCTGATAGCCTTCTGCCTGTACCACAACTAGCATATATGATCTCTTGCTTCAAGAGATAGTGTCTCCTCAAACTCACAGATTTAAAGAACCCAAAGGTACTGTTTGGGAAGCTCTGGGAGGAGCAAGCATAGTAAAGTACATGGTTTTGATTACTATTTTTGAAACATTTGATTTATTCAGAGTATTAAAATAACAACAACAAAACAGGCAGTGGAAGTATAGAACTTTCCATTTCTGGAAAATAGAGGGTCACTAGGAGAAAACTATTCAAAAACTGAAAATTAACCTGAGGATTGTGATCATTAAGTTGCTGCTTTGCAAGGTAAGATGAAGATAACAGTAGAAGATTAATTTAAAGAATTAAAACAACAACCATAACAAATTATATTTTAGGGTCATGGGAACGAACACTGCAGAACCAGAAAAAGAAACTCTTCTGGAAAGATACAGAAGAATATGTCTTGGAAAATAATCTTCTAAAAGATGACACAGAAATTTTACAGACTGCATTTGTTTATTTTGTGACAAAAGAATAGACGCAGTGAAAAATCTAAATGGCTCACCTGTGTTATAGCACAGGTAAAATATTTTTTAAAGGAATATTGATCTAGATGATATGAAAACACAAGTGAGCAACCACTGAAGAAAATAGAAAATAAGAAATTATATTTTTAAATTAGCAGTTATTGAAGGAAATAGTTGGTTAGAGATGAAGAAATCATAAATAGAAGAAATGGATGAAAGAATAAAGTCCCTAGCATGACAAACTTAGATTTTCAGATTGAAAAGTTTGAGTGTCAGATATACTAACTTAAAAAAAATTCACTTGTATCTTGCTGGAATTTATGAATTCATATGATAAAGAAAAATATATAAGAGAGGAGAGTTTATAAAAAAGAATTATGTATAAAAGAAAAAAAAATACCAACATAGGACTCAACTTCTCATCCGCAATACTAAAAGTTAGACGTAAGTGGGATTTACAGACCTAAGAAAAATAGCAGACTATATATTCTGAAAATTTCTCCAGCTACAGAACACCTGAAAATGCTTGATAAAATATAACAGTCTCTCTCTTTTCACACAAACACACAGACTTAAGTCTTAAGAAAATAAGAGAAAATTAGTCAGTACAAACTTGGGATAAAACTAGAGCTGCCCAGAAGATATTTGCTGACAAAACTCCTTAGGCCGACAATAGCTAGGGAGATGAAAGTGACATTCCTAAGGACATTGCAATGCCTTCAGAACGCTACATTTAAAAAATGAGAGTAGAGGCAAAATGGTAGGCAATATAAAATAATGAAGAAATGAAAACAAATTTATAAACCCCATAGAATATAGAGAAGAGAGATAGCCGTGACACAGTGTGCATAATAGCTACCTCAGAAGAAGAGAAATATAAATTAAAACGGGGAATATCTGAAGACATAGTGACACTTTTTTCCGAATTAAAAACCGATGGAAAATTACAGATTGAATGTGCTCATAGAATTACAAATAGGAGGGATAAGGCAAAATTCGACCTATATACATTGTATTATTGTAAAAGACTACAGCAGACAAATTTAATTCCAAGTTTAAAGAGACAATATACATCAACTACAGAAGAACAATATCCAGATTTATAAAAGAATTTTGAACACTATGCTAGATGTAAAAAAATAATAAAATGATAGTTTTAAAGTATTCAAGAAATGCACATTATTCTGCAGTTCTATATTTAGTCAAATCACCATTCAAATGTTATCGTATACCCCAAATATGCACAAACATTCAAGCCCTCAGAGTCTTTACCGCACAAAGACCCACATTAAAAAATTTAGGATAAGATACTCAAAGATTAAAAGCATAAAATAATCCAGGATACAGTCAAAGTTTTGGGTGGGGAATAAAGCTAAACTCTGGTAAGTTTATTTTTGTTAAAAAGAAAGAAGAGAAATGGAGCGGGGGTGGGAGCTAGTAAAAGGATATTCAGATAATGAGAGATTGGGGAGGGGCGTTAAAATATGCCCAATAATTTTAGTCCAACTAAAATATTGTGCTACCTAAAAGCCTGGCGTTAGACTTCCCTTCAGTGTTGTCGTTAACTATCATTGAGTCATTCTTCTTAATTTCTCAAGAATTTGTTTCTGGATCACTGTCTTTCTAATATGACTCCTACCTTTATTCTCAGTGGTTTTGATAATACACATGGGTGATCCTCCCAACACTCTAGTCTCTCATTTCCTTCAACTCTCCTTAAATGGTGGTGTCCATCAATCACTTTCGACCATATGTTCTCAACGTCATATCATAGAATTGTCATTCTCCAGTTACTATAATCCTTCCACAAATTTCATTTGGTGCATCTCACTCATGTCCACAAACCCATATATATTTTTCTCACATCTTCTACTGTCTTAACAAAATCCTTTTCCCACTAACACCACCGATCTATTTATCTCACTACCTTTTCACCATCCTGATTCTTTTCTATATACTGAACTTAACTTCCATGGTCCAGCATCATAATCACTTCCATGAAAACACCCTCCATTTCACCACTCTCAGATTGGCTCATGCATCATCATGCTCACTTCCTAAAATCACAACTCTGATTAAATATAATTCAGCCTACTCCACACCCACACCCATGTAACTGAATGTGGCTATGGGAAAAAAAAGTCATATTGACATTCCCACTTTAACTCATGACCACGATCATGAAGTGGTCTCTAAATGTACACTATACCATATTTTTCTAACCATATATTTTATCATTTCCCTAGATAATTATTTTACCTTTCCATATCTTAAAATCCTATAATACATGTTCTCCATGCTTACTCTCAGCTGATGAACTTTTCTTACTTTACTGAAAAAAAATGAAATAATCAGAAGAAAACTTCCACAAACTCCCACAACTTCATTTACGAACCCTCCACCATCTGTACCCAAATTATCTACCTTCCCACCTGTTACTATAGTGAACCATCTGTGCTCTATATGAAGCCAATATCTCCACTTATATACTAGATCTCATCCCTTCTCAGTAACTTAAAGAAGTGGCTCCAAAGATTCTTTCCTGTCTCATACTTTGTTAATTTTTCCTCTTTATTATATAATTTCCATCAAAATAGAGCTATGCTATTTTTCCAATTTTATACAGTATTAATATGGCAATATTTTTCTACCTTTCTACCAGGTTATGTTCCACTTCTATGCTCCTGTCTGCAGGAAAACTTTTAAGGATAAATTTCTTTACTCATTGTTTCTAATACTTGTATTCTAATTTTCTCCTAAACCCATTCAAATCAGGCTTTTCTTCCACCATTCCATTGTTCATACCCAGGTCATCCATAACCTTTCAATTACTACATTAAATGGCTAATTTTAAGTAGTCTTATTTGAACCATTGGTAAAATGTTATCATGCTTTCCTCATTTTTATATCTGATTTCTAATATGCCACACTCATGTGGTTGTGTTTCTACCTTACTTATTTTTTCTTCTTAAACAACTTTTCTTCTTTGTCAATGTTAAGGATTCTGTCTCAAGATTCACTCCCATGATTCAGTCCTTGATTCTCTCCTCTGATTTAACTACATTAACTCCTTCTGTGATCTCTAAAAACCACCTAAATTCTGCTCACTCCCTAATTTACACTGAAAGCTCATGTTTATTTTCTAACCCTAGATTCATACCCAGCTTTCTTCTCAACATCTCCAGTTGGAAACCTAACAAACATTGCCATTTCAAATCCAAGTTGAACTTTTTGTTTTTGCCTCTCAAATTTATTCCATGCATGATCTTCTTATCTGAGCTTATGACAACACATATTCTAACTGTCCTATCTTAATATCTGATCATTTTTCATCACATAACAAATCCACTATTCCAGGAAATACTGGTTCATCTACCCTCACAATATAATCATATTATTTCTTAGACATTGAATTAACATCTTGGTACTTCCCACACATCATCATCTCTCAGGTAATGTTTATTTTTGCAATAAATTCTTGTTTGCTTATCTCTAACAATTTCCTCTTCAGTCCATACCTAAAAATAACAGAATGATCCTTTTAACATATAAACCTGATTTTGCTTTTCCTTCATTTAAAATCACCTAACGGTTCTGCATCTTGCTCAAGTTAAAAGACAAAATACACACAGTAGCACACAAGGACTTGTGCAAGACTCCACTGCCCTTATTTTCTTAGAGCTTACATTTTACTACTCCCCATTACATGCTCACTACTCACACACTTTGTCTCCGTTTCTTTTCAAACACACTATGCACCATCTTGTCTATAGACCTGCATATTTCCCCAGTCTAGTAAAATTTTACTCCAGATATCATCATGGAAAATTTCCTAGCCTCCTTAAATCTTTGCTAAAATGTTACCTCCTCAATGGGCTTATTCTGATCAACATATTTTACACCGCATTCTATGAGTTCTACATCCCTGTATTATTTTCCATAACTCTGATCATTCTAATATTTTATGATTCAGTTATTAATGATGATTATTGTTTGTGTCTGTTTTATGCATTGACATTTCTAAGTAAAATTATTGTGCCTGGAATTTGGTAGGCTTTCAAGACATATTTATTAAATGAATGAATAAATATAAGATTGAAAATAAAAAGATGGAAAACAATTATACCAGCTGAAAAAGAACTGAAATTCAATCCAAGATGAACACACAGGAAAAAATATATATTATGATAAATTGTCAGGACAAAAAAATAGAAAAACTGTAGATCACACACACACAATGGAAACTGATTCTATTGATTGTTAATTTCAGCTGCAGATATTTTTATGATAGAAAATTATCATTGTATTTCTTTTTTCCCAAGGTCCCTAATATTTGAGATAGATATCTCATCTTCCAAAGTCCTTTCAGTATTGTTTCTTAGATTTTATCTATCAATGTTCTTATCAAATTGAGCAATATGAATAATTTCAATCCCTCATTCTCTTCTATTTTTTGAAAGCACTTATCTCCTTCTAACCTACTAAACAAATCAAATATTGTGCTAAATATCATTTTCCCTCTCCCTTATCTAAAATGTAGGTTTCATGAGGGTAGGTAATTTTGTACCTATTGTATTCCATAGCCCTTTTTTTTTTTTTTTTTTTTTTTTTTTGAGATGGAATCTCACTCTGTCACCTAGGCTGGAGTGAAATGGCGTGGTCTTGGCTCACTGCAACCTTCGGCTTCCAGGTTCAAGCAATTCTCCTGCCTCAGACTCCTGGGTAGCTGAGACTACAGGTGCATGACACCACGCCCAGCTAATTTTTGTATTTTCAGTAGAGACAGGGTTTCACTATGTTGGACAGACTGGTCTTGTACTCCTGACCTTGTGATCTGCCCACCTCAGCCCCCATAGACATTTAATTGTGCCAGGCACATAGTAGGTGCTGAATAAAAATATGCTGACTAAGTAAATTATGTATTATATTTCCAGTTATTGAACCTTGAATTTCTAGGATATTTCATTCTTTGAGGATGATAACTTATTTTGTTAATGTGTTGTTTAATAACATTTACTTACATACATTGCTATTTAAAAATCAATATTCTTATAAATTATGGGTCTATTGCTTTCATTCACAGCACTGTCATTATTAGAAAGTTGTATTATAACTATTAATAATACTGAATGTTTTGAGAACTTCTTTCTATGCTCTGATTAATTTTAAGTTTAGGAACTTGTTTCCGTGCATGAAACTTTTAGTGGCTTAATAATTCAAACTTAGGATATCTCATCACAAACATTTTGGCACTAATACATTTGCTAATGGCCTCACAACATGAAACTTAGAAAACATAGTTTTCACTTGTATAATAAGATCTAAACTTAATTATCAAATTGAATTCAGCTGATTATATGGAGTTAAAATATTGTATATTAATAAGCATTATTTATTTTGATATGATTTAATAACAACAAAATGAATTAAGTATATAATACCAGTGTAAACCAAAAATAAAATTCTAAGCTGCCCAGACATTGGAAAGGCCCTCTTTTCTCCTCAAAGGGCATTCCAAAGTTAACCTGAAAAACTAGTTCAGGACATAATGGCAAAGGGGAGCTGGACATGCCTTATTATAACCTCCTCTCATTTAGAATTACTGATAGAACGGACTCTTTAAGTCTGATAAATATTTACAATCTAATCTCTGAAGTCAGCTACCTGGATGCTTCATCTGCATGATAAAACCTTGGTCTCCACAACCCCTTTATCTTAACACAGACATTCCTTTCTATTGAATCTAAGTCTTTAGGCAGTTACTTGACTCTTTCAACCAACTGCCAATGAGAAAATCTTTGAATCTACTTATGACCTGAAATCCCCCCACTTCCAGTTGTCCTGCGTTTCCAGACCAAACCAAGGTACACCTTACATGTATTGATTGATGTCTTTTGTCTCCCTAAAATGTATAAAACTAGGCTGTACTTGCCCCAGTCACCTGGGGCACATGTTCTCAGGGTCTCTGAAGGGCTGTGTCATGGGTCATGGGTCATTCATATTTGGCTTAGAATAAATATCTTCAAATATTTTACAGAGTATGACTCTTCTCATCAACACTCTTTTTCTATTTCTTGAATAGAAAAACATTTTTTATGAAGAAACTAGACACATAATTTATTTTTATTACAAAACAACTGAACTTAGGAGTTATTGAATCTAAAGTATTTTTGTGTGTGTTTGTGTGTAGGTATGATACATATATATGTATGTGTGGGTGACTACATTTGTAGCTACATTTGAAAACAATGAGGAAATATGCATAGTTTCTTTTATTCTAGCATTGAAACTAGATTAAGGGCAAAGTGTAAAGTCATCTGCTAAATCACATGTAATGAACTGGGGCCTGGTAACAGGAATGAGTGTGGCATGATGAAAGAGCATGAGGAAAGTCAATGAGTCCAGGGCACAGTGAGATAATGTGAGGGTTGTATAAGATTTTAAAGGTAAGTTGGGATCAGATTATACAGGGCCTTGGAGACCACGACAAACCCTTCTACTGTTTCTTCCAGTGTTATTTATCATCTCAATTACAAATTATTTTTTCATATAATTAACAAACAAAATAGGTGTACAGTAACACTTATATTTAAAATATATACTCACTGTTAGTTTTACCTTGAGATTTCCTAGGTAAGTATAAATACTTACTAAAATTTTATAATATATTGACTTACAATATCACTCTTACATCAAAGCAAAATGAAATACTTTTCTACAACTTAGCTACATTCAAGTAATAATAAACTTGCTGCATATCAAAAGAGGCAGTTCTCAAGAACAGATTGTTTTTACTAAAATATGGTTCAAATTCAAATTTTATTTTTATTCCAAAAATTCTATATATTTTATAATTTTGAATAAGTTTTAAGCAATTAAATACCAGGTGACGTAGTAAATGATATGCTATCCCTTGTTTCAATTGTGCTTATAGTAAACCATTAACATATAGAAGTAAAATTTTATAATGGTACATATTTTGTATTGCTTAGTCCCTTGTATGACTAAGGAAAATCTTTAGGAAAAGATGGAAGGTAGTGAATACAAAATAAATGTAGTGTCTATGATCCAGGAAGATGAATTAAATCTCAATTGTAAAATGCTCATTATTTACATGTCAAATAATATGTTTCTCCAGAAAACTCTAATTAATTAAAACTTTATAATTTAAAGACGATCTATTGAACATATATTTGCCTTACATGTAAAAGCAAGGTGAAATATAAAATGTCGTAATCTTTTTATATTTTTTAAGCATGCAGATAAATAAATTTATATCTCACTTCTAATGTGCTAACAGCAGAGATTTATAATATCAGGAAAGTGAGATCTAATTCAATTCCTTTCCCAAAATATGTAGAGATGAATCATGAGTCAAGACAATATAGAAAATGTACAAATAATATAATTTTTAAATTTATATTTCAAAATTCTATATTCTAAAAATGCCAAATTATCTAAGAAATAAAAATAATTACAATTTTTATGTTTCCAAAATGAGCCATCTGTCTTTCTGGGTAGTTTTTGGATTTAAAAGTATTCCTTTCTGCCCCAGTGAAATGTTGTGGCATTCCTTCTTTTAACATCAATAAAGAAAAATTTTAATAATGATATTAAAAGATTAAATTTTAATATGGATATTCCATTTGAGAACTAAGATTTATTTCATTTCATGTATCTCACAACTTCCAATAAAAATACTGCTCTTGACTCTAGCAAGAGAAAAAAGCACAAAAAACTAAATTTTTTCTATAGTAAAAGATATTGGAAGAAACTAGCAATAACTTATAGTATGTCCTAAGTTGCAAAGTTGAAGTGTATATGTGCTGTCTCTTCTTTAAAACTTTTTTAGCAAAGATTGTGATTATACAAACACATTTTATTAACAGCTCTTTACAATGAACAATGCTTAAGTGTCCTGAGCAAATAAGTATCTAATTTATTTTTAACAATAATCAGGAATTCTGAATTATTTCACACAGTTCAATTATGATATTATTGAATCAAATATTCATCATAGATTTAACTTTTAATCTAGTTCTATAGCCCTATTTTCAAATAAGACCTCTCCACTTGGATACATCATTAAAATAATAAAACTTGGTGTGACAAAACATGAATATATTACCTTAATGTCCCCTTCCCCAAGCTTACATCTTCTCACTATTATGGAAAATAAGACCATAGACTCAGAATTCAAAATATTTTATGGATAATTTTAATCATTTTTTTTAAACCTGCATTGCAGAAAGGAAAAATACTTCTCACTATTTGGGAGTTGGGAGTATCACACCCCTTACATAAAATTGAAGGCTGTCTTTTGCCCAGAGCACCACTGAAGACCATTTTTGAGAGAGAGTTTGTGAGCATCATGGGAAGAAGGCTTCATGACAGCCAGGTTGGGTGGAGTTTAATGTGTGTAGGAGGTGAGAGGAGACTCCCTGGCATTCAGGCAGAGAGATGCATGTGATATCCTGGAGGGAAGATGTCTTTGCAATAGTAAGTTAAGGAACTTCTCAAAAGCTCTTTAAAAGACATACTGATAACAAACTTTTGGGAAGGGTTGCAGTTTTTCAGCATAAAACCTTCAGAAAACATTTATTCCCATAAAAGGATTATTTCCTCAATACCACTGCCTGTCAATATAGCCATTACTAAGGCTGCCTGTATCTTTCTCTTTCTTTTTTACTTTTCATAACCAAACTTCTGCTTTTTCCTTAATAAAACCGTATAGCATTGAGAATGTGTTAATTTTTTCCTTGTTTCTCTATCTTCAAGTCAACCAGGAATAAGCTTTTAATTGCACAGTTTTGTCCTGCTAAATCCCTTTAAATATACAGGATTTATATACACATAGATAGATAGATAGCCCTTAAAAATATGTGTACACCTGAATCTCTGAAATTATAAAATCCAAATTATATAGGCTTTTAAGTTTTGTATAAACAAAATTGCCAAATTCAAACTGAAGCGTGTATGATATTTAATGTGTGGTGTTTTCAACATGCTGTTAATATATATATTTTAATTTTACCAAGATAATTTCTTCTTGTCACTTGCTGAAAGCTTCAAATCTAAGTATAATAATTATGTTTTATGTGTTGAGATCACAGACTTCTCATCAACCCCATTTAAACTGTAACCCCCATCTTCATCAGCACACACCAAACAAAACAACTTCTTTGTTAAATATGTGTCTGATAATTTATTTTCTCAGTTTTTGGGAGTGAGTGAGAGAAGAAAAGGGAGGGAGAGGAAGGGAGAAAATGAAGGTAGGAGGAGGTAATATATGAATCTGCTTCCTTTGTCCCTCCATCCTAGGGTGGTAGCGATTCCTGCTCTTGTCAACAGTTTAATTATACTTTTAATTAAACACAGTGGTGCAGCCTCCTGCTGGCTATCTGAGTGGGTTCCTAGGGCAGCTGTCTTCTGGCTGGTTTGATAAAGGAGACTATGGAAGGCAGGAAAAAGAGAGGGTATTCTTTATTTTTCTCTGCCTTGAGTGGTATCTCTGGTACCAGCTTCATCTTCTCTGAGGCTCCAGCTCCCACTGAAAAACCTCACCATGGTTCTTGCTTTTACCAAATGATGTCAATTTCTGGGTACTGAGCCTGCTTCCTTTTATCCTAGCGTAGCAGAGACTCCTGCTCTTGTCAACCTTATATTAACAATTCCCCAACTGACATCTCAGTTCTTCCATTACTTGCGTAGCCAATTCTTTCTACTAAATCCACTCTATTTTGCTTACTGGAACTGATTGATAAGTGAGCATATCCCTGTGTTTAAATCTTGGCACACCCCTGCTATTATTTTTGTGTATGAACTCCTACAAGTTAATTGCTTCAAGGTAGTGCTTTGATATATATGACCAAACTATCATCCAGAAGTTTTGTATTCAATAATAGTTTTAAGAGCATGCTCTAAGAATTCCTACACGCTTTCACTGGTGAAAAAATTAGCATCAAAAAATGAATGAAACATTGTAATTTAATAGCTCAAACACGGCATTTCCTTCTTAATTTGTATTTATTTGGTTACTGGGAAGCTTACAAGAAATACTTGATACACTTTTATTAGATAATTTAAGGTTTTCAATAAATCCTTACACATATACTAACTCTAAATTAAAGGTGGCAACATGTATCATAATTATATCACAGGTGCCTTCTCTCATATTTGAGGTTAATTATATCTCCTCGGCCTGCCCTTATGATTTTAGCGTACTATTACTTAGTGGTAGCAAGGGGTCTTCAAACTTGTCATCAGCTCCACCTTAAAATTATAAATGGATATTTGAAGACTAAAACCTTAAAACATTTAATACATTTAATAAAGAGGAGAAAAATCAGTAATCTGATAGACTATTGTAATAGACTGAGGTGCATAACTGTTTAAAATTGTAGCTTATTAAAGAAGTAACATGACTATTTTAGACTCCAGAAAACACAGTTAAAGAAATAAATCAGCCAGTTCTAAGTAGAAGAAATCCATTCCTAACAATGTTGTTATTTGAGTTTTGTGGGTTCATTTTCACTCAATACATGAAGAAAAATTTTGAGAAAATTTTATGGGTGTGTACATCTACTTATATTAAAACATGCATATTACCTATGATATTTTACGTGTATGTGTTATATGTATAATATATATGGCAGCTTCTTTGACCAGCTAAATAATCCATTAACTTATTTTTAATTATTCTAACATTTATTCCTACCTTAGATCTGAGTAGGCTACTCATTAGAACATTATTTTACTAAAATAAATAAATACATAAAAGAATTGTCCTTTGTTATGTGATATCATCAACTTATAATGTAATGCTCTAAAGTTTCTTCTTCTTGCTACAGCATGAATGAGGTGGAGGGGGCTCTCAATCACTCAGTGTCCTCTTTATGAAGCTTCCTAAGGAAATCCTTGCCTGGATTTGTACTAAGAACATTCACGCTTCTGGGCAATGGATCTATTTCAGCTTGCGAACAACAAACTCTATGACTGAAGAAACCTCCCATTCTATGTTGCCTGGGCGAAATCTTAATCAACTTTGTGGCCCATCTATAACAATGTTGTAGACTCAGAATAAAGTATTGAACATCTTCCCTGGTTCAATTTGATCTATCCAACGTTATTAGTTTTATCTACCTTTGGTGTATTGCTGTGTGCCAGGTATCTGCATAATCCACTTGTTGAAAGAGAATGCATTTACATTGCTTAATCACATATGTTGTAACTATACGATCAAATTATATACAAGCAAAACAATGGTTCGACAACTTTCATCATAAAGGGTTTGCATGCAAGACGTTAAATTTCTAGGTTATTTATTTAATTTTAAAATATCTATATACTTTTTTTCTGCTTTTTTTAAAATAAGTATAACTCAAATATTCATACAGTTTCTCTAGTTCTGGAATCCCATCTGTTTTTTATTCAGAAAGGGATTCAGAAGAAAGGCCAGAAAATGAAAGTATCATAACAGACAGACACAGAGCTTATTTAAGCTTGAATTGTAATAAAAATATTTTTAACTAAATAAAAATGACTGTTGAAATAGCTTACCAAAATGTAACAGGAATCAAAGTTTTGCATCTGTTGACATATTCTTCCACCTGTGAATTTAAACTGGCTGTGTAACAACTCAATCCTAGGAAATATCTTTTTTCTTTATAAAAGTAAGACTATGATTTTAAGAAATTGTTGGCCTATAAACTGTTCTCTGGACTATCCTACACAGGGTGAGTTGAAAAACATTGTATAAAGTAGGGTTAAGCAAACTTTTTTCTGTAAGGGGCCAGATAATAAGTATTTGAAGATTTGCTGGCCATATGGTCTCTTTAACAACTACTCAAATTTGTTTTTATAGTATGAAAACACCCTTAGACAGTGGGTAAACAAATAGGCATAAATGGGCATACCTGTACTTTAATAAAGCTTTATTTACAAAACAAGCGGTGGTCTATATTTGGTTCTAGGTCCACAGTTTTCTGAGCACAAATAAATAAAAGTCTCCCATAATTCATATTAAATCTTATTTTAATTTATTGGAAGATATGGGGAAATACAAAAAAGCACAAACAATGAAAATGAAGTAGATTATACCCCTAAGAAATAATTGATGTCAATGTCTTGGTATTTTTAGTTTATGGACTTTTAGTTTTTCTATCATGCAGAAATGTAATATTATAATAAGTATTTGTTGATATGCATATACTCAATCAGTTACCGTTTTAAAATATATATATCATTACGTTTTGACTCAATAAAGAAAGAGAATCATATTTGTGTTTTGAAAATGCCTGCCCAAGTTACCTTGGTAACTTCAAGCCCTTTTTTCCCAAGAGTTGAAATAAGTTCTTATAGGGTCTTATATTTCTACTTCATTTTAATCAACATCATCATAACCATGACGAAATTGCTTATCAAACAGTTAATGCTAAAACACATTCCACAGAGCAGTTTATGAGTATAGATTTTTAATATGGTAACAGATCAACTACCAAGCAAGAGATATTAGCTGGCCATTATAAACATAGCTACAAAACAACTTATCCCCGTAATTCTCAAGTCTCAGAGGTATGGGATGTGAAATTCATATGCTCAGCTATTTCAGAAAGGATAAATATAGTGTTCTCAAGGACATAGCTACCAGAAATATTTTAAATGCTTGTAATATTCCCTTTAATTCAGTACTCTTTACAGAAGTTATAAAATTGCTGTTTATTATTTATGAGGTTTCGATTTCATTTCTCATTCATCCTTCTATCTAGATAGGAAAATACAGGGCGAAGAGTTGACATCTTTACTCCTCACCTGTGTGAACACAGCCTAATCCCCTGTTTAAAGGGGTCTGGAGAGTTGTCAATTACTGGGCCTTGACAATGGAAGTAGTCTGGAAGTCTGTTGTAAGTTCTATTTGCACGGATTTTCATGGAAGTAGTATTCAAGATTTGATGCTTTTTAAGATCCGTAAACTAGTCAGGGTCTGGTCAACAATGGTAAAATTAAAAAGCAAGTGAAATAGCCTAAATCAGAGGGATATCTTTTGCCACCAAAAATAAAAAGGTTTGAAGTGGTTCTAAAAAATACTTTGGAACTTTTCATTAGAAGATAAAATAGTATTTCATTGCTTCATCAATATATGGAAAATGTCTCTCACAACACCCACTCAAAGGAGCAGTTACGGTCCTTATCTGTGTTTTTCTAACTGCTAAGATAAAGTAAAAACATTTTGGAGGAAAAAAAACAAAAATCTTGCAATGGATAGATTTAGAATTGGTTATATCGTGGATGTCCGGGAGGAGCTGTAGTGAGGACATGGTCACATGCTGAGTAGAAGGAAATAGCCTACAGCTAAATGTTTCTGCCACCTAAATCCCAGAGTAGCAATGGGTTAACAGCAAAGCTCCTGACTCTGATGGTATCTCCAGAACATGTAATATCTTTCTATTTTCAGTCATAATTTTGCTCTGGGTCTAATGAAATCAATCTCACCTTGATAATTTAGGTTTAAGAGTTTTCCTGGCTGAGTTATAAACTTTGTAATAGCCTTTCTAAAAGATGCATTCCGGTATATTACTCTAAATCACTCCTTGATTTTATTCAGTTCAAAATGTTAATTGTTCCTGCCATGGCCATGGTATGCTTTGTAGAGGATGTAGAAATTTTTAAGTGTAGACCCTGCCCTCAGAGAACTTACAAGAATGTGGGAAGGAGACAGATTCAACAACAATCCTAACATAAAGCAGAGTGTGGTCAATGCCTTAATGAAAATTCAAAGACCTAGAGACCTGGGAAGAATGAGCTCACATTTGGCACAACAGATCAGGAAAGAACATGAGAGTGGAGATGACAATGGTGAATGGAAAGATATTGACATGGTAAATATTGTGTTGAACAAATTTGCTGAGGCAGGGAAACCTATGCTATGTTCAAACCCTATAAGCAATTCAGTTTTCTGTGCAGAAGTTCTTTAGTTTAATTTGATCCCATTTGTCAAGTTTTGCTTTTGTTGCAATTGCTTTTGGCATCTTTGTCATGAAATCTTTGCCCAAGCCTATATCTTGAATGGTATCTCCTAGGTTGTTTTCCAGGATGTTTATAGTTTTGGCTTTTACACTTCAGACTTTAATCCATCTTGAGTTAATTTTTGTATATGGTGTAAGGAAGGAGTCCGGTTTCAATTTTCTGCATGTGGCTAGCCAGTTATCCCATGACCATTTACTGAAAAGGGAATCCTTTCCCCATTGCTTGTTTTTGTAAGGTTTGTTACAAAGGTCAAATGGTTGTAGGCGTGCAGTCTTATTTCTGAGTTCTCTCTTCTGTTCCATTGGTCTATTTGTCTGTTATTGTATCAATACCATGCTGTTTTGGTTTCTGTAGTTCAAAGTCTGGTAGCATGATGCCTATAACATCATGTTCTTTTTGCTCAAAATTGCCTTGGCTGTTTGGTCTCCTTTTTGGTTTCATATGAATTTTAAAATAGTTTTTTTCTAGTTCTGTAAAGAATGTCAATTGTAGTTTAATAGAAAGAACTTTAAATCTATAAATTGCTTTGGGCAGTATGGCCATTTGAACGATATTAATTTTTCCTGTCTGTGAGTGTGTGTGGCAATTCCTCAAAGACCTAAAGACAGAAATACCGTTTGACACAGCAATCCCATTACTGGGTATATACACAAAAGAATATAAGTTGTTGTTTTATAAAGACACATGCACGCATATGTTCATTGAGTACTATTCACAATAACAAAGATATGAAATCAACGCAAATGCCCATCAATGATAGACTGGATAAAGAAAATGTGATACATATATACCATTAAATGCTATGCTACCATAAAAAAAATAAGAAGATCTTGTCCTTTGCAGGAACATGGATGGAGCTGGAAGCCATTATACTTAGCAAACAGAAAACCAAATACCGCATGTTCTCACTTATAAGTGGGAGCTAAATGATGAGAAACATGGACACATAGAGGAACAACATATACTGGGGTCTATCAGAGGGTGAAGGGTTGGAGGAGGGACAAGATCACAAAAAATAACTAATGGGTACTAGGCTTCATACTTGGGTGATGAAATAATCTGTACAGAAAACCCCCGTGACACATGTTTACCTATATAACAAGACTGCACATGTATCCCTGAACTTAAAAATATTTTAAAAATCAGTTTGATGGGAGCCAATATGATGTCATAAGAGCATAGTTTGGAATAAATGTGAGACTATAGTCTGATGAAAGTGATCAAGAACTGGGGAATAATTTGTCCCACTAATTTTGAATCTGGGAGCTGTTTTCATACTAACTTTATCACTACTTTTAACCCAGGTCAGATTTTTCATTTTATTTTCTTGTGAAACAGAGATATAGAAAAGCTACATCAAAGGCATTGTAGGAGACATGAATGAGATAATAAAGCAAAATTTAGAAAAGATTTGTATAAAAATTACAATAATATAAAAATGGGAAGTATATTTGAAGATTAATATAAAAACTATTTCTATCTCTTTGTGATTTAAGGAATAGGAAGTACTTTCAGAGACATTATTATATTCAGCCACCAACTATACTCTATGTAAATAAGAAGACACACAATTATTCTATAATGAAGAAAACAAGCATCAAATTATGGGGAGTGGGCTGGTGGGGTAGGAAGGGATGCACTATCTAAAAAGCCTAACTTTTCCCAAGCAGGATGACTAATAAAACAAGATTGCTTGGCACTAAGTGGGTTGTGATTGTCCCAGGTTGGTATGGTTAAAAGAAATTCTATTGAAACTTAGAGGTAAAGAATCAAAGACAAGACTATTTACTCAAAGAAATAGGTCTTGTTTCAGTTTTGAATTAGGAAAAGTAGTTCAACTGAGGGACATCAGATAGAGTTAACCAGGGAGAGTTAATGCAAAGTTTATCCTGAATAGAAAGAGAAAATAGAAAGCAGTAAAAATCGAATTGATGCAAGCATTTGTAATGAAGGAAAAGCACGCTGTGACCACTCTTAATTTCCCTTGTGTAGCAAGTGAGAGCTTGTCATGTAGGGTCATCCAAAGCATGTGACACGTGCAAAGCAATTTAGCAGACTGACAGTGGTAGAAACCAACTAAAAGTTTAATAAAGGAATACATTTGTACTACCTGCCACTCAAATGTTTCCTGTTTCAAAAGAATACTATTACAGCGGACCCTTGTCTAATTCTGCTTTGGCATGAGGACTGCACTGGTGGGACCAGAATGTTGTGCAGTTATTTAGGGAGGCTGCTGGGAACTAAACTACATATGGATCTTTTAGATAGTCCTTATGGGGCTCAAGGTTATAACTTTGCCTACATTCTTAATACCACCTGCATACTATTGGGGCTCAGGTCAATCATATTTTCAACTATTGTAATATTTTTCAATTTTAAAATAATAATTACCTACATAGACTACCTGTTTATTTCTACATTATATTAGCCATTGTTGAATATATCTACAGACAAAACCATTCCAATGATAATTTTAGCTTAACTTTGCATCTTTCATTTAAATGCCACTCATTGTTATTTGTCTTTCTTGAATCTTCCTAAGTTTCCCGAAATCATGAAGCCCATTTTGATTGCCAATAACCGAGAATGGTCATTGAAATGCTTTGAAGAGGTCTGTAGCTCACTCCCACACTGTGTTTCTCAGGAAGTGCTGAAGATAGTATTTTCTGCATTTTTTGTAGTGATTCTGCAGGGTGATTGTAACATGACAAATTATTGACAGCATCCTGCTCACCAAAGTTTTGGCTTCTTTTCCTCTTAAATTATAACAGAATTAATGGTACTTTAAATTTCATTTTCTGAAAACAACTACTAACAACAGTCCATCAAATATATTGAATCGGGCTTTGATAGTTGTGTAAGTATTAATAAAATTACACCAGCCCAATATAGAGTTGTTGAATTTTTATGCCCTTTATTTCTATTGCAGTAGTTGGCTTGTACAGGCAAAAGCCTTGCCTTCCATTTGGACTTTGTGCCACATGGTGATCAAGTAATTGTCTTTCTTATGTGCAAACAACAAGATCCAGTTCAAATAAATTTAAGTGAATAAAGAAAGAAGAAACAATGAAGTAAGAGAAGGCAGGGGAAGGCAGGGGAAGGGAGGGGAGGGGAGGGAAGGGAGGGGAGGGGAGGGAAGGAAGGGGAAGGGAGGGGAGGGGAGGGGAGGGAAGGGAAGGGAAGGGAAGGGAAGAGGGAAAGGAAGGGAAGAGGGAAAGGAAGGAAGGGAGGGAAGGGAAGGAAGGGAGGGAAGGGAAGGAAGGGAGGGAAGGCAAGGGAAGAGGGAAGGCAAGGGAAGAGGGAATGAATGAAGGGAAGGGAAGGGAAAAAAGGAAGATGGAAGGGAAGGGAGAAGGGAAAGGAAGAAAGGGAGGGGAAAAGGGGAGAAAAGGGAAGGGAAAAAAGAAAAAAGGGATTTATAAATACATTAATTAGCTCACATAATCATATTTCAAATCCAATGAATGCGAGCACCAAAAGAAACACAGCCAAGCTAAAATTCTATTGCAAGAAATGCTGATTAGGTTTTGTGCATTGTTCAAGCTGCCACACCCATTTACTGTCATATCATTGGGCCCTTATTTCTGTCACATTTGCCACAAATGATCTTTGACCAGCATTCTCAGAGGGTAAGGTGATGTAAAATCTAATCCATAATGGCTTTTACAGAGAAAGGCCAGACTCCAACCACCTGTTCCCTGCCTTTTTAGGTAATTTTGTCTTCAATACAAAGAGGTTGGAAAGCCAAAAAGGACAAATATATGTTTTTTGGCTTAAGATCTTTACTGGGATATTTAATAATTGGACTAAATTGGTCCCCTTTTACCAAACATCATTAAAATTTCCTCTTACCAGTAAGATATCTCCATGGCTAAGTGATGGGCCAGTGAACAGCTGATGATAGAATAAGGAAGCAATCTATGGTATATGAGCTCTGTTTCAAAGTAATTAAGAACGTATACCTTTGTGTCCATGCATTTTGGTTCAAATGCTGATTCTTCCACTTTCTGGCTCTGTGAGACTGAATAATAATTTAATTGTTCACACTTAGTCTTAGTTTTCTTTATTATTATACTGTAAGTTCAGGGTACACGTGCACAAAGTGCAGGTTTGATACATAGGTATACATGTGCCATGTTGGTTTGCTGCACCCATTAACTCGTCATTTACATTAGGTATTTATCCTAATGCTATCCCTCCCCCAGCCCCCTACTCCCCAACAGTCCCTGGTGTGTGATGTTGCCTGCCCTGTGTCCAAGTATTCTCATTGTTCAGTTCCTACCTATGAGTGAGAACATGTGGTGTTTGGTTTTCTCTCTTTGTGGTAGTTTGCTGAGAATGATGGTTTCCAGCTTCATCCATGTCCCTGAAAAGGACATGAACTCATCCTTTTTTATGGCTGCATAATATTCCATGATGTATATGTGCCACGTTTTCTTAATCCAGTTTGTCACTGATGGATTTTTGGGTTGGTTCCAAGTTTTTGCTATTGTGAATAGTGCCACAATAAACATATGTGTGCATGTGTCTTTACAGTAGCATGATTTATAAACCTTTGGGTATATATCCAGTAATGGGATGGCTGGGTCAAACGGTATTTCTAGTTCTAGATCCTTGAGGAATCGTCATGCTGTCTTCCACAATGGTTTCCTATCTGACTTGGCAAAGGTAGCATATCTGCAACAGTGGGTTTAATTGGGGTTACTTCTTGGTTGATTTTGTATTATTCCATTTTTTTTAGCATCCATACTGGTAAATTAAATGGAGTTATAATGGAGATCATGACTCCTAATCCCTTGAGTCTTTAAAGATGTCCCTATTCTCTGTCATTACCCTTATGTACTACTGATTCTGATCTACTACCATTGCTGGGAGCAATGAGGGCATCATTATGTTAGAGGATTCTATTTGGCTTTTCTCACTATGGCAGCCCTTACAGTTTACAAAACCAATTTGATTATTAATTATTGATTCAACTGTGAAATATATCTATTTCAAATATACAATTCAAGACCAGGGAAATGACCCATGATGGGTCTGTGAACATAGTAAACCCAGTAAACCCAATGTTAACCACACCTTGGCTGGAACTCCATCTGTAACCTGTCTCACATAATCCTGCTCTATCAAGGAACTATAATGATATTTTCTCTCCTCAAATGTCCATGTCTATATGCACTCTCTATTTAACAGTTCTCAAAATATCTGAGTATTCCCCTTTCCTTGTGTATGATTGCCTGAATAGGATTCTTTAAGGTAGGGCTTGGGGAATTATTATTAAATAATCATTTTATATTGTTGCAAGGGAACCCCACCTCATCTTCCCATGGGAATCTGCCCTCTCTTTCAGTCAATAGCTTTGGAGTCTGAGATTTCACTCAAGACAGTGATTTTAATTTTTAATTGGCATGGCTGATAACCCTCAACATTCTGATTATTCACCTTTATTTTAATTATATAGATTAAGGAATACTATTGTTAGTTACCAATTAAGGAAGCAGGATTGGTCAGAGGAAAAAACTGTGTTACAGAATTTTGATACAGTTCTAACATAGACCTCAGCAAATCCCAGTGGGAGCTTTGGGACTGAGATGGCCCTACCAAAATGTCCTAATATGGGGCAAGGGGCCGTCCCTTCCTGTCACCACAATGACAAGTTGATATACACAATATGGCTCAAAGGAAGAAAGAAAACTTTTGTGGAGATGGTTTTTGGTATGGTTTGGCTCTGTGTCCCCACCCAAATCATATCTCAAAGTGTAACCTTCATGTGTCAAGGAAGGAAAGTGATTTGATCATGGAGGCAGTTTCACCCATGCTGTTCTCACGATAGTGAGTTAGTACCCAGATTTGATGGTTTTTATAAGTGTTTTGAAGTTCCTCCTTCAATCTTCTCTTTCCTGCCAACCTGTGAAGAAGGTACCTGCTTCCCGTTCTGCCATGATTATAAGTTTCCTGAGGCCTCCCCAACCATGTGGAACTGTGAGTCAATTAAACCTCTTTGCTTTAAAAATTACTCAGGCTCAGGGAAGTTATTTATAGCACCTTGAGAAAGGACTAATACTGTTTTCTGCACCCAACAAAAAACTCCATGCGGTGTGGATGGTGGAGGCCATGGGGGAGGGAAAGTGGAGATTCAGCTGAGTGACATGTCATCTGTCAAGATTTTTAGAAGCTGAAGGAAAAATGCTCTGGTCTTTCTTCCTGAAGGGAGAAAGGTCTAAATTATTCTAAATAAAACACAGTTAGTACAGACTATAAAGGAAATGATTGATCATTCAAACACCTTAAAATTAAGGTCTTAGATGTTAAAGAAAATAAATAAGGAATCCACAAACTGTGATAAGTTAACAGCACATAAACATGACGAAGAATGTATTTCCTGAATATTTTTAAAGGCTTGAAAAGTAGGCAAAAAGCTTGACTGTGTGCTTTATAGAAAGATACATGAAGTGACAGAAAATGCATTAAAAAATTAACCATTAACATATAGAGAAATACAAATAAACAAATAAGATATTATTTATATTCACAAGATTGGGAAATATTAAAACATTTAACAATGAAGGCCGAGTATTGGTACTTATGTCTACACTATGGCTGCTGAAATTGTAAATTGCTCCATTACAGTAATAATTAGCTATTATTTTACAAAACCAAATATATCCACATTCTATGACCCTCAGGAATGCTACTGTTATTAATATACTTCCGAAAAATTTGGTATATATGTTCTAGGATATACAAAGTGTTCATAACAGAAAACTTTCACTATATATATGAATAAATATGTGAAAAAAATCAAAATTATGGAATTTTTATACAAATGGCACTGAAAGTGAAGAAACACAACATCATGCCTGAACTTCATTAATATGATGTTGAATAAATATAAACTTGCAGAATACATTTGGCATTATTTAATGTATATAAATTTTCAAAGCCTGCGGTAATAAATAATACATATACTAAAAATATATACGTATTCATTTGAAATTTAAAGGGAAAAAAAGGAGAGTGATAAGCAAATAATTTCAGGTAAGAGTATTGTTGGCTTGAATATGAGGTGAGCCCAGAAGAGATGGGGAAAGAGGACATGGAGGAGTCAATTTCTACAATGAGGCCCTTGATCTGTGTTTAGTCTTAAAGTGAAATTCATGTGTGTTATAAATATCTTTTTTTCAGATTTGATTTTTGATAAAAGTATTTTTAAAGGAAAGTAAAGGGAGATCTATCCTTAAGTTAGTGCTACATGTTTCTATAGCTAAATTTTATCAAACTTTTTAAAACCAGATAATTTGTATGGTATATAAGTTACTATCAAGTAGAGAGAAAGGAAATCGCTTTTTAAAGTTTCCCTTTTCCCTTAGTACAAGTTTTCCATACGTAGGTTGTAAAAGAAGACAGGACGCTTCTGATTCCCTAGGTCATCCAGGGACTCAGATTTCTTTGTTCCTTATGCTTTCATCTCCTAAGTTACTTTGCACACATGGTCAGTAATAAGTCACTACTATGACTATATCCAAATTCCAAAGTAGGAGAATTAGGAATAAAGTCAGGAAGAGTGAGCAGCTTCCTTCAAAGGCCATAACCTGTGTGCACATACCGCTTCTCCTCTATCATTTGCTAAAACACAGTCACCTGACCAATATTAGTTACATAGAAGGGTGAGAGATGCAGTCTCCACGTATGTGTCATCCTCAGCTAAAGTGTTAGGTTTTATTACTGAACCGATAATGATAAAATAGATATTAGAGAAAAAACAGCACTCTCAGTCACCCTATAGATCAAAGCATACAAAATAATACATTAGAATATTTACTCCAGGTGAGCAGAAGTACATATCACGACCAGAAGTTGAAGGGTGATTCAACATTAGAAAACCTATCAACTCAATTCATTATGTTAAACCATTAAAGGGAAAAAAGTAAACAACTGATGGCTAGATAGATAATAGAAGTTTGATAAGAGTGGATGTATATCCATGATAAAAACTTACCTAAAGTGAATAATAAGAATAAACTATCTTAAACTAATATAGGAAATTAGCTTATACACTAGATCACATACTTATAGGAGAACAGAATCTTGAATGCATGATTTTTCTCCCAATTTTAGGGCTTTTGGATATGACTTACAGAATTGCTCATAATCAGCTTCTGCACATTATTTCTAACTATAATGAATGTCCAGCCACACTAACCTAATGTCCATTCTTTTAACTTACCAAACGACTTCTTAATTTGAGTCTTTGCAAATATTATTAACAATACTTGAGCTAAATCAGATACCTCATTAATGTGGTTAAAATATGTCTAGTGATCCAAACTAAATTTTTCTAAAAGCCTTTAGCTCAAGATAATAATTTTCTTGCAACTACTCAATTACAGTTTTTTACCATGTCCCTCCGTTTTTTATAGATATATTTCTCCGATAGATTATGCTTCTTTAGATCACCCATTGCAAATCCACAGGACCTGACACACAGTATAAATGACAGCAAGAAACTTTTCTGTTTCATATACAATGCCTGTTTTAAGATACCTAACATTTTCATTACTCAATATTAGAGAAAACTGTGATTTATGTCCAGGAAAGCCAGGAAGGTTATTGGACTGCCTTTTCGCCATCTATACCATCTCATTCTACCTTCAATATTTAAAAATAAGTGAAGCGGTGCTTTATTTTCATATATTTCCAGAGCACTAGCTTGCTGCCGAACATGAGGTCATCCTATAAAGCTCACATTGATTTGACTACTAGTTCCTAGAAATTTTATTGCTATAACATTTAGAAAGGCAAGACTTAAGGAGTCTTGCCTTTCTATCATATATATGATATCATGTATACGATAATATCATCTATATATGATAATTTATTGGCATGGTTCTTTGGTTGGGATTTTAAGTAGATATAAAGTTAGAAATAAATAGGATGAATTTTGATGTGTAGTTACCCATTGGTAATCAAGCACCATAATGTATCATCGGTTGATAAAATTTGAGTCTACATATTGTACAAAGTGTTTCAGATATGGTTTTACATATTTTTGTTTATTTCCCTCCACCCCACTTCCACATCCTCACACTGTTCTTTTTACGTCATTGTACTTTTACTTCTCTTTTTATATTTCTACCTTGTTTTTATACTTTTTGAATGAGGGCCTGTGGGTGGCTTGGCACCAAACGGCAACCTACAAAGCATGTTATATTAAAATTAAAGGCCCTTCTACGTACTTTGTGATTCATAGCTCTAATCATATTATTGACATTTTTGGAAGTTAATCCACCACGAAAAGTGTGTGTTTATGCATGTGGGTGTATATATTTGTGAATTATGTACTTGTGTAATGAATCATGGGAGATATGGGAGAGTATGGGAGAGTAATCTGTGATTATCATCTAAATTGGAAATGTGAAGAATTAGAAATAAAAGAACAGTGAGAATAGTGATACAAATGTTAGCTGGGATGGAGGAACAATAAACAGCAAGATACAGCAAAGGAAGAGTCATGCTTTTTCACCTCACATTTATAATTATTCTATTATAAAGTCTATGATTAGATAAAATTATTGACTTTACATTATAACAGGAAGAAGGCTCAACTCCCCTAAGAGCTTCATGTAAAAAAAAATGGAGAACCTCATTTCCCAACCATAAAAAAAGAAAGGAAAAGAAAAGAATCTGAGACAACCTTGAATCCTTTTGCAAATTGATGAAGTCACGGAGAAATCTTTTGTAGGTCTAGCTTAAGAATAGGATCGGGAAATCGTGTGTAGTTACACAGCTAAAAAATGTAGAATTCATTTATTTTTCTCCTGACTTATGGGATATTTGCAGAATTCAAGGCTACATTCAAAATCAGTCAGCATTTACTTGATTATCTTTTCGTGTGTTACCTGGGTCCCAGAGGTAGTTAATGATGAACTCTGGAATGTATGAGGTTTTTGAAAAGTGTGTGTGTGTGTGTGTGTGTGTGTGTGTGTGTGTGTATATATATATATATACACACACACACACATATATATGTATATTAATCACTGAGGCTGACATCATTACCCAGGAAGAGCTAATTTAAATCCATTCATTTATCATTTATTCTTTTTTTTAAGGAAATGTAGATATTGGTGTGTGTGTGTTTATATACATATATATGAGATATATATGTATCTCATATATAATATGATATATAATTATATGTACATGTATAAAATATAATTATATATCATATATATAATTTCACCTCACATTTATGTCATATATAATTATATGATAATTTATTGGCATGGTTCTTTGGTTGGGATTTTTAGTAGATATAAAGTTAGAAGTAAATAGGATGAATTTTGATGTGTAGTTACCCACTGGTAATCAAGACAATAATCAAATGATCAATATGAACTATTCTATAAATGAGTTGCAGATTTTAATGATTTGTCTACTCTCTTGACAAGGCATTTCAGGGCACAATTGATTAAAATGTTGCATAATTTCATACACGTCTGGTTTGCTCATAATTTTAGATTGCTCTACAACTCAAGAAACAAACTTTACTGTTGCAATTTGTGTGTTTTCCCCATTCACTGTACTTGATTAAGGTGCATGCTTCACTGATTGAACTGAATAACTTTACAGAATAAAATGTTTACGGTTTTTATCAATGGGAAATGTATTGCCACGTCTCAATTTTCCTAGTATAAGAGTCAAAGTATGCAAAAACACCTCTTTGGAATGCAACCTCTGTTATTAATATGATCAACATTTTTATTTGCTGTTATTTTCATTATGTTGTTTAAAGGGTTCCCCAGCTTCTAAACATTCTCAAAATGTTAGTCCTTAAATGCAAAAGCAGGAACGGCATTCAGAACAACATTCTGCCCATGTTAGAGCTCCCATTTAAGCTTCAGGTAGGAGTGAATATATGGGCGTTAAAGTGAAAATACTTGCCTTTTTTGACAGTGTCTTCTCTTCACTATACATGAAACAGGTTGTTTGGCATACATTTTCTTAATTGGAATAATGTTTTAAAAAGTTTTTAAAGAAACAAAAAAAGTAAAATGGTAATCATTTTCTTTAAATAAACACCAGCATTCTTATGTTATACTCTTGTTTCTTTAAGATTTTTGGAACATCACAACAAAGTTTCAGATTGGTAGAAAGAAACCATAGATATACTTGGCAAGACTAATTTAAGTTCCTAATTTATACATTAAAGCATGTAGAAACTTAGCTGAAGCTCTTTGGCAAGATGGAGAAAGAAAAAATACAAACTTGTCTTAGCACAGATTTCTTAGGAATGAAAAAGCCCCTTAACTGGCAAGTAGCTACTAGTGACATTAGCTGAACTATGTAACCTTCTGTCCAATCGAAAGAATCTAATTTCATGCTGTGAAGTGGCCCTTTTCATCACTGATGGTGACATCATTATCCAAGAAAACCTTTTTAAAATCCATTCGTTCATTCTTTCCTTTTGAGGAAATGTAGAGAGCAGAACTTCCCTGGTTCTCAGCCCAAGCTCAATATCACCTAAAAGCCTGTTTTCATCATGAAGACACATTGAGAAATGGTCAGGAGTCCCTGATAATTCTATGTGGTTCTGCACAATCAACAACTCAGGATACTTTCCTCAATTGTTGTTTAAAAAATGTAGTGCATTTCTTCTCATTCTGCTATTAGTCCACTTCTTCCAGATTACTTTCTGGATGTACTTCCATTTCCATGTATGAGAAAAGAAAGTAAATGAAGCTCTAGTAGTAAGTGAAGTTGTGAGCCCTTGCAGCAGAGGACTCGGCACTAAGTCTGAGCTAGACTCTCTCAATGAAATCCAGACTGCATCATTTATCATCTACAAAACAAGGATGAGATTTAAAGTTTAGTGCCTCTATTTCCTCATTTATACAATGGCATTAATTTATACTATAAATAGTATAAACTACTTAGGGCTGATATTAATGTGTCCGGAATTGGTGGGTTCTTGGTCTCACTGACTTCAAGAATGAAGCTGTGGACCCTCGCGGTGAGTGTTACAGTTTTTAAAGGTGGCGTATCCGGAGTTTGTTCCTTCTGATGTTCAGATGTGTTTGGAGTTGCTTCCTTCTCTTGGGTTCGTGGTCTCGCTGGCTCAGGAGTGAAGCTGCAGACCTTCGCAGTGAGTGTAACAGCTCTTAACGCAGCGCGTCTGGAGTTGTTCATTCCTCCCGGTGGGTTTGTGGTCTCGCTGGCTTCAGGAGTGAAGCTGCAGACCTTTGCCGTGAGTGTTACAGCTCATAAAGGCAGCGTGGACCCAAAGAGTGAGCAGTAGCAAGATTTATTGCAAAGAGCAAAAGAACAAAGCTTCCACTGTGTGGAAGGGGGCCCCAGCGGGTTGCCACTGCTGGCACCCACAGCCTGCTTTTATTCTCTTATCTGGCCCCCACCCACAACCTGCTTTTTGGTCCATTTTACAGAGAGCTGATTGGTCCATTTTGACAGGGTGCTGATTGGTGCGTTTACAATCCCTGAGCTAGACACAAAAGTTCTCCATGTCCCCACTAGATTAGTTAGATACAGAGTGTCAATTGGTGTATTCACAAACCCTGAGCTAGACACAGAGTGCTGATTGGTGCATTTACAAACCTTGAGCTAGATACAGAATGCCGATTGGTGCATTCACAAACCATGAGCTAGACACAGGGTGCTGATTGGTGTGTCCGCAAACCTTGAGCTAGATACGGAGTGCTGATTGGTGTACTTACAATCCGTTAGCTAGACATAAAGATTCTCCAAGTCCCCACCAGACTCAGGAGCCCAGCTGGCTTCACCCAGTGGATCCGGCACCGGGGCCGCAGGTGGAGCTGCCTGCGAGTCCCACGCCATGCGCCAGCACTCCTCAGCCCTTGGGCGGTCGACGGGACTGGGCACTGTGGCCCTGGAGCAGGGAGCGGTGCTGGTCGGGGAGACTCGGGCCGCACAGGAACCCACGGCTTGGGGGAGGCTCAGGCATGGAGGGCTGCAGGTCCCAAGCCCTGCCCGCGGGGAGGCAGCTAAGGCAAGGGGAGAAATCCAGCACAACAGATGCTGGCCCAGGTGCTAAGCCCCTCACTGCCCAGGGCTTGCGGGCCGGCCGGCCGCTCGGACTGCGGGGTGCTCAGAGTGCGGGGCTGCCGATCCCACGCCCACCGGGAACTCGCGCTGGCCCCAAGCGCCAAGCACGTGGCCCCGGTTCCCGCTGGCGCCTCTCCCTCCACACCTCCCCGCAAGCTGAGGGAGCCGGCTTCGGCCTTGGCCAGCCCAGAAAGGGGCTCCCACAGTGCAGTGGTGGGCTGAAGGGCTCCTCAAGAGTGGCCAGAGTGGGTGCCAAGGCAGAGGAGGCGCCCAGAGCGAGGGAGGGCTGCAAGGGCTGCCAGCACGCTGTCACCTCTCATTAATAATAAATGTATTAATATATGCAAAGTACTTAAAGCAGTGCCTGTTACTGTATGGTAAGTATTGTATAAGTACTGCTTATGATTAGGATGATGGTGATGATTTCACATCATCATTTATTTAAAAACCAAATTAAAATTAAGTCTTGGGAAAGTTATACATAATCCATATACAATCACCCTTCTTTATAAATGGAAAACTGGTCTCAGAACACTTGCATATCCCAAAATTCATATATACTCAATGTCCGCAGGCCCCCTTAGAGAACCTGTATCTAAATGGTTGGTTCTCCATGTAGGCAGATTTTGCATCCCGCTAATACTGTATTTTCTATCAGTGTTTGGTGGCAGATGTGAAACCTGTGGATACAGGATGCATTGGTCTGTTTTCACACTGCTGTAAAGAACTTCCCTGAGACTGGGTAATTTATAAACAAAGGAGGTTTAATTGACTCACAGTTCCCTATTGCTGGCGAGGCCTCAGAAAACTTACAATCATGGAGGAAGCAGAAGCAGGCACCTTCCTCACCTTCTTCACAAGGTGGCAGGCAAGAGAGTGAGAAGGAGAAACTTCCAAACACTTATAAAAACATCAGATATCATGAGAACTCACTATCATAAGAACAGCCTGAGGGAACAACTCCAGTGATCCAATCACCGCCCTTGCTCAACACCTGGTGATTACAGGCCGCTCCCTTGACATGTAAGGATTACAATTCTAGATGAGATTTGGTTGGGGAAACAGAGCCAAAACATATCACAGGGCAAACACTTTATTTTTAAAAATCCACATAAAAGTGGACCTTATAGTTCAAACCCATGTTGCCCAAGGGTCAACTGTATATATATAGATTAAATTCACACACACACACACACACACATTCTCAGTGTGTAACTGAGAATATGAAAGTTTTTATAAATGATAAAGCATACAACAAAATTCTATATTTATCTTAAAGCTCATGTAAACTAAAAATGCAAAACTTGCGTTTTTGATTCACATTCACACATACTTTACGTAAGGTAAGTCCTCTTTGGAGAAAAGGAGAAAAAAATATGAGGTGGAGTGGAAACTTAGCAATATTTTTTTAACAGAAAAGTTTATCAGAAGTAAATTGTAGCATTTCTTTTATTCCAGTATAGGGTACTTAGATACAGGTTATAATTGCCTATTTTCTTCTGTATGTTCAAAGTAATAAATATAAATTAAAAACTAAACGAAGCTTAAAATCCAAAGAAACAGTGCCATCTTTTGACCTTGCAAGATACCCAATATGTTCTAGCTCTTACTACCTTTGAATAGACAATGTTCTCACTCAAATGGAAAGTTTCCTCCTTTCTGTCTTTCAGTCTTTCTCCACCAATCAATGTGCTCTTTAACTCAATGTGGTATGATCACTATTACAACATTACATAAAATGTCTGCAGGAAGTCACTAGTATGGTACCCACTGTTAAATTTAATGGGCATGATTGGCCTCTTAACAGCATTTAATCGAAGTTAATACTTTTCTGACATTAAACTTTTGGCCACCCTTATCATTGCCTACATGAAACTAAGTTAATATTTCACAGATTCTTACCTGTGCTTTACCATTCTGCACTCCCTCTGTACACACCAATCTCATGTACTCCCAACTCTTTACAAAAATAACCAAATGCAGATATTTCTCAAATTTCACATCGAACCCAGACCTCTCTTTTCAAGCGTCTATATTCAGATGCTTTACTTACATATTCCTATATGTGTTATACGTTTTTCTCATACTTAGAAAGTCTAAAATTATTTTTTTTCTCTCATCACAAACATTTCACTCCCTTGGTATTCTCACGGGGTAAATTCTACTTGTTATACCTGATTAAAATGCTAGAGATCTTGACACATCATTTTCCTTCATCCTCCTACATGAAAATACACATCCAGGATATATTCTGCATTGAGCCATCTCTCCCTTCTTTTATGAGCACCATCTACTGCACAGATTAGTACGGTCTTTCCTTTAAATTTTGAGCAGCCCACCAACTGGGCTTGTGTTTCCTGCCTTGGGTCTCTCCGGATTCATTTGCTACATAGCAGCCAGGATGATCTTTCATGAAATGTAGCTGATTATGTTATACAGCTTTAAACTCTGCAATCACATCTTGTTGCATTTGCTATCATAGCTAAATTCATGGTCCAAAAGATTTGCCTGGAGGAGATCCATTCTTTCTCTTGTGAACGCTGTCAGAATCAAAGTAGAGTCACCACTTTTTAAGAAACCCTGACAAATGTTGCCAAGGAAGGCTATGAAGAGAATGGTTTACATGCAGAAATGCCTGACAACAAGAATTATCAAAAAACACTTTACAAAAACTGAAACCTTGTACAAAGGCCATCTCAACCTGCACAAAAAGAAATACTTCAGCAAGAACATCTGCCCAACAACTACCTATCAAACCTTGAACTGGTGCCACCTATGCTCTTGATCCTTGAAGCCAAGAATAATTATCTCAAAAAACTTTATAATCCTCATTTTTCCTTTAAAAACCTTTGTCTTCCTTTACCTTCCTGAATATGCACATGGTTTACTATGGCACATGTATTCCCATTGCAATGTCCATTCCTGAATAAATATCATCTTATTTTAGGGAGTCTCTCTCAGTTTGTTGTTTAGGTAGACCCTCTTATTACTCATTTCCAACTAATTTTCCTTTTCCTCACTATGCTTTAACTCCCGATCCTCATTCAGTTCCTTGAACACACCATGTTCCTTCAATCCTGTCACAGAGGTTTGCTCTTTTGGTTCCTCTCGGTGCAATGCTTGCCCCCATCTCTGGACCCAGTTAAATCTTAATCACATATCAAATTGCAACTCTACTGACATAGTCCATGGTTGGATTAGCTGACCCCTATTATAAACTGTCATAGCACCCTGTTCTTTCCTTTACAACACATATAACTGTTTATAACCATGTTTTACTTCCAGAATATTACAGCTTTTATTACTATTTTAGTGTCACAGGATGACACCGGTGTTATTAATGTTATAAAAACAGAACCATAAGCAGAATTTACAGTTCTTTCTGAATAAGACGGGGATACCATGAAACTCTGACCCTGTAGAGACCCTCTGGCTCTGTTTTAGGTAAGAGTTGTCAAATATAAATTGTTTAAATATATTTTTATCTGTATGTTCAGATTGCTTAAATTCTTAAATATTGTTCATCTAATTATTTGTAGCATTTATTAATATTCAGAGACATATTCTGGCCTCAAATATTGGTTCTGCCATTACCCGTCTCTGTGACCTTGTCCAAAAATTATCTAACCTTTGGGATCTTTCCTTTACAGAGCATAAAAATAAAACATAGCTAACTAGGTTGAAAAATTAAGTAAGGTTTTATATATATATAGTATATAGAATGCCCATTGGTCCTTAGTAAACACTTAACAACTGTGAGCAATCCATATCTGTTCCTACACAATATTTATAACTCTAAAGTGCATGGTTTGTGTATCTTTTGTTCACTTTTGTTCACGATTTACCTCCAGGTGATTACCAAAAAACTTGCCACGTGATAAAACATTTTTAAAACATGAATAGATAAATGAAGATAAATATGAATATTTGCTAATTTATTTTACACAAATAATTGCCAAGCCTGCAGTTAAATTTAGAGTAAAATTCTATATAAGATGGAGACATGTTAGAACTACCCCAGATCAATAGTTATAAGAGTAAGCATATTATATTACAAGAGTAAATATCTAGGGGAGATTTCATTTTCTGATATTTAGAAATGATCCACAACACTTAAAGAGGAACAAAATCTTTTGAAATACAAGCATTCAGAATTCTGTACGTTTAGGATTTAAAGTTATATTCCTAAAATATAAATAGGTATTACATGAAAAGTAAGTTCTGTAATAGAATCATTTTGGAGAATTCTATTTAAAGAAAATCAATATATATACATTCTAATTACAGTAGAATTTCTTAAGCTTTTAGCATTTTGGGCATATTTTCTCTAAATAACATTGAACATTTTATTATACATTATCTTGTGGAAAGTATGTTCTGAAGAACATTTATGAAGGAACATTGATGAAAATGATCTTTGAAGAGAAAGGAGAAGGAGATAGTGGTTTGACATAGAGATTCACTTGGCTATATTAACTTAGAAAAATAAGTCTCCTTTTCTTAATCTAATCTATAAATTAGAAGAAATAATCTCTTTTTATTAGGCTGCTATGAGAAGCAAGTTGAATCATAATTACAGAAACACTTAGAAAATTAGGAGGACTACAAATATAGAAATTATAATAGTAATCCCACATAAGATTGTAAGAGGCTTAAAGCCACATTAGTTGTTAATTAGATACAGTTAATTTTAAACTACCTTTTTCTACTTATCATGTCAAATTTCAAAAACAAAAATGTGTGAAAGGTACTCAGGATGCCTGTAAGTAATAATTATTTTCAATTTCAAGTTATTAAAATGTCATAGCTGGCTGGGTGGGGTGGCTCACACCTTTAATCCCAGCACTTTGGGAGGCCAAACGGGGCAGATCACTTGAAGCCAGGAGTCCAAGATCAGCTGGCCAAGATGGTGAAACCCTCTCTCTACTAAAACTACAAAAATTAGCCGAGCATGATGGTGCACGCCTGTAATCCCAGGTACTCAGGTGGCTGAAGCAGGAGAATTGCTTGAACTCAGGAGGCGGAGGCTGCAGTGAGCCAAGATTGTGCCACTGCACTCCAGCCTGGGCAACAGAGTGATATTCTGTCTCTAAATAAATAAATATTTAAAAAAAGTCATAGCTACTCAATGTGTGCCAGAGATCATTTCTGTATATGATATTTCCCCAAACTGGTTTGAGGTTGGATTTCTAAAAGTGTGTTCTCATGGATGTTTGCATATACGAATGCCTTGACAATGCCAGCTCGCATTGAAGGTTGGTATAAACAATCATGCACAGACACTCTGAAGGGCACTTATTCTTCTATAGCAAGAAAATCCAGGGCCATGGAAGGTTAATATATTACTCTAAAGATGGTTGTTCAAATACTGAGTATTATATAAAAATTGGATTTTTGAATAGTTTTAGGAAATGTAGTCTAGGCATAGTGGCTCCCGCCTGTAATCCCAACACTTTGGGAGGCCGAGACGGGATAATCTCCTGGGGCCAGGAGTTCTAGAACAGCCTGGGCAACACAACGAGACCCTGTTTCTACAAACAATTTTTAAAAAGTAGCCAGGCATGGTGGTGCTTGCCTGTAGTCCCAGCTACTTGGGAGGCTGAGGTAGGAGGATTACTTGAGCCTGGGAAGTCAAGGCTGCAGGGAGCCATTATGATGCCAGTGCACTCCAGCCTGGGTGACAGAGTAAGGCCCTGTCTCAAAAAAAAAAAAAAAAAAAAATATATATATATATATAATATATATATATTTATATAAAAATAATAAACTAATAAAAATATATATTATATATATTAGTATATATGGTACATAACATTTATTAATATAATTCCTTACCATACAAAATATCCTCATGCATTAATAAGAAAAAGATAATAAGCACCAGAAGAGAAAGAACTAATAAAGAACTATTAAAGTTAAGGGAAAGAAAGACCAATCACATAACATTATAATTCCAGGTAGGAATATTACATGATACAACCATTCTTGAGAACAATTTACCAATGTACATTTTAAAAAATCATGTTTAATCCAGAAATCTCCCTTTTCATAATGTTTCTTAGTGGTTTAATTGGATTATTTTTGGCAAATTGAGAGCACACCCTCTTCCACTTCAGTCTTCTTGCATACTCTCCCACGGGAGATCTCAATTGGAGAGAGTCATTTGCCTATTTTGACACCACTATTTTACCTGCTGCTACATCTCACTAATTTTATATAAGTAATGTATTAGTTAAAATAATTTGTTATTGTAACACACAGGCCAAAACTGTGTAATGGCTCAAATGGGATGGAAATTTATTTTTTGATCATACAGAGTAAAAATAAATGTCTCTGATTGATGTTTCTCAAAGCAATGGTGATATGATATTTGTATCCAGGCTTCCTTCATTTGGAGTTCTGCCATCTACTACAAAGGGCTTCCATGAGTTCAGTGATCATTAGTATCAAGCAAAAGAAAAGGAGTTTAGAGGAAAACATATGGAAGATTTTATGGACAGACTAGAAATAAAGCACATACCTTCTGATCACTTTTTGTTGTCTAAATCTTGGTCATATAACCTTCTCCCCCATAACTCTGTGGTAGGCTGGTAAATGTTGTTTAGCTCCCTGTGAGAAAGAAGAAACAGTCTTGATGAGTACCTTGCCTGTTTCAGCCAGAAGGTACAAGATAAATTATGATTCCAGGACAATATTTTTAACAGCATGTATTAGTGTTTTTATCTGAGAGTTACAAATTTACGTTTTTGCTGTGTAGCACCCACTACAGATTATAATTTATTTGAAAACCTAAAAATTCAAATTATTCATGCGTTAAGGTTTCCATTTCTTTGCTGTGCTTTATTCTGCTTCTGCTCTGTTACAGACATCCACTTCTTTAAAAGCAACTTTAGGCCAGGTGCAGTGGGTCACACCTATAATCCCAGCACTTTCAGGGACTGAGGGAGGAGGATCACTGGAGACCAGGAGTTTGAGACCAGCCTAAGCAATATAACAAGACCCCATCTCTATCAAAACAAAAAATGTTTAAAAATTAGCCAGGTTTGGTGGCCTGTGCCTGTAGTCCCAGCTCCTTGGGAGGCTGAAGCTGGAGAATCACTTCAGCCCAGCAGTTTGGGGCTGCAGTAAGCTATGACTGTGCCACAGCAGTCTGGCCTGGGCAAGAGAGCAAGACCCTATCTTTAAAAAAGCAACTTTATTTTACCTGTTTCCTTTTAATTTCTTTCACTTTCACCAAAAGTATTTTAACTTATTACTTTTTTATCTTTCAACTTTTTTCTGTTGTCCAGTCCTGTTATGTAAATGGTATAAAAAAGGTTTCATATTTTCCCGATAATATGTCTTATTCAAATAATTAACTCAATCATATAGGTATTTAAATATGTATGATTTTATGAATGATCTGTTAACAAAGGCAAGTTATAAATGAAGCCAACAATTGAAGGGAACAATTGGTAAACTAATGTTTGTCTTATCTCCAAATTCCTAAATATTATTTTTAAAAGTACTTTGTTAAAGTAGTATAAGCCCATAATTAAAAAAGATAAAATAAAGCCTAAAAATACTTACAATGAAAAACAACTTGCCAATGCCTCTATATCTACTTCAACCCCAATTCTCAAAATTAACCCCTTTAAATTGTTTGTTTCTTCTTGCAGTTATTTCTTTTTATTTTTTCTAAATAGGGTTTCTACTTTTATTTTATTCCAAATGCTCTAATAGATCGGCCATATGTGTGTCAAAAATGTTGCCAAAGGTACACCCACCAAACATATAGCTATTTAATGTTCTTCACACTTCTCCCATTCATACATGGAGATCTTCTTACAGAACTCATTCCTCAAGGATCACAGTAAACTTGTCGGTGCCTTGAGCTGGTGACCTTTTGTGTACCTGGGAATTTCTTTTGCCTTTCTCTTGTTTATAAGGTATAAACCTACCCATTTGCTCTGCAAAAGCTGGACCCAGGAAGAGGTAAATGTGCCACAGTTGATGCATCGGTTTTTAATCAATCCTTCAGTTTTCAACAGGTAACTTACTTCAGACTTCTGGAGTGGCCTGTGCTTCTGCATCTGAAGTATCTCACATTCAAATTACTCACAGACTATACCGTGTTCTCTACCATGTAGAAAATGGGTATTGCTGGTTGACTCCCAATGATATATAGTATCTGGAGATTCTAACTGCACTGTACTCAGATTTTTGACGAGTCTTTCTTTCCAATCCCAGCCTTTTGCCATACTCAATTTCTTCCCGTAAAACTATAGAAGGCTCTCTGACACAATTGGCTTTTAGCTCATTGGCATTCCACACTGCAGTCACTCAGATAATAACTTAGCTTCCTAAATCAGTTTACCACTCTTCTACTTCCCTTTTAGTCTTCAAATTTTGTTGAAATATCAGATCCACTGTGGCCTTTCCTCCAGTTCTCTTTGTCCTTGGGAATATAAACTCTTTTATTATTAAATTGAGAAGATGTAAATATATGAGGTCAACCTCCAATAATTAATTTCTAATTAAGTTTTTAGGGCTATAGCAGAGTATCATATATGCCTGAGCTGTTGATCTTCAGCCTTATTTACTCCTGAAATCTCTGTTTTAATGCTCTAGAGAGCTAAGCTAATCAGGAACAAATAGAAAATGATTTCTACTCTTACGCCTAGACTGAAGCTAGACTTACGCCGTAGTCCATGCTTTCTTCCCCTGGAAAACATGTTCTCTTTCACTTAGTCTTGTTATGGGAGGACTGTATTCCAATAAAGTAAGCAAATGCAGCTCATTTTTATCAGTTCAGGAACCACAAAGAAGGGAGGAGAAAGATTCTAAAGAGAAGGATGAAGAAAACAGGTGATCAGAAGGAAAAATTTTCATACTTAGCTCAGTTTTAACCCTAAAATATGACAATACACTTTCCCCAATATTTGTCTATCTTTATATTAAATGTATAATGTTAAACACCCTGCTTGTATATAGAATTGTAAATTTCACTTAAGCCTCATAGTATAAGGATATTTCTATTAAATCACAAATAGCAATGAAATTATTTAGCTCTTATAATAAATTAATTACAAAAATGTATACTAACATCAAAAATGCTTAAGATTTTTTATTGGTGACAGACAGTAAACTGCTGAAGAGTATTTATAGAATGACCTCATTCCTAAAAAGTAAATGATATATTCAATAGAAGACAGCGTACCAATAGAAAACTAACTATAAATTAATATGTTTAACTGTTTATAAATTATTCCTTTGAAGAATGGGAATACAGTAGATTTTCTGAGTTTTATGCTTCTATGATGTTTTCATCTTCTTACAGTATATGCATATAACTAGTTTAATGATAAAAATGTCATATTAATATAATATATGTCATTTGTCTAACCTAATGCCAGGGTTCAAAGAGATTATGAAGAAGAATAAGGTGCTGACCCCAGTGTCATGTAACTTGTATTATCAAGAAAAGATATGCGGTCACAAACTGCACAATTACAGAAAAAAGTATATGGATAATTGTCAAAATTAGTGGCTTTATTTTAGTTCAATGAGACAAAGTTCAGAGTAGCATAGAAGAGGAAAATGATTTACCTCAAGATTCATATTAACAGTGAAATTCTCTTTGGATAAGCCAACTAGAATTGTAGAGTATATTAGAGACAGAGGTTATTTGGGCTACATGGACTCAAACACTTAGAGAGAAGTTGATATTAGCAAATTATTTTAAACCCTCTTATTCTTAATCTAAAAATATTCAGATTTATGAATGAGGTAGTGTAGGCATCATGCCCAATTGTGATTTACACAGAAAAAAAGACATGTAAGTAGAGGAGAACTAGCACTTGCCCAAGAAAATATGGAGGGCATCTGAGGACATTTTTCCCACCCTCTTTCACTTGTCCCCACTACCACCATCCTGCTTGGGATAGAGTTTAGCCCCTGTAAGTATTTATTTTATTTAAGATACTGGTAAAGGATCTGTAAAATGAAACCAAAATTTACTGTGTATTATATGAGTTATATTTTAATTTTTTAAAAAGTCAATTTTTCAGGTTTATGATCTAAGGGCAATTATGATTTGGGGAGCTTAGTTTTTTTCAATTTATGGCTATGCAATATCTCAGCATGAGTCTTCTAACTTTTGATCCAATGTTTATGCTCTAGCTTCCAATGTCATAATTTTTGTTCAGTTAACAGGTAAGAGAGACAAGGGTAGAGAGTATACCAAACCATAATGAAGCGAAACCAACAACCAAGTCGAGTAGTAGAACTCAACCTTGACAGCTCATTGAAGGGCATCTCACCGGGACAATTCCATGCTCTACAAGCCCTTTTGGAAACCGATAAAGCGTAATTTCAAAAACACCACAGTTGATTCCAATGTGCAGCCAATGTTGAGTACTGCTGAACTTAGGTGAATGCAGGTCACCAAGAAAAAGATGAAGGTGAATGTAAAGAACAGGAGTTCCCATTGAAGTAGAACTTGGCAATCTACATGGGAAATTTAAATAGAAAGAATCATAAAGAGGTTTTTAAGAAGATTAAATTAACAGATAAAATATTTTCAAGAACCTGAATCAAGAATTTTGATTATATCTATATAATATATAACATATGATATATTTATATATGATATATCATATATAAATATTATATATTTATATTATATACTAATATATATAATATAAATATTAATATATATATTTATTTTTTATTATATATTTATATTATATATTTATATAATATATTTATATATATATATTTATATATATAATATATTATATTATATAGTATATATATATTATATATATTTTATATATACTATATAATATATATAATATATATGTCAAAAAACATGTATTTTTTTATTTGGTAAAGATTAGGTTTTTTCCATGTTGCCCAGGGTGGTGTTGAACTCTTGGACTTGAGAGATCTGTTCACCTTGTGCTCTCAAAGTGCTGGGATTACAGGCATGAGCCATTAAGCCTGGTCTATTGAATTTAAAAATTTAATACACAAAGTAGAAGTTTGTTGGTAACTACTAAGAACCAATTAGTCTTCTGGAATTTCTTGTGGAAGAAATACTTTAATATTCATAACAAAACTGAAAAGATGTGAAAAAATGAGCAAAAGATAGCAACTTGATGTAAATTTACATGAACTGTAACATGGAGCACATAGGCTTTCCATAAAACAGAAAATTAGAGAGACAGATTGACTCAATTAGTAGAGAAAAATATTCATTATATAAATAAGTAATTGAGTCTTCAGACTGGAGGGCTTCTGTAAGGCCTGGGAAAGACTAAAAGAAAAATGAAATTCAATATCAATATTGAATAACAAAATTAAAATTCAATATTAATATTAATAATTGTCAATAGTGAAATTCTTGAATTCCGAGATTAAAGAAAATGATCTTATTAGTAGAGGATAAATATCTTAATAGAGAAAGAAAATTTAACAATAGACTTATCCTTTAGAAGAAGACTAAAAGTGAAGAGCAACATATAAACTATTCAAAGTAAGGTACAGAGACCCAAAAATCTTCTTTCCAGTTACAATAGTTTCACCTGTCAGGGAAAAAGAAAGAATTTGTAGTTATGGAAGAATTTAAAGAGGTAGCATCCATACAATTAACATAAGGAAAGTTCTTGAAAAAAATGTTCTAACCAACAAATAAAAAATCCTTTTTTTTAAATAAAAAAAGCAGGCAATATGATGAGGGTAACAAGAATTAATATTAGAAAATTATTATAAAACATGTGTATTATTAAATGTAATGCTGTAAAGAAATGTCAAATATATGTATAGAACTGAAAGTTGAAAAATATATCATCTAAAACCAGAAGTTGAAAAAAATCAAGAGAAGGATGGGAAATATGAATACTCGAATACTCTAAAGCAGAGTTGGCAAATGTTTTTCTGTAAACGGCAGGATGGCAAATATTTTGGCTTTGTGGACATGTGGCTTTTGTTACAACTGCTTATCTCTGATGTAGTGATACAAACCTAACAAAGGCAGGCATAGACTATATATAAGCACATGGTGATGACTGTACTACAATAAATATTTACAAACTCAGGCAGTGGGACAGATTTCATGTATAGGAAGTAATTTGATGACCTCTATTTTAAAGGATATACTTATTTGGGGGGAAGCAGATAGGCAACAATATAAATGCATAAATGAACAGAAAGAAAAAATATGAAAGACAACTTGCAGAATGACAGCATGAGGCTCTCTGTGGATATGCTCCCTAGTGAAGCAATCATAACTGGAAAAATTAGTATACATATATAAATTTTGTTATAGGTTTATATCTATATACAATATACACATATAAAAGTCTTTGGAAATTTTGTCCTAATTTAGACAGGAGATAGGAGATAGAGACAGGAGACCTGGCCTCTTCAATTTCTAATTGTAAAGACAGGCGATCTAATGATAGAGTTTGAGAGACCTGGCCTCTTCAATTCCTGTGTGGTGACCTGGGATTCAATCTGTGAGGTGGAGGGCCTACTAGGAGGACTCCATCTCACTTTGCTGCGTTTTTTTTTTTTTCCCTTTTCGTCCAAAAATTATGCTCCTCAACCTTCTATGTGTCCGTGAGTCTAGTCTTTCCCAGTCATGTGACAAGAACCCAGTTTTAGCTGAACTAAGGAGAAAGTCCTGCAACACTAAGGGCATATATCAAATGAAGAAACATTTGTTCAAGGAAATCTACTAAATCTTAGAAAGAGGAGTGAGAGTCTGTGGCACTTGAGCCATACCCATTTTTGCCTCCTACTCTCAGGTCAGTGTGATCAAAGCCCCACTCTGAATGGGTATGGCTAAGAATATTACGCTCCCTTCACCCCCCAGTTCCCAGGCAAAGGCTGTGGAATCTCCCAGGAAAGGGCAAGACACTGGCATTTCTTATCCCCTCAAGCTCCACGTTCCAAATGAGTGTAGTCTGGAGATTGTGAGCTCCCTCCCTCTACCTAAGAATAGCGGGGCATTCGTCTCCCTCACCCCAACTCCCCCATAGGGATGTTGCTCCGCACCAGGAGAAGCAAGCCAAAAAGACCAGCACTACTGCCCTTGCCTAGCACTTGGCTAGTAAAGCATCAGTGTCATCCTAGGAAAAGCAAAATTCTGTCACTGATGTTTGTTTGATGATTAAGGATTCTCAAAAGTTTAAACTATAAGCATTCTTCATGATTTAAAATTAAATTGGAAACAAAATTAAAGAAATTTCAGTGTATGTATTCCATATCTTCCTGACATAAAAAAGAATAGCTAAGGAAATCCTCCAAAAGCTTGGGAAAAAAAAAACAAAACAAAAACAAAGGCACAACACAGAGGATTAAGAAAACTAGAGTCAGTTCCAAGAGATCCAAAAATTAATAAAATAAATAATAAGAATGATCACAAAAAAGAAAGTAAACAAATAATTCAAGAAAGGAATTAGAATATCCACCTAGTTGTAGCAGATACTAAAGAACTAAAAATGCATATTATGAAAATACTTGTGCCAATAAAATTGAAAATGTAAATGGAATAGCAATATGCTAGAAAAACATAACTTATCAATACTGAAAAATTAACAAACTAGGCCTAAAAAACATGACTGAACCTCACAAACATAATTCTGAGCAAAAGAAACCAGAAACAAAAATAATGCACACTGTTTAATTTCAAGTTTGCGTGTTTCAAAAATTCAGCGAAGATAAACTGTGTGTAAAACTCTAAAGGAAAACAAACACGTTTATGTTTGCTTGTTTTACCATAATGATCAGGCTAATAATTCCCTTTTAAAAGGTAGGCAGGAATGTCATTTCAAGTGACAATGATGAAGGTTTCTCTGGTTCTAACAGATTCTTTTGTGGATTTAGTTTTCAAGGATGTTATTGTGTTAAAATCTGTACAATTTTTTCCCCAATTTTCACAATTATATTCAATTTAACATTTATCGTGGTACTATTCACAATAGCAAAGACTTGGAACCAACCCAAATATCCATCAAAAATAGACTGGATAAAGAAAATGTGGCACATATACACCATGAAATACTATGCAGACATAAAACAGGATGAGGTCATATCCTTTGTAGGGACATGGATGAAACTGAAACCATCATTCTCAGCAAAATACCACAAGGACAGAAAACCAAACACCCCATGTTCTCACTCATAAGTGGGAGTTGAATGATGAGAACACATAGACACGGATTGGAGGGACATCACACACCGGGGCCTGTTGGGGGGCAGGGGGATGGGGGAGGGATAGCGTTAGGAGAAATACCTAATGTAAACGATGAGTTAATGGGTGCAGCATACCAACATGGCACATGCATACCTACATAACAAATCTGCATGTTGTGCACATGTACCCTAGAACTTAAAGTGTAATAATAATAATAATAATAAAATTACAGTGGTTATCTTTATGTGGCAGGATTATAGATGAGCCTTATATTCTTAATTTTCTGCATTATTCATATTTTCGGTGAAGAACATGTATTATTTTCATAATCAGTAAAATAATAAAGGTTATTAAAAAACAGTAAAAAAAGGTATTAATGCGTATGATACACCCTCACTATGGAGTACAATGAGGTTAGAAGGAACAAATTTGAAAAGTCACAGCAGATCTGATTCAAATAAGAGTCCAAAATTCCTGGCCGGGCGCGGTGGCTCACGCCTGTAATCCCAGCACTTTGGGAGGCCGAGGCGGGCGGATCACGAGGTCAGGAGATCGAGACCATCCCGGCTAAAACGGTGAAACCCCGTCTCTACTAAAAATACAAAAAATTAGCCGGGCGTAGTGGCGGGCGCCTGTAGTCCCAGCTACTTGGGAGGCTGAGGCAGGAGAATGGCGTGAACCCGGGAGGCGGAGCTTGCAGTGAGCCGAGGTCCCGCCACTGCACTCCAGCCTGGGCGACAGAGCGAGACTCCGTCTCAAAAAAAAAAAAAAAAAAAAAAAAAAAAGAGTCCAAAATTCCTTCCTTCTTTTTATTTAACAAGAGTGAACAACAGAAGTATCTTTTTCAAATATCATTTGCCCATATATGTGTGAGTCTGTTTCTGGAATGTTCATTCTGTTCTACTGATCTATTTTACAGAACTCGACATGCTACCACACTGCCTTGTTTACCGTGACTTTATAATAACTATTGACATCACACAGTGTGAGCTCTCCAACTTTGTTCTATGTTTTCAAAGTTGTTTTTGTTATTCTAGGTCCACTGTATTTCTATATGGATTTTAGAATTCATCAATTAAAAAAATGTATCTGCTAAAATTTTTATTTGGATTACATTGAACTTACAGAAAACTTTGGAGAAGGAACAACTTAATATTGGATCTTCTTACCCATGAACATAATACCTTCCTCTATTTAGTTAGACATTATTTAATCTCATCAAATGTTTTATAGTTGTCACTGTACAGGTCTTCCATATCTTTTGTCAGATTTATCTCTATTTCACATTTTAATGCTATTTTAAATAGTATTTTTAATGTCAATTTTTTTTTTTTTTTTTTTTTTTTTGAGACGGAGTCTGGCTCCAACGCCCAGGCTGGAGTGCAGTGGCACAATCTCGTTTCACTGCAAGCTCCACCTCCCGGGTTCACGCCATTCTCCTGCCTCAGCCTCCCGAGCAGCTGGGACTACAGGCGCATTGCTCTTCAAAAAACCAACTTGTGCTATATAATAGTTTGTCTCTATTTTTTTATTGTTGTTTATTTTGTATATCCCTGATTTTCTCTCTGACCTTTTTTTCCTTTTCCTGTTTACTTTGGTTACATTTGTTCTTTTTTAAATTTCTTAAGGTAGATGCTGATTTGAAACCTTTGTTCTTTTCTAATAGTGGTTTTCAGTGGCATGAATTCCACATTACTACTGTTCTGTTGGCAATTCACAAATTTCGGTATGTTGTGGCTTTTTTTCTTTCAGTTCACAAGAATTTCTAATTTCCACTTTTATTTCATCTTTCATTTATGGGTGTGTTAGTTTCCAAATAGTTGCAGATTTTCCTGCAATCTTTCTGTTTTTGATTTCCAATTTTATTCCTTTGTTGCCAGGGAACATTATTCATATAATGTGATTTATTCTAAATATACTTAGAAATTATCAACAGTCCAGAATATGATCTTCTCTGTAAATGTTCCATGTGATCTTCAAAAGAATATATACTACCCTTTTTGTTGAGTGTGGTATCCTATAAATGGCAATTAGGTCACATTTGTTGAGTGTTGTTCAGATCATTTATTTTCTTACTGTTTTTTATTTACTTTTTACATCATTTATCAAGAGGAAAGTATTCAAACTTCCAACTATAAATGTGGATTTATCTATTTATCTTTGAGTTCTGTAAGCTCTTGTATTTTGAATCTCACTTATTTGGTACATAAATATTTAGGATTGGTATGTCCTCTTGAATTGAACCTTTAGTATTATGAAATAAACTTTTTTGTCTTCAGTAATATTCTTTGCTATGAAATTTACTTTGATATTAATATAGTCATTACAGAGTTTTTAAAATTTGTGTTAGCGTTGTTTCTGTATACTTAATGTGTGTTTTAGGCAGCATAAAGTGGGATTTTGCTTTTTTTAACAAATGCAATCTCATATTCTGTTTTTATTTAAGGTAGTCAGATTACTTACATTTAATGTGATGATTGATATCCTTAGGTTTAAGTTAATCATCTTCCTATTTGTTCTGCAGTTTCCCCATCTTACTTTGTTCACCTATCCTCTTCATCTGCCTTATTTCAAATAAATTTCTTTCTGGGATTCCATTTCATCTCCCGTGTTAGCTGTAATTCTTTTTTTGTTATTTCAGTGCATGTTTTGTGGTTTATACTAAACACCTGTCACTTTTTAGATTCTACCTTCAAGTGATATTACATCACTTCACATACAGTGTAAGAACCTCACAATAATATACTCTCATTTTGTTCTCCTGTTCTTTGTGCCATTGTAGTCGTATATTTTATTTTTATGGATATAAACTCCCTATTGCATTGTCATTAATTTTGTTTAAAGGATCACTTAACTTTAAGATATTTAAATCGTAAGAAAAAAATCTTGTATATTTACTTAGGTAGCCACCACTTCCAGCACTCTTTATTTCTTTGTGTAAATCAATATTTTTATCTAGTGTCATTTTCCTTCTGTTTAAAGGACTTCCTTTAACATTTCATGTAGTACAGTTCTCTGGTTGATAAATACTTGTATTCCTGGAGATGGTATTGTATTCCTATTTTGGGGATTTTTTTCTGATATGCAGTACAGTTACTTGAAAACAGTTTCATCCTTCTGGGTTTTACTTTTAAAATCTGTCAGGACCTGAGCAAGTATTCAATTTGAGTCTGATTATTCCCCTCATTTCCCACTACTAAGGTACAACCAGTCTGCACTCTACACAATTTCCTGTGAATCATGAAGTTTCTCACTTTATGGTGGGGAGAGGCACTATTCTTGGACCTGTGTGAGTACGGGGCACTGTTACCTCTCATCTTTTCAGGTAGGTTCTTTCTCCATCCTTGGCTAATTTTCTCACATAATTGCACTCATCAGTAGTCAGCTAAATACTCAAAGGGGAACCTCTGCAGATCTCTGGAATCCTCTCTCTGTACAGCACTATTTTATCCAGTCCTCCATCCCGTGAATTTTTGCCACCTAAGTCTCTTGGACTCTCAGATCTATCTCTTCAGTTTCAGGGGTCCACCAGTATCCTCCTGGGCACCTCAATCCTCAGCCTAGAAACGTTCTCAAGCTGCGTTTATCATAGGCTCACCTTATTTGTTTGCCATCTCTCAGAAATCACTGTTCCTTGTGGCCTGATTTCCAGTGTCTTATAGGCCACTGCTTTATCATTTCATCTGTTTTCCATCATTTCAGAATAAATTTACCCATATTATTCCATCTTGACAGAAAGTAGAATTCCTGAGGGTTGTAATTGCCCAAAGTATGTAGTTTAAATAACAGTCGAATGAATTGAAAGGCATAATCATACAGTTAAATCTAAGGTATATTTATATTAAAAACTTCTTTATAAAAGTAGATAAATATGAGCCTATAATTTAAAAATAGCTTTATGATTTGAATGATGATTTTCAAAACATCTAAAACAAAGTAGATTCTGCATCCTGATGTTTTTATCATTTTAAGTGAAATATTTATATGATAGAAGTCAGCCTATGACTCAAAAGCACTAGCAAACCAATTCCATATTTGTTAAATCTATGAAGATTAAATTTGTAGATTATTGGATTTTCTCTAACACGATTCAAAAAATTGACATTGTGTTAATTTGTGAATGTTTCACAGGGTTGGAGAATTTTAGAATTTGTTTTTTTAGCTTCAAATCAAAACCAAAAATTTTACATTGAGGAAGCCATTCTAGAAAGTAAGAATAACCTGACACTCTGTGCATGTGTGATTTTTCCATTTTTAAGTATTTAATAATTTCTTATATTTTATATGCCTTTACAATATAAATGATTTCTTCAAATAAAATTTAAAGACCACATGAAATTTTTTTTTTCAAAAGTCTCTCAAAAGGTCACTACAGGAGCCTACTACATAGAACCTAAAATTTTTAACTATGAATATGTGAGATTGAAGGGAAAGTAAATAAGTTTAAACGTCTTTCAGTGAATGCTCTAACCATGAAATTATGACTGAAGCGATCATTTAATATTAAAAATATTTTAACAAGGAGCTTTATCACAAAAGTCAAACTCACTCACCAATAAACATAATTTTGAAGTAAAAAAAAGACATCTGGAATAGGAACAGCTCCCGTCTACAGCTCCCAGCGTGAGCGACGCAGAAGACCGTGATTTCTGCATTTCCATCTGAGGTACCAGGTTCATCTCACTAGGGAGTGCCAGACAGTGGGCGCAGGTCAGTGAGTGCGCGCACCGTGCGCGAGCCGAAGCAGGGCAAGGCATTGCCTCACTTGGGAAGCGCAAGGGGTCAGGGAGTTCCCTTTCCGAGTCAAAGAAAGGGGTGACAGACAGCACCTGTAAAATCGGGTCACTCCCACCCGAATACTGCGCTTTTCCGACGGGCTTAAAAAATGGCGCACCATGGGATTATATCCTGCACCTGGCTTGGAGGGTCCTACGCCCACGGAGTCTCGCTGATTGCTAGCACAGCAGTCTGAGATCAAACTGCAAGGCGGCAGCGAGGCTGGGGGAGGGGCGCCCGACATTGTACGGGCTTGATTAGGTAAACAAAGCAGCTGGGAAGCTCGAACTGGGCGGAGCCCACCACAGCTCAAGGAGGCCTGCCTGCCTCTGTAGGCTCCACCTCTGGGGGCAGGGCACAGACAAACAAAAAGACAGCAGTAACCTCTGCAGACTTAAATGTCCCTGTCTGACAGCTTTGAAGACAGCAGTGGTTCTCCCAGCACGCAGCTGGAGATCTGAGAACGGGCAGACTGCCTCCTCAAGTGGGTCCCTGACCCCTGAGCAGCCTAACTGGGAGACACCCCCCAATAGGGGCACACTGACACCTCACACGGCAGGGTACTCCAACAGACCTGCAGCTGAGGGTCCTGTCTGTTAGAAGGAAAACTAACAAACAGAAAGGACATCCACACCAAAAACACATCTGTACATCACCATCATCAAAGACCAAAGTAGATAAAACCACAAAGATGGGGAAAAAACAGAAAAGAAAAACTGGAAACTCTAAAAAGCAGAGCAGCTCTCCTCCTCCAAAGGAACGCAGTTCCTCACCAGCAACGGAACAAAGCTGGATGGAGAATGACTTTGACAAGCTGAGAGAAGAAGGCTTCAGATGATCAAATTACTCTGAGCTACAGGAGGACATTCAAACCAAAGGCGAAGAAGTTGAAAACTTTGAAAAAAATTTAGAAGAATGTATAACTAGAATAACCAATACAGAGAAGTGCTTAAAGGAGCTAATGGAGCTGAAAACCAAGGCTCGAGAACTACGTGAAGAATGCAGAAGCCTCAGGGGCCGATGTGATCAACTGGAAGAAAGGGTATCAGCAATGGAAGATGAAATGAATGAAATGAAGCGAGAAGGGAAGTTTAGAGGAAAAGCAAATAAAAAGAAATGAGCAAAGCCTCCAAGAAATATGGGACTATGTGAAAAGACCAAATCTACGTCTGATTGGTGTACCTGAAAGTGATGGGGAGAATGGAACCAAGTTGGAAAACACTCTGCAGGATATTATCCAGGAGAACTTCCCCAATCTAGCAAGGCAGGCCAACATTCAGATTCAGGAAATACAGAGAACACCACAAAGATACTCCTCGAGAAGAGCAACTCCAAGACACATAATTGTCAGATTCACCAAAGTTGAAATGAAGGAAAAAATGTTAAGGGCAGCCAGAGAGAAAGGTCAGGTTACCCTCAAAGGGAAGCCCATCAGACTAACAGCTGATCTCTCGGCAGAAACCCTACAAGCCAGAATAGAGTGGGGGCCAATATTCACCATTCTTAAAGAAAAGAATTTTCAACCCAGAATTTCATATCTAGCCAAACTAAGCTTCATAAGTGAAGGAGAAATAAAATACTTTACAGACAAGCAAATGCCGAGAGATTTTGTCACCACCAGGCCTGCCCTAAAACCTAAAAGAGCTCCTGAAGGAAGCGCTAAACATGGAAAGGAACAACCGGTACCAGCCGCTGCAAAGTCATGCCAAAATGTAAAGACCATCAAGACTAGGAAGAAACTGCATCAACTAATGAGCAAAATAACCAGCTAACATCATAATGACAGGATCAAATTCACACATAACAATATTAACTTTAAATGTAAATGGAGTAAATGCTCCAATTAAAAGACACAGACTGGCAAATTGGATAAAGAGTCAAGACCCATCAGTGTGCTGTATTCAGGAAACCCATCTCACGTGCAGAGACACACATAGGCTCAAAATAAAAGGATGGAGGAAGATCTACCAAGCAAATGGAAAACAAAAAAAGGCAGGGGTTGCAATCCTAGTCTCTGATAAAACAGACTTTAAACCAACAAAGATCAAAAGAGACAAAGAAGGCCATTACATAATGGTAAAGGGATCAATTCAACAAGAAGAGCTAACTATCCTAAATATATATGCACCCAATACAGGAGCACCCAGATTCATAAAGCAAGTCCTGAGTGACCTACAAAGAGACTTAGACTCCCACACATTAATAATGGGAGACTTTAACACCCCACTGTCAACATTAGACAGATCAACGAGACAGAAAGTCGACAAGGATACCCAGGAATTGAACTCAGCTCTGCACCAAGCAGACCTAATAGACATCTACAGAACTCTCCACCCAAAATCAACAGAATATACATTTTTTTCAGCACCACACCACACCTATTCCAACATTGACCACATACTTGGAAGTAAAGCTCTCCTCAGCAAATGTGAAAGAACAGAAATTATAACAAACTATCTCTCAGATCACAGTGCAATCAAACTAGAACTCAGGAGTAAGAATCTCACTCAAAACCGCTCAACTACATGGAAACTGAACAACCTGCTCCTGAATGACTACTGGCTACATAACGAAATGAAGGCACAAATAAAGATGTTCTTTGAAACCAATGAGAACAAACACACAACATACCAGAATCTCTGGGACACATTCAAAGCCGTGTGTGGAGGGAAATTTATAGCACTAAATGCCCACAAGAGAAAGCAGGAAAGATCCAAAATTGACACCCTAACATCACAATTAAAAGAACTAGAAAAGCAAGAGCAAACACATTCAAAAGCTAGCAGAAGGCAAGAAAAACTAAAATCAGAGCAGAACTGAAGGAAATAGAGACACAAAAAACCTTTCAAAAAATCAATGAATCCAGGAGCTGATTTTTTGAAAGGATCAACAAAATTGATAGACCGCTAGCAAGACTAATAAGGAAAAAAAGAGAGAAGAATCAAATAGATGCAATAAAAAATGATAAAGGGGATATCACCACCGATCCCACAGAAATACAAACTACCATCAGAGAATACTACAAACACCTCTATGCAAATAAACTAGAAAATCTAGAAGAAATGGATAAATTCCTCGACACATACACTCTCCCAAGACTAAACCAGGAAGAAGTTGAATCTCTGAATAGACCAATAACAGGAGCTGAAATTGTGGCAATAATCAATAGCTTACCAACCAAAAAGAGTCCAGGACCAGACGGATTCACAGCTGAATTCTACCAGAGGTACAAGGAGGAACTGGTACCATTCCTTCTGAAACTATTCCAATCAATAGAAAAAGAGGGAATCCTCCCTAACTCATTTTATGAGGCCAGCATCATTCTGATACCAAAGCCAGGCAGAGACACAACAAAAAAAGAGAATTTTAGACCAATATCCTTGATGAACATTGATGCAAAAATCCTCAATAAAATACTGGCAAACCGAATCCAGCAGCACATCAAAAAGCTTATCCACGATGATCAAGTGGGCTTCATCCCTGGGATGCAAGGCTGGTTCAATAGACGCAAATCAATAAATGTAATCCAGCATATAAACAGAGCCAAAGACAAAAACCACATGATTATCACAATAGATGCAGAAAAAGCCTTTGACAAAATTCAACAACCCTTCATGCTAAAAACTCTCAATAAATTAGGTATTGATGGGACGGATCTCAAAATAATAAGAGCTATCTATGACAAACCCACAGCCAATATCATACTGAATGGGCAAAAACCGGAAGCATTCCTTTTGAAAACTGGCACAAGACAGGGATGCCCTCTCTCACCACTCCTATTCAACATAGTGTTGGAAGTTCTGGCCAGGGCAATGAGGCAGGAGAAGGAAATAAAGGGTATTCAATTAGGAAAAGAGGAAGTCAAATTGTCCCTGTTTGCAGACGACATGATTGTATATCTAGAAAACCACATTGTCTCAGCCCAAAATCTCCTTAAGCTGATTAGCAACTTCAGCAAACTCAGGATACAAAATCAATGTGCAAAAATCACAAGCATTCTTATACACCAACAACAGACAAGCAGAGAGCCAAATCATGAGTGAACTCCCATTCACAATTGCTACAAAGAGAATAAAATACCTAGGAATCCAACTTACAAGGGATGTGAAGGACCTCTTCAAGGAGAACTACAAACCACTGCTCAAGGAAATAAAAGAGGATACAAACAAATGGAAGAACATTCCATGCTCATGGGTAGGAAGAATCAATATCATGAAAATGGCCATACTGCCCAAGGTAATTTACAGATTCAATGCCATCCCCATCAAGCTACCAATGCCTTTCTTCACAGAACTGGAAAAAACTACTTTAAAGTTCATATGGAACCAAAAAAGAGCCCGCATTGCCAAGTCAATCCTAAGCCAAAAGAACAAACCTGGAGGCATCACACTACCTGACGTCGAACTATACTACAAGGCTACAGTAACCAAAACAGCATGGTACTGGTACCAAAACAGAGATATAGATCAATGGAACAGAACAGAGCCCTCAGAAATAATGCCGCATATCTACAACTATCTGATCTTTGACAAACCTGACAAAAACAAGCAATGGGGAAAGGATTCCCTATTTAATAAATGGTGCTGGGAAAACTGGCTAGCCATATGTAGAAAGCTGAAACTGGATCCCTTCCTTACACCTTATACAAAAATCAATTCAAGATGGATTAAAGACTTAAATGTTAGACCTAAAACCATAAAAACCCTAGAAGAAAACCTAGGCATTACCATTCAGGACATAGGCATGGGCAAGGACTTCATGTCTAAAACACCAAAAGCAATGGCAACAAAAGACAAAATTGACAAATGGGATCTAATTCAACTAAAGAGCTTCTGCACAGCAAAAGAAACTACCGTCAGAGTGAACAGGCAACCTGCAAATGGGAGAAAATTTTCGCAACCTACTTATGTGACAAAGGGCTAATATCCAGAATCTACAATGAACTCAAACAAATTTACAAGAAAAAAACAAACAACCCCATCAAAAAGTGGGCAAAGGACATGCACAGACACTTCTCAAAAGAAGATATTTATACAGCCAAAAGACACATGAAAAAACGCTCATCATCACTGGCCATCAGAGAAATGCAAATCAAAACCACAATGAGATACCATCTCACACCAGTTAGAATGGCAATCATTAAAAAGTCAGGAAACAACAGGTGCTGGAGAGGATGTGGAGAAATAGGAACACTTCTACACTGTTGGTGGGACTGTAAACTAGTTCAACCCTTGTGGAAGTCAGTGTGGCGATTCCTCAGGGATCTAGAACTGCAAATACCATTTGACCCAGCCATCCCATTACTGTGTATATACCCAAAGGACTATAAATCATGCTGCTATAAAGACACATGCACACATATGTTTATTGTGGTATTATTCACAATAGCAAAGACTTGGAACCAACCCAAATGTCCAACAACAATAGACTGGATTAAGAAAATGTGGCACATATACACCATGGAATACTATGCAGCCATAAAAAATGATGAGTTCATGTCCTCTGTAGGGACATGGATGAAACTGGAAAACATCATTCTCAGTAAACTATCACAAGAACAAAAAACCAAACACCGCATATTCTCACTCATAGGTGGAACTGAACAATGAGATCACATGGACACAGGAAGGGGAATATCACACTCTGGGGACTGTGGCGGGGTGGGGGGAGGGGGGAGGGATAGCATTGGGAGATATACCTAATGCTAGATGACGAGTTAGTGGGTTCAGTGCACCAGCATGTCACATGTATACATATGTAACTAACCTGCACAATGTGCACATGTACCCTAAAACTTAAAGTATAATAAAAAAAAAGAAAAAAAAAAGACATCTAAAAATTTACCAAATTATATGACTTAAATGGACAATGTGAACAGCAAAAGCATATCATCAAAAGCAAAATACATTATTTTAGATTCTAGAGATTCCTCTTGCCATGCTTGTGATGTATTTATACATCATAGGGTGAATACTAAAATGGTAAATTGCCATGAGCTGTTTCAGTACAGTTCAGCCTTAGAGGCTCTCAGAAGGACCTAATTTTGATTCCATCTCTAAGTAAATGCAGATGTCTACATTTCCTATGATCTTATTCTTTTTTACATTTACAGAATTGGAGATTCATCTTCCATTTAAGTACAAAGCAAATTGCTATTTCATATTAAAATACCTAAAGCAAATTGCTATTTAATATTAAAATACCTAATGTACCTAGACAGGTTTTGTTGTTATGGTGGTGATGGTGGTGGTGTAATGCTGAAAAATTTATACGATGGGAAATTTTTTTTTATTTAAAGTTGGAGGAAAATTTACCTCATGAAAATATGGTTAAATGAACTTGAATCATGTTTAAGTCAGCAGTCTTTATTCATCGCTTTATTCTAGTCATCATTTGATAGACTAACAAATAGTAGGCTCTCAATAAAAAAATTTCTCTAATTGAATTTGAATCAATTTGAGGACCTCAGATGAACTGGAACAAAAAGAAAGAGTAAAGTACAAGTAAACTGAAAAAGAAAATGTTAGTCCAAACTGTCAATTTATTTGCAAAATACCTCACATTTCTTTTTCTTCCTGTTTTTTAGAGATGGGATCTTGCTCTTTTGCCCAGGCTGGAGTGCAGTGGTGTGATCATGGCTTACTGCAGCCTTGAACTCCTGGGCTCAGGTGATTCTCCCACCTCAGCTTCCCTGGTAGCTGGAACTACAAGTGTGTACCACCATGCCTGGCTAATTGTTTAAATTTTCTGTAGAGACAGGGTTTTGCTACGTTGCCCAGGCTGGTCTCAAACTCCTGGCCTCAAGAAATTGTCCTGCCTTGGCCTCCCAAAATGTTAAGATTACTGGAGTGAGCTTTTCCTAATTTGTCAATTGAATTTTAGCTTTATTACTTGTGACTCTTTAATATTTTTATTAAATATTAGTTTAATAAATTTGTTAAATGTATAAATTAACAATTTTAAAATATGTTGTTAGTAATACATATTTACTGGAGAAAATTTAGAATTAGTAAATAATAAGATAATTGAAAACAATGACCACAAACAAAAGCCCAGGCCCAGATGGCTGCGCTGGTGAATTTTAGCACATACTAAGTTAATAATAATCCCCCTCTTTCATTTGTAATTTGAATACATTTTCTACTCATTTGCTACAAATTTGGAAAGTTTATTATAATAAAAAAGTATACTCAGCTTCTTTCTGGATTAATACTTTCTCAATTTTCAATGTGAGTTAATGAAATACTGTTTTACTGTTGACTAATTGATAACAAGTTATGAATAATATTTGTGTAATTATGCATCATATAATTCTTTTTATATCATAATATTCTTCCCATTGATTTCTAAGTTAAAATTGTTTTAAACTTTCAAACTATGGATGAACATTATGATCTATTATGATCTATTATGATCTATTATGATATGATATAGAAACATAAGGGAAACTGACCAGAAATAGATTAAACGAAAGATCTCTGAAACTATTTACTCATCTATTTCTCTGGTCATTTTTTAATGCATACATAGATATTTGTAGGAAGGACGTAGTACTATGTCATAAGCTGTGTTATCATCAGAGAGGCTTTTTAAAGTCAGCAAATTATTTTTAGCATCATACTTTATAGAAACTACATTTGCAATACACTATAATTTATTTCATCAATCTCTTATCACTAAGCATTTATAGTGGTTTAAAAACTTCTTTGATGAACATCTGATAAACATTTATCTGTGGAATTTTATCATAAAAATAAATATCTGAAGATGGAATTGCTGCATCAAGTATATTTAAATTTGATAAATATGACACATTACCTTTCAGAAAAAATGGAAGTTACGTTTTTTTCTTAGTGCTCAAAACTCAGAAACAGAAATTATTTTTCTACTACAATTTTGAAGTTAACCCAAACTTTTTTTTTCTGATGGTAACACACGGTTTCCCTTTTAATTACTAAACCCCAACAGGATGACTGCTATGGTTTGGATGTCGCCTCTAAAATTCATATTGAAACTTAATTCCCAATGTGGCAGTGTTGAGAGGTGGGGCCTTTAAGAGGTGATCATGAAAGCTCTGAATGGATTATTCCATTTGTGGCTTAATGGATTAGTGAGTTAATGAATTAAAAACTTATCATAAGAGGAGAACTGGTAGCTTTAAAGGATGGGGAAGAGAGCCCTGAGCTAGCATGTTAGCACATTCGGCCCCCTTGCCATGTGATGCCCTGCACCTGCTCAGAACCCCTTGAGTCTCCACTAGCAAAAAGGTTCTCAGCAGGGTTAGCCCCTCAACCTTGGACTTTGAGCCTCAAAACTGTAAAAATACATTTATTTTCTACAGAAATTACCATTTCAGATATTCTATTATAAGCAACAAAAATTGGATTAATACAATGATCCTTTTATAATGTTTTTACCATTCTTTCCCTCATCTTCCTATTTATGCCTCTCTGTAGGCCTTTAGAATGCTTTCAGTTATGCTTCTGACCTCTGACAACATACGGTTTTGTTGGTGTTTCCTTGTGGAATTCAAAGATGTTTTCACTATTTCATGCATTTTTTGGTGGGTTTACTGATTCCACTACTTCCTCTTCAGTTATTTCTGTATTAATGTTACATTCTTGTTCTTTTTAAAAAAGATTAATTTTTAAAGTATTTCTTTAGATCTTTTTGTGGATGACAGCATTTTTAAAATTCTTGCACGTCCCCAAATACCTATGTCTACCTTGCTTTGTGTCCATGGTCACAAGGCTCTTTTTTCGCATGCTATAGCATCTACTCCATAGTTTTCAATATCTCATTTTGCAGATGAGTCCAAAGCAGCAGATGCTTTACCTATGAAAATCATTCATCTTTCTTTCAAGAGGCATGCAAAACTTTTAATTTTCACAAGACTTAAGGGATTTTACAGACGATACTGAGATACATGTCTTTTCTCATAATTTTTCCTGGCGTAGGTGAGGCAATTCAGGCTGCAGTTTCGGGGCTTTTTATAACTCAGGGAACATTTCTTTGCTTTTGTATAATCTCGTCTATTCTATTATCTTCCTTCATATTTATTATTGTATATGTGCTAAGTCCTCTGGATGTTACTTCCAATCTCTGATCTTTCCTCACACTTTCATATTTTTTGTTTTGTACTTTTATCTATTTTTTGCATTTAAGATTTTAGGCAACTAAATCTAGTCTCACCAGTGATTTGCCCTTGAATAGTTTGTAGATTTCATTTGTTAGGTCCCAAAAAACACTGGTTGTGTTATTGGGAATGTCCTTCAATAATGTAACTTTTAAACATTCAAGTTGCTTTTCATCTTGTCTTTGGTGTATATGCCTTGCTTATTCTGGATGGCATTATTCTTTCCAGATGCAGGTTAAGTTCTTTCAGAGAAGTTTGGAAAAATATGAAAAAAAGAGACATTTATTCATTTCTTACTAGAGGTTTCAGAAGGAGAAAAAAATAAAGTGGCAAAAGACAATATTCAACATAATGATGCTTATAAATTCTTAGTGATAATCAAAAGAAGGTTTCTTAGTGCTGGCATAACTGTAACAGAATACAGAACACACACACACACATACACACACACACATATGCATATACACACATATGGCTAAAAATTATTGAAAGCAGCTGGAAAGATACATGTAAACACAAATTCCACAAGAGAAAGAAGACAATTAGCTTGAAGGATAATTTCTCAATAGACACAAGAGAAACTCAAAACTATTGGGTTTCTACATTCAAATTGAGGAAAATAAATGATATTCAATCTCAAAATCTGTATCTAGAAATAATTTAAAAATCAGTTGAATAAAGACATTTTTAGATAAATTAAAAAACAGAATTTCCCATCAATGAGTCTCTCTTAAAATAATTTCCAAAGAACAGACTCTGGAAAGAAGAAAATTATCGCAGAAGAAAAGCCCAAGATGAGCAGGGAAATACTGAATGAAGAAGTTGAGAAACATGTTGGTAAATTTAAATAAACATTAACTTTATAAGATAATAATAATGATGTCTAGCTTGTTCGAGAGACAAAAATAAAATAGAACTAAAATATTCTGATTACTCATTTAACCTAAAGAATTAGGGTTTATCTTAAAGTGGTGTACTATTATGATACAATTTGGGACAAGAATAAAGTTATTGAATTAATAATTGCATTAAAACATTTGATGTGCTCTTGTAAGTGTCTGCTGTAGAAACTTGCAAAAGAAAACTGAATATAGAATTAAAACAAAGATACATAAGTCATATTTGGGTAATGTAAAAAACAAAGCAAAACAAAATTTGGATTCTGCTTTGAACAATGGAAATACATTGGTTTGAAAATTATTTCTGTAAGCAAATTGTATTATTGAAAACCTCCTTTTTTAACTTTTAAGTTCTGGGTACATGCGCAGGTTTGTTATATAGGTAAACTTGTGTCATGGGTGTTTGTTATACAGATTATTTCATCATCCAGGTATTAAGTCTAGTACCCATTAGTTATTTTTCCTGATCCTCTTTGTCTTCCCACTCTCCAACATGTGTTGTTTCTCTCTATGTGTCTATGTGTTCTTATCATTTAGTTCCTACATATAAGTGAGAACATGTGAAAAACCACCTTTTTTTGACCCTACAAAATCATAGAGATATATTTAAATAACATAATTTTGACACCAGGTACCATATTATTAATAAAATATATGTTTATTAAATAATTCTCCAGCATTGCTTAGTTTAGTTTGGTTTGGTTTGTTGTTTCTTCTCCAGCAGACATCTCTTTTCAGCTAACAGTGATGTCATGTGCACAGCATAAAAATTCTGTATCCACCATTCTTTATCCACACAGAGATAGAGCATATACCTAAGAATAAGAGTATCTGCTTCCTTATTTGTATTGCTTCTTAATTTTCACTGGATACCACTTTCTATTTCATTGAAGCAGAATCAATTTTCCCATATAATTTCAAAATGAAAATATGTCTTATTGATTTTTTGTTTATTTGTTTTGATACAAAGTCTCGCTCTGTTGCCTAGACAGGAGTGCAGTGGCGCGATCTCGGCTCACTGCAACCTCCGCCTCCTGGATTCAAGCAATTCTTCTGTCTCAGCCTCCAGAGTGGCTGGGACTACAGGCGCCTGCCACCATGTCTGGTTAATTTTTTTGTATTTTTAGTAGGGACGGACTTTCACCATATCGGTCAGGCTGGTCTTGAACGCCTGACCTCAGGTGATCTGCCTGCCTTGGCCTCCCAAAGTGCTGGGCTTACAGGCGTGAGCCACTGCACCTGGCCATTTTATTAAATTTTTGAAATTCTGACTTACACACACTTAGCAAATCTTTCTCCTAAACAATGAAGAAAATTAAACCTATATTTTAAAAATTCTATGTAGAAAACACATCTATCTGGTTTATACAGATGGGTTCTATAGTACATCCAAGGAAATTATCATTCTAATCTTACATAAACTTTATCAGATATTGGGGAAATAAAACATACCCACATCATTTTATAAGTCTAGTATAATTGAGATATCACAACTGGGCAAAGAGAGTTTATGAAAAGAAAAATATACTGTTCTTTTTGTTTAGGACAATTTAAAACTGTAAAGCACTATATAGTATTAGGAAACTGTATACAATATGCTAACACATAGAATTATTATATACAATTAGATTTTACTTATATATATACCTATATAAGTGAATATATAGGTATATATATGTATATACAGTGTGTATGAGTAAATATAAGTATATACAGTGTGTATGAAAATGTGTCATATATATCATGAAACATTAATTAATATGATGTATACATACATGCACATATGTTTGAATGGTTTGAATATATACATGCACATTACATGCATATTATATGGCATGACAGACTATGTTCTATTCATGCTGTGTATTATTAACATAGGCACAGAGATGTTTTTCCTTGTTTTAATAAAATTTATCAGTCAAAAACCTACAGCAAGCATCATGCTTAAAATAGATACATTAGACATAACATCTTTGCAATAAAACCTACAATACTTTGTAATAAAACCTAGTATTTAAATATCTGTGTCTATTACACAGATATTTAATGCTGTATAATGGACAGATATTTTAATACTGTATAATTTTTAATACTACACTAGCAATCCTTGCAGAGTGGATGATTAAAGAAAAGAAAATACTGCAATGGGACAAAAATATTTATATGCATATTTATTTATATATAGTCCACCAAAGTATTTACTTATTATTTCTTAAATTTTTTATATTACACGGTTTTTAAATACACAGAAAAAATATATTTGAAAACAAGAAAGGGTTAATTTTAGCCTTTCTGTTGTAAATAAATTTAACTTTTCTCAAGTATTTTAGAAATAGCTACTTAAGTTTTTCATATTTTAAAAAATATATTAATATTTTACATAATTATTCACTATTTAGGAACATGCTATTATTTTTTATTTTTCTTTTCCTTTGTAACTTAATTATATTGAAATAATTTTACTCTTGCTAGGAAAGATTAATTGCCCTCAGTTTTCTAAGTCATTGTTTATTATTTTTACATAATTTACCCTGATAATAAAAGTATAAAAATCACACTTCGTTTTTTATTAATTTCATTACATGTTGTAGAAACATGTTTATTTATTCATTCAAAAATAGTCTGCTATTTTTTAACCAAGCAATAGGTTAGCTATTAAAATTTCAGTGGTGAATAAAATAGTAAGTCTCCATTTTCATAGAACCTTTAGGGGTAACAAAAATTATGGAAAAAATCAGGCAGGGCGCAGTGACTCACACCTGTTATCTCAGCACTTTGGGAGGCCAAGGAGGGTGGATCACGTGACGTCAGGAGTTCGAGACCAGCCTGGCCAACATGGTGAAACTCTATCTCTACTAAAAATGCAAAAATTAGCCAGGCATGGTGGCGGGCATCTGTAATCCCAGCTACTCAGGAGATTGAGGCAGGAGAATCACTTGAACCCAGGAGACAGAGGTTGCAGTGAGCAGAGATTGCACCATTGCATTACAGCCTGGGTGACAAGATTGAAACTCTATCTCAAAAAAAAAAATAAAAGAATTATGGAAAAAAATCAGTCAAAAGTATTTTGATAGGTGTTAGGAAAAAATTAATCAGAAGTTAGATTGAAGAGCATATAAAATGAGACCTGACCTTCAAGAATGTACTATTTGAACTAAGACCTTGTTTTAATAATTATCCTATAACTAGATAAAGGAGGTTAAGGATAGAAGATCTAGACAGATGTGGAATCACATGAGGGTTCTGAAGGCAGCCACAGCCTGTCTGGAATGGCCACTGCTGCTATGCTGGATACAGTGAAGGGGTGCAAGTGGTGGGGGCAGGAGCAGCTACAGGAGCAGCCAATTGCCCCACCTCCACCTTCACAGGGCCGGGCAGGGACTGCCTCCAGGCCCAGAGCCTCTGCAGATCTGGGCCCTGCCCCCACATTGAGGCTCTTGCCTGCTGCTGCTGTGAGGAGGGTGCAGGAAGGAGGTGGTGCAGGAAGGAGGTGGAGCTGGACCCCGTGGGGTGCCAAACTCCATGAAACCAGTGAGAGCCAAGCACAAGCAGGAGCCATCTTGGAGCCCACCACCCTGGTGGCTGCCAAAATGGGGCCAAAGCCGAGTCACCTGCTGGCAGGGGAGCAGCACAGTAAGGAAAAAAGCGGTGGGCAGAGAGGAGCCCAGTGAGCACCTGGAGCCCTCCCACCCCCTGAAGCTGCGAGGAGGCACCTCGCAGGTGCAGGACCCAGGTCTCTCTGCAGTCTGCTCCCTTGGGAGCCTGGGAAGCCCCCCACCCTGCCCCACAGGCTTGGGGATTTCTCCTCCTTCTGAATTGGCCTCTTCCTGCTCCTGGCACCCACTTCAATCTTGGAGCAGGGTTGGGGCTAAGCCCAGGCACTGTCACACCCCAGCTAGGTGTGTGCACACTCAGGGCGGTGCTGACACATTGGCCCCCTGCTGCCTTGGTACCCTCTGGACTTTGGATGCCAAGAAGCACAAGGGTTTGGGGAACAGAAGGGGTTCTGAGGGCAGCTTGCTGCTGGCCTGCAGGTGTCCCTAGGCACGAGCAGCCTGGGCATCATCGATGGTGGCAGGAGGCAGACAGGCTCCTGGGCAAAAAAGGGTGTGTCCCCAGGAGGGCCTGAAGGCTGGGGACTGGGTTGCCACTCCCGCAGAGTGGAGTCCATTTGTCCTGCCGTTTTCTCACCCACCCATGGCTGCCCATGAACCAATCAGCATGTTTTTTCTCCTCTCTGAGGCCCATAAGAACCCCAGGCTTGGTCGGGTGCAGTGGCTCACACCTGTAACCCCAGAACTTTGGGAAGCTGAGGTGGATGGTTCACGAGATCAGGAGTTCAAGACCAGCCTGGCCAACATAGTGAGACCCCTACTAACAATACAAAAATTAGCTGGGCCTGATGGTGTGCACCTGTATTCCCAGCTACTTGGGAGGCTGAGGCAGGAGAATCGCTTGAACCGGAGAGGCAGAGGTTGTGGTGAGCTGAGATCATGCCAGTGCACTCCAGTCTGGGCAACAGAGCAAGTGAGACTCCGTCTCAGAAACAAAAAAACAAAAAAACCCAGGCTTAGCTGCAGAGAGGAACTACCCTCTCCACTGAGAGCTGAACACTCATTGGGACAGCCAACTGCAGAGAGCAGCTGCCCTCTCTGCTAGGAGCTGAACATATTTGATGGTGTATCCTGGCTATGGAAAGGAGCTCCCCACTGCGGGCCTCCTGTAAGCGGTTCCATTGCTCAACAAAGTTCTGCTTTGTCTTGCTCAACCTTCCTTGTCTATGTACCTCATTCTTCCTGATCACAGGACAAGAACACAGGACCCACCAAATGGTAAGGCTAAAAGAGCTGTAACACAAACAGGCCTGAAACATGCCTCTTGCTCACCACAGACAGACAAGGAGAAAAAGAGAAGAGCTGCAGACCTTTGGAGAGCCCAGACCTGGGAGCTCCCCGAGCAAGGGCTGTGACTCCGTCTTTGGGGCCCTGTGGTTCCTGATGTCTCCAAACTTCTGGGTGCCACTGTGTTTCCCAGTGCTTGGTCCAGCTGTAGCCTTGGAGAGAGCCGGCGCCCATGCTGGCACCTGGAGCTGCCTGCCCTGCTGCAACAGCTGGCATGTCTGACTGTGTACAGTTGTGTGGCATGTCTGATTGTGTGTAGTGTGCACACTCACAGTGTGTGGCATGTCTGACTGGGTGCAGTGTGCACATGCTCGCTCACACACCCCTTGCCATTCCACATCTAATTCTCCCTTGTCAGGTGTGGAATCCAGGCTGGTAGCATGAGCTGAGCACAGCCTGCAAGGCTGAGTGGGTGAAATAAGTCTAGTGGGCCTGAGCAGACAGGCAAAGCTGTCACAAGTCACAAAGGTTTTGGCCAGAAAAGCAACCCAAGGATCCCATAACAGTTGCACATGATGTATGTACAACAAATGAATACAGTCTTGAAAGAGGACACATAAAAATAAGAATATTAGGCAGCAAAGTTAGAGAAGTTAATATAAAAGAAGAGGGAGCTGGAGGCCATGGCAGTTAGTGCGCATTTCTAAAGACCAATAGGAACATAATGAGGAGCTTTAAGAAAGTAATGTGGCTGGGCACAGTGGCTCATGCATGTAATCCAAACACACTGGGAGGCCGAGGCAGCCAGATCATGAGGTCAGGAGATCAAGACCATCCTGGCTAACACGGTGAAACCCCATCCCCAGCAAAAATACAAAAAATTAGTTGGGCGTGGTGGCAGGCACCTGTAGTTCCCGCTACTCGGAAGACTGAGGCAGGAGAATCACTTGAACCCGGGAGGCGGAGGTTGCAGTGAGCCAAGATCACACCACTGCACTTCAGCCTGGGTGACAGAGCAGGAACTCTGTTTCAAAAAAAAAAAAAAGAAAAGAATCTACACAGTCAGATTTGCTTTTTCTATGTTACTTGAGTATGATGCTGTGAATGAATAAAGATTACTGCTAAATTAAGAAGAAATTGAGAAGACTGGGGTGTGTGGGTGTCAGTCATACATTCAGTTACTGACATGTTCAATGTGAGGTACCTTTCAGATATTCAAAAAAGACATACTAGGTAGACAATTACACTTGTAATAGCAATGCATGACTTAAAATTATAACACTGGACACATCATCCTATAAATGCTAACTGAGTTAATTAGATGAGATTCTGTAGAGAAAATGGACACTATAAGAAATAATAGTGTCCAGAACTGAGTTATAATGACCTCTAATATTTAATGATAAATGAAAGAAGAGGAACTGATGACTGAACCTGAGAAGAAACCAATAAACTTGTAATAACAGAAGAACAAACCCAGGTGGTGCTAAAGAAATCACAGTTCATCAAAAAGGAGGGACAAGTGGACTTGCCTTGTTAAAGATGGACTGCCTTACCAAATATGACAAATATTAAAATATGTTTAGATTTCAATGATGACCAAATATGTAAATAAGACACTGGAATTTATTCGTCAAATTCCTGATAATATTAAATGTTACATGAGCAATTGGATGTTAAAGCACAACTTTTCGGCTGGGTGCGGTGGCTCACGCCTGTAATCCCAGCACTCTGGGAGGCCGAGGTGGGCGGATCACAAGGTCAGGAGATGGAGACCATTCTGGCTAATACAGTGAAACCCCGTCTCTACTAAAAATACAAAAAATTAGCCGGGCGTGGTGGTGGGCACCTGTAGTCCCAGCTACTTAGGAGGCTGAGGCAGGAGAATAGCATGAACCCGGGAGGGTGAGCTTGCAGTGAGCCAAGATTGCACCACTGCACTCCAGCCTGGGCAACAGAGCGAGACTCCATCTCAAAAAAAAAAAAAAGCACAACTTTTCCAATTTCATTTCTGGTATATAAGCCTTGCCATCCACAGCTGCCCAGGTAGTGTCATTCGCAGACTCTAAAGTTTTGATGTGCACAGATTTCACTACCTTTCAAAGGCTCAGCCCTGTGCCTGGGTCAGCAAAGCAATAAGTGCCACACTCCAAGGTGAGTAGAAAAGTCAGGATGTAAAATTTATAAAGGATGTAATTGAGCTAATTTCAAAGCTCTTCAGTTTTACTGCCAAAAAAATATAGTGAATTGGAAGTTGTTGGCAAGTAAAGAGAATATTTTAATATTGTCAAAGTTGTTGATGTTTCCCCCTTATCCCAAGTGCAAAAAGTGATGCTGTAATGAGACCTCCTCCAACTTGGAGAAGTTTTAAGTGATCTCTTCATATTAGAGGGAATAAGAGACTGTGTGTTTCACATGGTCTAGAGTCTAGAAAGTAAGAATTGGTCAGCCTGATTTAACTATGGGGCCAGGGAGAGGTAGGTGTGTGGGGATTGGTCTGATCTCCCAAAGTATCTCAGAAAAAAAATGAGTGATTGCCATGGACCAGATATGGACTAGGGGTTCATGGTATGGTCATCACCTAGAATGGGGGATATACCTCACCAGAATGAAAGTCAACCTCTGATGCCAAAAGGCTTAGAAAACAGAGGTAATCAACAAAACTGTGGATACAGTATTCTCTTCCACACTTCACAGGAACGTCACATTTGAGATCTCCAGCTAACAGGCTATATTTCCATTTCTTTCCTATAGAAAAAAATAAATAGATTAAATACCTCTCATACCCAAAGAACTTAATGCTACCTCATGAGAATATTGGTCAAGTAAGAACTTTTTTGCCCACTTTCTCACCTTGCTCTCTATTTAGCACGGCTGGATGGAATGGAAATCATGAGTCAACTGGGTGGGAGTTGGGCACATTCTTTTGTTCTACAGAAGACCAACCTGCTTCCAGTCCAAGCTAAGCAAGGATGGCAGCTACAACTTTAAGTAAAGTCTAAATGCCTTATAATTATATTAGATTTGACATATTATTAATTAATTGAGATTGCAATTTTATCTGACAGTGATCCAAATATCATGGAGCTTATCCTAATTTTCATTGACCAGTAGCAAAAAAATCACACACAAAACAAAAGTAAAAGGATAATGATAGTATAACATAAAACCATTTCTGATTACAGCCTGTATTAGTCCATTTTCACACTGCTGATAAAGACATAACAGAAACTGGGCAATTTACAAAAGAAGGAGGTTTAATGGACTTACAGTTGTACATACGTGGGGAGGCCCCACAATCATGGCAGAAGGTAAAAGGCATGTCTTACATGGTGGCAGACAAGAGAAGAGAGCTTGTGCAGGGAAACTCTCATTTTTAAAAACATCAGATCTTGTGAAACTAATTTACTATCATGAGAACAGCACAGAAAAGACCCATCCCCATGATTCAATTAACTCCCACTGGGTTCCTCCCATGACATGTAGGAATTATGGAAGATACAATTCAAGATGAGATTTGGGTGGGCGGCACAGCCAAACCATGTCATTCTGCCTCTGGCCCCTCCCAAATCTCATGTCCTCACATTTCAAAACCATTAATGTCTTCCCAACAGTCTCCCAAAGTCTTAACTTATTTCGGCATTAACTCAAAAGTCCACAGTCCAAAGCCACATCTGAGACAAGGCAAGTCTCTTCCACCTCTGAGCCTGTAAAATCAAAAGCAAGTTAGTTACCTCCTAGATACAATGGGGGTACAGGTATTGGGTAAATACAGCCATCCCCAAAACAAAGGGGCTATGGACCCAATGGAGGTCCGAAATCCAGCAGGGCAGGCAAATTTTAAAGCTCCAAAATTATCTGCTTTGACTCCATGTCTCACATTCAATAACACTGATGCAAGAGGTAAGTTCCCCTGGTCTTGGACAGCTCCGCCCCTGTGGCTTTGCAGGGTACAGCCTCCCTCCCGGATGCTTTCATGGGCTGGCATTGAGGGTCTGTGGCTTTTCCAGGGACATGGTACAAGCTGGCAGTGGATCTACCATTCTGGGATCTGGAAGACAGCGGCCCTCTTCTCATAGCTCCACAAGGTGGTTTCCCAGTAGGGACTCTGTGTGGGGATTCCAACCCCATAGTTCCCTTTTTCACTGCCATAGCAGATGTTCTCCATGAGATCCCTGCCTCTGCAGCAAACTTTAGCCTGGGCATCCAGGCATTTCCATTCATCTTCTGAAATCTAGGTAGAGGTTTCCAAACCTCAATTCTTGACTTCTGTGCCCTCGCAGGCTCAACACCACGTGGAAGCTGCCAAGGCCTGAGGCTTCCACCCTCTGAAGCCATGGCCTGAGCTCTACATTGGCCCCTTTAAGCAATGGCTGAAGCTGCTGGGATTCAGGACACAAGTCCCTAGGCTGCACATAGCACAGGGACTCTGGACTCAGCCCACAAAACAACTTTTTCCTTCTAAACCTTCAGGCCTGTGATGGGAGGGGCTGCCATAAAGGTCTCTGACATGCCCTGGAGACATTTTCTCCATTGTCTTGGTGATTAATATTCTGCTCCTTGTTACTTATGCAAATTTCTGCAGTCACTTGAATTTCTTCTCAGAAAATGGGATTTTCTTTTCTACCACATGGTCAGGCTACACATTTTCCAATATTTTATGGTCTGTTTCTCTTTTAAAACCTTTAACAGCACCCAAGTAACCTCTTGAATGCTTTGCCGCTTAGAAATTTCTTCCTCCAGATACCCTAAATCATCTCTCTCAAGTTCAAAGTTCCACAATTCTCTATGGCAGGGGCAAAATGCCACCAGTGTTTTGGTAAAACATAACAAGACTCACCTTTGCTCCACTTCCCAACAAGTTCCTCATCTTCATCTGAAACCAACTTAGCCTGGATTTCATTGTCCATATCATTATCAGCATTTTGGGCAAAGTCATTCACAAGACTCTAGGAAGTTTGAAACTTTCCCACATTTTCCTGTCTTTTTCTGAGCCCTCCAAACTGTTCCAACCTCTGCCTATTACCTAGTTCCAAAGTTACTCCCACATTTTTAGGTATCTTTTCAGCAGCACCTCGCTCCTGGCATCAATTTAGTCTGTTTTCATGCTGCTGATAAAGACATACCCAAGACTGGGCAATTACAAAAGAAAGAGGTTCAATGGACTTACAGTTCCACATGGCTGGGGAGGCCTCACAATCATGGCAGAAGGTGAAGGCACGTCTCACATGGTGGAAGACAAGAGAAGAAAGCTTGTGCAGGAAAACTCACGTTTTTAATACTGTCAAATCTTGTGATACTTATTTACTATCCTGAGAACAGCACAGGAAAAACCTGCTTCCATGTTCAGTTACCTCCCACCGGGTTTCTCCCACAACATGTGGGAATTGTGGGAGTTACAATTCAAGATGAGATTTGGGTGGGGACACAGCCAAACCATCTCACAGCTCTTGAGTACTGTTTCATTAACGTAACTGTGACATTTATACCTATTATAAAAGTAATTATTTCCATTATGTGTTATATCAGTATTTTAATAATTTATAATTTTAACAAATTAATATTTATATAACTTAAAAGCTTCCCATAATTTGTGTCTTCTCTTTCATTGCTTCATCTAAGGCAGAAGTTTGTAAACTATAGCTTGTAGGTAAAATCTACCTCTCCACCTGTTTTTGTAAATTAAGCTCTATTGGAACATAGTTATATTCATTTGTTTATGTATTGTCTAAAGCTAGTTTTTTGATATAACAGAAAACTTAACTAATTGCAACACAGCCTATATGCCGAATAAAACTAAACTATTTAATATACAGAAAAATTTTGCCAACCTCTGATTTAGAGCAATATTCTGTGTAACTTCCAGAATCTGATGAAAGAGCAGCTTCATCATATTAAAAGATTTTTCACTCAGCCGATTTTCAGATTGATAGTAACAGACTGATTTTAAATGGAAATGAAACATGCTAATGTGTCTATGTGTATAGCATGTTTTCATGAAATCCTGAAAACTGTCAAAGTTGTGCATCTTACTTACAAATTTTAACGTTAATTTCTCTCATTTATTTGTGGTGGGGATATGTCAGTGTAGTTCCACTACTCAATTATACTCATATGTAGAATAAAAGAGGTGATGTTTAAGACTTAATCCATTAGTAAGCTGCAATTCATGTAATCTACGTATAATTGACAGAGCCTGGAAATTTTTCTTTACAATTTTAAATAACCCTTCTATAATATAAATTGAAATTAATTTCAAAATGGAGTAAAAAGGAAACTGAAAATATAAAAATAAAAATATCATCTCTAAAACACAAACAATGGGACCGAGACAGATCTATTAACAGATACTGATAGCTGATATCATGATAAGTGTATGCTACATAAACTAAAGCACCACCAACATCAACCTTGCAATTGCAGTGATATATTTACAAATATCTAAAAGAAACGTGAAGTTCAATTTGAAATATGAGATCAAAATCAAGTCTGGAGACATGTTTTATTTGGTCCTGAAAAGTGCTCACATATTGCTATAATTACTATGAAAATATCACTAGTAGTATAAGTGCCATAACTATGTTTTTAAAAAGCCCTGAAGTAAAAAGATGTAATGAGAGAAAAGATGGGAGAATAAAACAGGAGAAAATAATTCCCTATATATTCTCCAACATGAATATATCTTGTTACATATGGTAAGAGTCAAATTAAGGACTGGCCAGCTGGGCAGTTGCCCATGACACTTAAATAGAAAATATAGAATTTTCAAAATGAAACAATTTGGAAACATATAAATCAGCCCTGCTTTCACTTAGAGAGTGATGTCTTTTTTATTTTTCATTTTCCCAGTTCTATCAAGACATAACTGACAAATGAAAATGGCATATATTTAAGGCATACAATGTGATGTTTTGATATATGTATACATTATGAAATGATTACCATAATCAAGCTAATTAACATATCCATGACCTCACATAGTTACAATTTTGTAGGATGGGAAAACATTTCAAATTGACTCTCTTCAAAGTATACAACACAGTATGATTAAATAATATTTTTTAAAACAAAAATTATTTGATATATATATCCATAGCAAAATGGTTACTGGCATCAAGCAAATAAACATGTTTATCAGCTCACATAGTTAATGCATTTTATTTCTGTGGCAAGAGCATTTAAAATCTACTCTTTTAGCAAAATCATAAATATGTTTATTTGAAAAACAAAACAAACAAAAATTACTTAACATAAGATACTGTCCAGTACATTTCATTAAGCCATGTGTACATTCTGTTGCAAAGAATGGGTGAATTTGTCCAGGGTATTCCAGCTGGTGGTGATCTGACTTGGAACTGGAATCTGAAATTCTGTTTGTTTGTATAATGTATTCTACATTTGTCCTTCTGTATTTCTGTAGGTGTTACAAGGTTTTTGTTTGTTTGTTTGTTTGTTTAACTTTTATTTTAAGTTCAGGGGTACATGTGGAGGTTTGTTACTTAGGTAAACTTGTGTCATGGGGGTGTGTTGTAATGATTATTTTATCACCCAGGTATTTGATCTAGTACCCATAGTTATTTTTCCTGATTCTCTCCCTCCTCCCACCCTCCATCATCCTATAGGCCCCAGGGTGTGTTCTTCCCCTCTATGTGTCCATGTGTTCATCATTTAGCTATTTAGCTGCCACTTATAAGGGAGAATATATGGTATTTGGCTTTCTGTTCCTGTGTTAGTTTCCTAAGGATAGTACCCTCCAGCTCTATCCATCTCCCTGTTAAATACACACACACAATCAATCAAATACAAAAATTACAAACACCAAACTTAATACAGAGTCAATGTCCCAGACATTGTGATAATGTCCCTTTATAAGACTATGTCTCATAATTAGGATAAAATCTCTGACTTCAAAAAGCTTATATTTACTAAAGTTATGATAAACATATGCACATACATACATAAAGACAAAGACGCACACACATCCTCTCACATGTAGACATACCTATGTAGACATACATACATACTAGAGGGAAGGAGGAAAGAGAGTGGAGGAAAAGAGAAAGCTGACCCTGTGGAAATCCAGAAGAAGATTATGAGAAGTGGGTGCAGGAAATATCAATGCCTTGAAGAGTTCCAACTGTGAATTCATTGTTATACATGACTTCAAGCCTTTTACATATTTTAATTCTATATTTTTCTTGCTAAATCAATTTCTGGGTTCACTTACACATCTTGATTAGACATTCTTCCTACAAGACAAAGAACACACCTGAATGACAAAATTATCTTTTGGTATTTAAATTAAATGCATGGTTACATTCCAGCACTAACTTCCTGTGAAAATCAGCTTTGCATTAGTATATAATGATGTGCTCCCTAAAATACTTGGAAAAGCAATAAACATAAAATACAATTAGTTATGTAAGCGGAAGACATACATTTTGAGAAATGTATTATTAGGCAATGTTGTTGTATTAGTATGTTTTCATGCTGCTGATAAAGACATAGCCAAGACTGGACAATTTACAAAAGAAGAGGTTTGGTGGACTTACAGTCCCACATCCTGGGGAGGCCTCACAATCATGGTGGAAGGTGAAAGGCACATCTCACCATGGCGGCAGACAAGAGAAGAGAGCTTGTGCAGGGAAACTCCCCTTTTTAAAACCATCAGATCTCATGAGACTTATTCACTATCATGAGAACAGTACGGAAAAGACTTGCCCCCATGATTCAATTACCTCCCACCGGGTCCCTCCAACAACATGTGGGAATTCAAGATGAGATTTGGGTGGGGACACAGCCAAACCATATCAGTTTTCATTGTGCAAACATCATAGAATGTACTTACACAAACCTAGATGGTATAGGCTACTACACACCTAGGCTATATGGTATATCCTATTGCTCTTGTTAGTGGTGGAGAATCCAGACCGGTCTCCAGCAACCTCAATTCTTGCCTCCTCAGAAGAAAGAATTTGACTGAAGTGCATAAGACAGAAGAAGACACCGAGACAAGTTTTAAAGCAGGAGTGAACATTTATTAAAAAGCTTTAGAGCAGGAGTGAAAGGAAATACAGTACACTTGGAAGAAGGCCAAGTGGGCAACTTAAGAGATCAAGTGCATGGTTTGACCTTTTGACTTGGGGTTTTATACATTGGCATACTTCTGGGGTCTTGCATTACTTTTACCCTGATTCTCCTTTATGGGTTGGCTGTCTCCATGATCAGTGGCTGCTAGCACTTAGGAAGGAGCAGGCATAGTGTGTTTACTGGAGTTGTACTCATGCTCACTTGAGGCATTCTTCTCTTACCAGTGGGGCATTTCTAGAGAAAGTTCACATACCAGTTAAACTCTGCCATTTCTTCCCTTTAATGTGCATGCTTAAGCTCACTCACTCAACTCCTGAGATCTTTTCGGGGAGTTGCTGATCACCAGACTCTTCTGTTTTCTATCTATTGGAAGATTGTCCTTCCCTGGCGCTGGTTGTGACAAATTATTATTTTAAAGAGACAGTTAACAACCATCTGACCTTATAGTTGCCTGACATTCTGGTGTGGGCTGTGGCAGCGGGTGGGGAGGCTCTGCTGCCCTGCTCATGCCTGACTAGCTACCTACCATAACACTTCATCTCTTTCCTATGGGTTTCTTGTGCCTGCAGCCTTGGGCTGGCCTATATCTTTGTCTCTATAACTTTATAGTGACTCTTACATAAAGCATTTTAGCAACAAAATGATTTTTTTTTTGTCATATTCCCATTTCCCATGTTCTTTAAGTAGAGGAGAAGCCTGTTTTTCAGCTAACTGCCACAAGGGACTGGACTTCCTTCTCCACCCCCTTCAAATATGACCTTGAAGGTTTTGATGCATATTGAGACAATGGAAGTAATTAGAGAAAGGGAGGCTACAGGAGAAAGTGAGAGGAAGTGAGAGGAATACTCATGAAAAGCCTTCATGTGCTCACAAAAACAGCAGCCCTTGCATTCAAGAAGGCAATGTTTATTTAACCTCTTGATGTAATGTAGTAACCTCTGGAAGACTTGCGGCTTGGGGTAAAAACTCACAGGTTACAAAGGAAAAATTTTCCCTCCTCCCAAAGGGGTGCCAACTCAAAGAAAAGGAAGTAGGTGGGAACTTAAAGGGTCAAAGTGAGGCCCTAATGCAAGCAGACAAGTTGCTTTAAAAGCCACCAGAAAACTTGGCCCTGGGGGGCATAACAGGAATGAAAACCATATGGTAAGTCATAAGGAGCTGGCAGAACCAAGGTTACAATTAGTGACTGGCCTGGCAATTTGCCAGCAGACAGGGAAAGGGTTGGAGATCACCTAAGCTGGTAGGATAAAAACAAGTATAAATCTTAGGGATATCCACAAGGAGCCCATGTCTTTGCTGTCTGCAAGTGCAGTAAAAATCATAGGTGCACAAATAACAGAGAGTGTGTATAAGTCATGTGTCATGTGAAATGAAAGCAAAGGGGCAATTTGCCCATGAGGCAAATGGTCCAGCTGGTGTCCAAGGCCATTTCATCATGTTGGTGCAAAAGTAACTGCGGTTTTTGCCATGACTTTCAATGGCAAAGACTGCAGCTACTTTTGCACCCCAACTTAATAGAACAGACACAGAGAAGACAGGTAAATAAGCAGTGCAGTTTCTTGGGAAAGCTGATTTTAATTGAAAAAGCAGAGGAAACCCCAGACATAGCACAGTTTTAGGCTTTAGCTCTACCGTTCTCACAAGCCTTCTGTCCATCAGGGCCATTAGTGCCTCAGTTCTACTGGAAGTAGACCTCAAGCTCCTTCCCACCCCTACAAGCCACCCATCAGTGTGAGCTGAGAGATCAGCCAGGGGGTGTGGGAGCAAGCCTCTTGTTCCCAAGAGAAATTGTTCTAAATGTTGGTTAGTAAGCAGGAGAGTGAAAAGACAGAAGGAAACTGCATACAGGGGTTGAACACCTCCAGCCAAAGAAGGTGAAGTGTAAAAGTATCTTACCACTGGGGAATGTACCTGAGCCATGTGGAAACTAGATATGTTATTGCTGGCAGGTGCCCAAGTTACTGGCAGTGAATCCGTATGAGTCTGCAGCAACCTCAATTCTTGCTTCCCCGGAAGAAAGAATTCGACTGAGGGGCATAAAGCAGAAGACACCAAGGCAAGTTTTAGAGCAGAAGTGAAAGCTTATTAAAAAGCTTTAGAGCAGGAGTGAAAGGAAGTAAAGTACACTTGGAAGAGGGCTAAGTGGGCAATCTAAGAGATCAAATGCATGGTTTGACTTGTTGACGTGTATAGTTGATGTGTTTCTTGGATCTTGCATTCTTCCCATGATTCTTCCCTTGGGGTGGGCTGTCTGCATGAGTAGTATAGCCTGAGAACACTTGAGAGGGGAGCACGTGCTGTGTTTACTGGAGTTGTACACCTGCTTACTTGGGACGTTTTTCCCTTCCCAGTGTGACATTTCTAGAGGAAGGTGATATACCAGTTAAACTCTGCCATTTTGCCTCTTAATGCACATGCTTGAGCCCACTCACCCAACTCCTGAGATCTTATTGGAAAGCTGCTGATCATCAGTTTTAGGTGTTTTCTATAATATCTACTGGGAGACTGCCCTTCCCTGCTGCCAGCTGTGACCAATTTTTTTTTTTTTTTTTTTTTTTGAGACGGAGTCTAGCTCTGTCGCCCAGGCTGGAGTAAGTGGCAGGATCTCAGCTCACTGGAAGCTCTGCCTCCTGGGTTCACGCCATTCTCCCGCCTCAGCCTCCCGAGTAGCTGGGACTACAGGCGCCCATCACCATGCCCGGCTAACTTTTTGTATTTTTAGTAGCGACAAGGTTTCACCGTGTTAGCCAGGATGGTGTCGATCTCCTGACCTCGTGATCCACCTGCCTCGGCCTCCCAAAGTGCTGGGATTACAGGCATGAGCCACCGCACCCAGCTGAGATCTGACAGTTTTATCAGAGGTTTCCACTTTTGCATCTTAATCATTTTCTCTTGCCGCTGCCATGTAAAAAGTACTTTTTGCCTCCCACCATGATTCTGAGGCCTCCCCAGCAATGTGGAACTGTAAGTCCAATTAAACCTTTTTTTTTAATTTTTTCCCCAGTCTCAGGTATGTCTTTATCAGCAGCATGAAAACAGTCTAATACAGTAAATTGGTACCAGTAGAGTGGAGTGCTGCTGTAGCGAAAATGTGGAAGCAACTTTGGAACTGGGTAACAGGCGGAGGTTGTAGCAGTCTGGAGGGCTCAGAAGAAGACTGGAAAGTGTGGGAAAGTTTGGAACTTCCTAGAGACTTGTTGAATGGCTTTGACTAAAATGCTGATATCGATGTGGACAATAACATCCAGGCTGAGGTGGTCTCGGATGGAAATGAGGAACTTTTTGGGATTTGGAGCAAAGGTGATTCTTGTTATGTTTTACCAAAGAGACTGGAGGCATTTTTCCCCAGAGATTTGTGGAATGTTGAACTTGAGAGAGACGATTTAAGGTATCTAACGGAAGAAATTTCTAAGCAGCAAAGCATTCAAGAAGTAGCTTGGGTGCTGTTAAAGACATTCAGTTTTAAAAGAGAAACAGAGAATAAAAGATTGGAAATTTTGCAGCCTGATAATGTGATAGAAAAGAAAATCCCATTTTCTGAGAAATTTTTCAAGTCAGCTGTAGAAATTTGCATAAGTAACGAGCAGAATATTAATCACCAAGACAATGTCTCAGGGGTATGTCAGAGATCTTTGTGCCAGCACCTCCCATCACAGGCATGGAGGTATAGAAGGAAAATTTGGTTTCGTTGTCCAGGCACAGGGTCCCTGTGCTGTGTGCAGCCTAGTGTCTTGGTGCCCTGCATCCCAGCAGCTTCAGCCATGGCTGAAAGGGGCCAACATAGAGCTCGGGCCATGGCTTCAGAGGGTGCAAGCCTCAAGCCTTGGCAGCTTCCATGTGGTGTTGAGCCTGCAAATGCACAGAAGTTAAGAATTGAGGTTTGGGAATCTCCAACTAGATTTCAGAAGATGTACGAAAATGCCTGGATGCCCAGGCAGAAGTTTGCTTCAGGGGCAGGGCTCTCATGGAGAACCACTGTTAGGGCAGTGCAATAGGAAAATGTGGGGTTGGATCCCCCACACATTGTCTCTACCGGGGGAACACCTAGTGGAGCTAGGAGAAAAGGGCCACCGTCCTCCAGACCCCAAAATGGTAGAAACACTGCCAGCTTGTACCTTGTGCCTGGAAAAGCCACAGACACTCAACATTAGTCCGTGAAAGCAGCCAGGAGGTAGGCTGTACCTTGAAAAGCAACATAGGCAGAGCTGCCTAAGACCATGGGAACCCACTTCTTGCATCAACATGACCTAGATGTGAGACCCGAAGTCAAAGATCATTTTTGAGCTTTAAGATTTGACTGCCCCACTGGATTTCAGACTTGCATGGGGCCTGTAGCCCCTTTGTTTTGGCCAATTTCTCCCATTTATAATGGCTGTATTTACCCAATACCTGTACCCCCACTGTATCTAGGAAATAACTAGCTTGCTTTTGATTTTACAGGCTCAGGCAGAAGGGACTTGCCTTGTCTGAGATGAGACCTTGGACTATAGATTTTTGGACTTTGTGGGACTGTTGGGAAGGCATGATTGATTTTGTAATGTGAAGATGAGATGCCAGGTGCAGAAGGATATGGTTTGGCTCCGTGACACTATTCAAATCTCATCTTGAATTGTACTCCCATAATTCCCAAGTGTTGTGTGAGGGACCTGGTGGGAGATAATTTGAATCAAAGGAGCGGTTTCTTCCATACTTTTCTCTTCATAGTGAATAAGTCTAAGAGATCTGATGGGTTTATCAGGAATTTCCACTTTTGCATATTCTTCTTTTTCTCTTGCCACCACCATGTAAGAAGTGCCTTTCACTGCCCCCATGATTCTGAGGCCTCCCCAGTCATGTGGAACTGTAAGTCCAATTAAACCTCTTTTTCTTTCCAGTCTCAGGTAAGTGTTTATTAGCAGCATGAAACGAACTAATACACTTGTGTAACCAAAACCCAAAGATTACCTTTCACAGTCCTTTACAGTGAGTCACAATCTTCCTCATAGTGAAATAAATTTTGTTTTATAGTCATATAAATATTGAGAAAGACATTAAATTACTATGTCATATGATAGCTCTATGATAAACTTACACTCAATTACCGATGAGTTTTGTCCTAGCAATGTTCTAGTTGTTGTGTATCTTCCTCAACATTTGGTTTAGTTTTCATCATTCTAGTAGGTTTCTAGTAATTTCTCACATTGACTTAGCTGCTATTCACTAATCAGTAGTGATATTGGGTATCTTTTCAAATCCTTGGTAACCATTCATATATCTTATCTTGTGGAATGTCTCTTCAACATTATTTTCATACTTTGCCTATTAAAAAATTGGATTTGGAGTTGTTATTTTGTTGTTGTAGTTTTTGTTTCTGAGACCGATTCTCACGCTGTCACCCAGGCTGAAGTGCAGTGGCATGATCACCACTCACTGTAGCTTCAACTTCTACTGGCTTAGGTGATCCTTCGACTTAAACCTCCTGAGTAGCTGGGACTACAGAACGTTCCGCCATGCCAGTCTAATTTTTGTATTGTTTGTAGAGATGGGGTTTCCCAGGCTAGTCTAAAATTCCTGGGTTCAAGCAATACACCCATCTTGGCCTCCCAAAGTGCTAGGGTTACAGTCGTGAGCCACCACACTCAGCCAGGAGTTATTTTATGTATTTCGTTTATGAAGATTTTTGTCAGATATATGTATTATTAACATTTTCTCTAAATCTGAAGCTGGCCTATTCTTCTGATAAAAAGAGGAATCAATTAGTTTATTTTACTTTATTTTCAGTGTTTGTGAGTTCTGTCTGAAAAAAAGTTGTTTTATTTTAATCATAGTAATTAGTGTATTCTATGTTTCCTTTATGAAGCTATACAGTTTTCACTTTAACATTTAGATTTACAATCATCCCTGTCACCTTTGTATGGTATGAAATATAGCTCAACATTGTTTATTTTTGTTCCTATAGGTTCAGTTTTTCTAGCAAAAGGTATGAATATCTATTACCTTTGCTTTTATTGGCAACTTTATAAATAATCATTTATTGTATATATGTATATCTAATTTTGCTCTATTTGTCTAATCTTGCAGAAACTTCATACTATTTTAATTATCATAGGTGTATAGTAGAACTTAAAATATGATAGTATGGAGTCTTCCAAATTTATTCTTCTTTGTCAAGATAATTGTGATAAATCCATAGATTTTATATCACTGTATAAGTCTTACTTCATTTTTATGAAATTCTACGAAAAATATATTTGGAATATTAATCCGAATTGCACTGATTCTATAGGTCACTTTGGCGGAAACAACATTTTTATGACATTACATCTAACAACTAGAAGCATTGTGTATCTATTTATTTAGATTATAGTAATTTTTTCTCACTAATGCTTTGTGTTTATCAGTAAGCATATTTTACACATATTTTATTAAATCTATTTCTTGTGTTTTATGTTATTTTTCTGCTATTGCCACTGAAAGTTTTATTCAATTTCTAAGGATTTTTTAATATATGTATATATAGAATTGCACTTGCTTTTTCATTTAAACTTTTTTCATGTACCTTTGTTGATTTCACTTCTTCGACTTAGTAGGCTTAGGGTAGATTCCTTTTTATTTTTATTTAAACAATCATGTTCAACTGATAAAATCAATTACACTTTTTTAATGCCATTTATACTATTTATTTATTTTTATTGCCTTATTGCACTGAAAAGACCACCAGTAAAGGCTAAATAGTAATTATGACAGAAGATATGCTTGACATTTTTCTAACGTTAGGAAGAAATCATGTTGTTCCATTAAGTAGAAGATAATTGTTGATTTCTCTAGACGCTCTTTCTTAGTATGAGAAAGTTCCCTTTTGTTGCTACTTTGCTGAGGGGTTTTTATCATGAATGGATAATAATTCTGTAAAATAATTTTTCTGCATCTATTGAGATCATATAATTTCTATCAATTACATTCTGTGACTGTAAGGAAATACCTGGGTTGATTTTGAAATGTCAAACCAACTTTGCATTTCTGAAGTAATCACCTCTTGTTATAATGTATTTTCCTTTTTACAATATTGCAGAAATCAATTTGATAATTTTCTTAAAAATTTTGGCAACTATGTTTATATCAGTTAATAAATTGTATTTTTATAATGTCCTCAGGAAGGTACAATATTAAGATTACAGTAGGTGATTAAACATGCTAGGACATTTTTCCATCTGCCAATTTTCTAAAATAGTTGTGTACAATTATTTTTTCGTAAAATGTTTGATAATATTCACCATTTGAGGTTTCTTTTAAAATTTATTACTTCAATTTATTTAACAGATATAGGGCTTGTGAGGTTGTCTACCTCATCTTATGTCAGTTTTGCAGATTGGCTGTTTTTCAAAAATGTGCCCCTTTCATCTGTGCTGTCGACTGTGTTGGCCTAAAGTTGTTCATATTATTCTCTTGGTGTCTTTTAAAGTCTGTAAATATATGATGACATTCTTCTATCAACACCAATGTTAATTTATTTGTTCTCTCTTTTTTTCTGGATAAGTCTTGTTAGAGATTTATCAATTTTGCCAATTATTTAAATAACCAGCTTTTAACTTTTGATGGCTTTCTCAATTCTTCTTGTTAGGGCAAGAACAATGATCATATTGAGGAAATTACTGCTGCATTTTCAACTCTTTCAGATGCTTTTCATTTCTACTTGCCCTCCACTTTTGCTAATAGCTCAGCCAGCAGACTCTCCTCAACCTAGATAATTTTCAACAAGCCATATCATCTGCTTACCTGAACTGACACCATAGATTTGCTCCCAATAACTTATTGCCATTCTCCATTCCTCTACGAATGAACTGAAATTCAGCTATTCCATGCTTCCTTGAAAACAATACTCCTTGATGAGACTATTTTATCCAGATATTTTAGATTTTCATAGAAGGAAAGATCTTCCAACATTATAATCAGAAGTAATCCTCTATAGGTGATTTTTAACTTTTATAAACTATTTTTCTTAGTTTTGAATTTTCTCTGATAGGTGATTTTTAATAGATCTTGAAGAGAAACTGATTTTCTCAGAAACAAAAACAATTAGAGACTTCTGAGAGACTCACTTAATATATTTGTCACTCTACTTTAGCTTAAAGAACATCAGACTTATTTACTTTCTTCAAAAGCAGAGCAAAAACTAAAGTTGCCTTTGTTTTTTTGTTTGTTTTCTCCTCTGTGTCAGACACTGAGAAGTGAGGAAGTGGTAAGGCTTTTATCTTTCTTCATTTCTTCTTTTTAAATATATATCTTTTAATCTATAATAGTTGTGAAGCTAAACTGAGGGAAATATAATTTTATTTGCCTCTCTAACGTGACATATTGTGGAGTGATTATATTTCTGATAAATTGTTAACCAAATAGATAAGTCTAGTGAAGTAAAATATAATTTTGTAATCCAGGCAAAATTCATAAACATCTCTGAAAATTTTATTATATTCATATCCCTGGAGAATTGTGGCCTTATACAATATTCTGTTAAGAGTCATACATGTTTTTGTAAAAATAAATGTTGTAATGAAAAGAAAACAGACTGTATAAATGCAAGATTTAAGCTTGAAATCCATCTCTGAATTAAGTTAATCTCTGTTTTATTCTGTGTGAAAAATTATGCATATATTAATATCTATCTTCTATGATATAAGAAATAAATGAGCTTATAAATGCAAAAGTGCTAAAAAAGCCTGGGAAACACAATATAATTGATTTTATTATTCAGTTGTTACCCCATTGTACTGCTAGATTTGATGCAGTGGCTAAATAAAAATTTAAAAATCAAAACAAAACAAAACAGAAAACTTGCAATCTAAAGGTCTGTCACCTGAAGGTGAACCATAAAAGAGCTGAATGTTATTTGTCTAAGACCAGCTGGCAGAAAGCCTATGTCGAGTTAGTATTTCAATTTCATTATGGGTATTTAAAGACCACACACATTCACACACACTCACACACCTGGGCCCCATTTTGTAAATTCTATTATGCCAATTGCAGGCTTGGCACAATCACTAAGTAGAGCTGCTATCAAAAGGTCACTTTTACTCATTCTTTAAGAGCCATTAAAGAATATGCATCAATTACATATCTTGCCTTGACTATTAGAAAGGTCAAAAGTTGTAAAAAGGGATACCTTTAACTTAAACATGTGATTGTGCTTCCTGAAAATTACAGCTCTTGCATTTATTTATAAAAGATAACAATATTTTCTCAAAGGGCGAGAACTGCAAAAACCATGAAATTTGTTTTTATAGTTTCATGTTTTTTAGCTGATATACAAATTATCTGTGGTGTTGAGGGAATAATGTTAGGCAAAGAACAAAACAGTGATTTAATTTTTAAAAACGTGTCATTTTAATGATAAAAGTGGTTTATGTTTAGTGTAAACAAGAAGAGGCCAATGTTCTAAGAGCAGACTAGAAAACAAACACACACACAGCCTACACACATATACACACAAAAATAGCCCTCTACTTGGTATGCTAAATGAGATATAAGATTATTGCATTTACGAAAATCGCTTTTGTCCTTTTAAAACATATTATTTGCCAGCTACTTTAACGGTTCTCAAATAATATGTCTTTGAAACTGTGTAAAATTCTATGGGCTAGGGGACAGGGTGTTTCAAAGAAAGAGAAGAAAATAAGTAAAAATACCTTTTTTTTTTTTTTTGGTAAACCTAGAGAGCATTAATTATCAGCCTAGCAATACCACAAACAACACAAAAGATCCAAAAACACCCTATTAGATTTTAAAAGTTGATTTTATTTTTCTTGAATTATTTTATTTGAGTTCAGTCTCAAAAATAATAAGATCAAACAGGAAATAAAATACAAGAAAATAGATAAACTAAGGGTCAATACCTAGAAAAATTACCTTAAACATTTTACATGTCACGTTATAATTTTTAATAAAGTAAAATAAGACATGCAAAAAAATGGAATCACGTTACGAATACTGTTTTAAGAACTGTTTTTAACATATTAAGAATTGTTTTCCATGTACCTATTTCTTTCTTTATGTCATTATTTTTAGTGGCTGCATTTTATTCTGTTAGACAGCTGTATTTATTCTTTATCAATGAAAAGTGTATTTCCAGGCTTTCATAATCAAAAGCATATTTTTCTTCATATATTTTTATGTTTTCCTGAGTATTTAGTAATAAATTACACATATTGGCATCCTTGGATCCAAAGGTAAGGGAAAGTTTAAGGATCTGAAGCCACACTAGCAATTTCCTTCATCTACTTGTACCAATTTATTTGTCCAAACACAATGTGTGAACTTTTAGTATCACATCATTTGTATCTCTTTACTTAATCAGTTCTGAATTCACAAAAATCAGGGAATTTAAAACTAATAATTATTATTTTTTTCCAAAATTAGGTTTTCTCAGATTTCTGTACAACATTACATAGAAAGACAATTAAAGAAAACACATAAAATTTTGAACCTCAACTCTACCAACTGTGAATTCTACATTCAGCAAACTTAGTTTAATCTGTGAAGACTAAGTCATTCTCACATTTCTGGGAATTAAGGAAATCTAAAATTAATGCATCCATCATTCAATTCTATGAGGTAAGTACAGTATTACATTTTATAGACAAAACATAGTATCTTGTCCAAGAATTTCATTTCAAAAACAATACTGTTAATCACTTCAAATTTTTATTTTTTTGTCTTTTTAAATAATTTTTATTTTTTAAGTTTTGCAGCGTATTGTAGATGTATATATTTATGTGGTACATTTTATAACTTTTAGTTTTCAGTGCACCCTCAACTATTATATTTTTGCCATATTGTTATCTGAAATATATAAGAGATGTAGGTAGGTTACATCTGAAAGGGGAATTTCTGTCAGTGGAATGAATAAAAACACAGGTCTCTGTCTCCGAAGCATGGTTAGAAATGGGAGAAGTACAGAATATTTTCTTGCTCCCCACAATGATATATTAATTAGGCTTCTGCATTTTTTAAAATTTGGTGCTAAATGCCTTTCAGTGGATGGAGACTCCAAAATCTAAATTAAATTATTTGTTAGTCTTAGTTTTCACAGTCTCTTTTCATTTCCATAATTTTTGATTTTCTGTAGACATTTTACTTTGCAATTGGGCAGATTGCATTAGCTAATAGCCAGTTGCTCTTTTTTGGCTGAAATTTACTCTGGTGTTTCAAGAAACCTCTGTGTTCATTAACTAAAAAAGTAAAGAAAGCCAAATATTATTTTTCCTTTAACTGACCTTAGATTAATTCATTCAAAGGACAAGATATGCCAGAGTCATAAAACACTCCTAAGATTCTATTGTTTTAATAACAGTAGTAGATTATTTCCCTTAATGGGTAATTATAGTTTGACTTTCACTTGTTCATTCCATAAATTCATGAAAATCTGTGTTCCAACACAAGATGCATACATTGAATCATTTTTAAGTTGACCAAGGGAAACTTAAACTACCTTTTCATTCCTACAATAACATATGGGAAAGCTATTTTAATTTTTGTTCTACAGAGGAGGGCTAACTTTTAAAAAGCCATTTCTATTGTTGTTCAGCTGGTTAATGACAGAAGTATATTTTGCATCTAGAGCTGTATGACTAAGAAAATATTCTATTCTTACTAAAGCATATCACTGCCTCTCCTCACACTCCACCCCGGTGCCTGAACCCAGAAAATGAATATAACAGTAAGAAGAATGTGAATGAGGATTTTTACACTGAGACACATTATGAGCTTGTCAGTACATAGATTATAAATTTGATTATGTGAATAAACTCCTATGAGGTATTAGAAAAATGGAAAACTAGTTTTCATTCAATCATGAGTCTTTTATATGCAACCACAGGTCCCAGACGATCACCACCTAAACACTAAAAACATGCATGAAAATTTTGCTGATTTTTACGACTTGAATAGAGAAATGTTTGGAAAGCTGCTAATCCTTGAGTTTTACTTATTGCCTCTACTTCTAGACATGGAAGTACAACAGTAAGTGATGTTTGGGCTCATTACTCCACTTTCTGAGCCTGGATATCTTCATGAGTACAAGAGCCAATCTTATAATATTAACTAGAAGCAACTAGAAGCTTCCCTAGAAGCAACTGGAAGATTTATATAATAGCTACAAAAATAGCATTTATTGTATGTTTGCTATATTCCAGGCATGGTTCTAAGAACATTATATGTATTCATTCATTTAATTTGCACATGGCCTTATGAGCTAGGTCCTATTATCATTGATGTTTTACAGACAGAATAGAAACGCAGAATTAAGTGTTTACCAAATGCACCCCAAGCAATCCAGACTCCAAGATCTGTGCTATTAATCACTGTGTTTAGCTGCTTTTCATCAACCAAAGGATGGTTTGAAAGTACTTTGTAAACTGCTATTCAGTAGGTAATTTTTACTAATTATTTCAAATATTGTGTTATTTCGTTATATATATGACTATAATATGTATGTATCTACTGAATATTATTTAATCAAAACTGTCACTTACTGTATGTGTTAAATGCTCTGTTATTATAACTATTTCAGTAGGCTGTTAGGCATAAAAATATGTTTTATATATTTACATAGTTCAAATGAGTGATCTTGCTGGATAATACTTCTTTAATTACTTATATGTGGCAGTAATTTCATTTTCAATGTGAAGACATCAACAGAAGATACAAAACTGAAATTGCGTGTCTTTAATCGTAAACTTTCTTGACTCGTTGAGGTAGCTTTCTTTCTTTCTTATGCTGGGTTGTTACGAACGTTAAATTCACACAAAGTGCTTATGGCCGCTCCTCAGATAGTGCCTGCTTCCTTTCATTCCTCATATATACATGGCAGAGCCAATGAGCTGACAACAGAAGTTCAGAGTGCCTTCTCCAAGACGAAAGTATACAGCAGTAGGCATTAGTGCACCATTCTCTGTTTCTTCGCCTTCAGAGGCATGAGTGGCCATTGTCAGCAGGACAAAACTGCAGCAGCTCAGACCACTGAACAGCTCCATGAAGGTCAGCTGCTTTCTACATTCATGACACCTATAAAGGATTTCATGTAAGCTAGAAATGAACTTGTTTCTGTGTGTATATGCTTGTGTGTGCATGTGTGTGTGTAATCCAAATGTAACATAAACCTATTTTATCCTGATTAAAACAATATTTCACATAAACTCTGGACCTTTTCAATCATAAATAAATATCAGTTGTTACTGTATTTGGTTATTATTATATTTGCTAATGTTATTATCATCATTGAACTATGACATTCTGCAATCCCATTTATTTGTCCTTTTGTATGACTAGGGTTGTCTTGGAAAAAACTGGAATTATTCATCGTTGTCAAAACGTCTAAATTGGGGTTATACAACATAGTTACTGATATTGAGTTCACCAGAAACTTTAGCCATTGCATCATGACCAAGATTTTGAAAGCTTCCTGACCCAAAAGTAATTTTAAATGTTAATTGGACAAAATATATTGGTAAAATACAGAAATTAAAATAATTACTGAAAAACAGATGCTTGAGATTTGAATCAGTAGGTCTTGCTAAGGGCTTTAAATTTTAGCATTTATTTCTTTGTTAATATAAAATTTGCTTATTTTTATCCTGTGCAAGAATAATTAAAATAGTGACTGATCTTTCAGAAATAACATCTTTCATAAGTTTGTGCTTATCACATTTCTGACAAGCACATTACTGTTATCAATGGCTTCTCATCCGAAACTGCTGATTAAGGGACATCCATTCCTCAATTATGCCAACTGATTTTAATGATTGTTCATATGAGATCACTGAATGTGGGCACCTCTGCACTGAGGCACAAGTTGCATTGCCCCTGATTGTGTTCATTTACCTATCATTGGGATATATTTTCATGGTTATGGGAAGAGCAATTGCAAATGATATTGCCATGTGAAGAAAAACATAACCAAAAGAAATAATGTTCACTTCTCTAACTGTGGCAGGAGTTAAGCTCAGTTTACTTAATCTTTGACTTTACTATGCTATTTCACTGATTTATTGAAGGTCATCACTACTCATGTTTGTGGGTCTGAAATTACAAAGTTTTAGAAATTTTATAATTTTCCCACATTCTCAGGGTATTCCAGCAAACTGAGCATGACTCTAAGGGAAGCTTCACAGGACATAAAGGAAAAAATAATAACAAAAGCATAGTACATTAATGGAAGACTTAAATTGGATTCCCTAAGATCCATCGCAGAATCTTTTTTTTTCAGAACTCTTAACATATTTCAACAATAACTTATATTTTTCCATTGTAACTGTATCAACGTTTTTGACATTTTTATGAAGCTGCCTTTCCCTTAAGTATACATTATGTGCCTATTTTATTTTTTTTAGTTGTTGTTTTGTGTTGTTTTGTTTTGTTTTGTTTTGTTTTTTGAGACAGGGCCTTGCTCTGTCATCCAGGCTGGAGTGCAGGGGCATGATCATAACTTAATGCAGTCTCTACCTCCTGGGCTTAAATGATCCATCCTCCTACCTCAGCCTCCTAATGTGCTGAGATTACAGACATGAGCCACTGCGCCCAGCCTACGTCTGTTTTATTAACAAATTCATGTCTGACATTCAACAAAATGCCTCACACTTACCAAAATATTAAAATTTCTCACTACTGACAGTAAATGACATGAACTGTTTCAGTCTTTGTGCAGGTCGATTTTGCAAATTTAATTAAAATTCTAAAAATATATTTATTTTCCTTAAGTGATTTAATATTTAGAAACTTATCCAATTAAAATAACTTCCATGGATTCAAAAAGTATGTGCATAAACAGAGACTTCACAAAATGATTGTAAAAATTCCTTTTTTTTTTTTCCCGGTTGCTGCTCGCTGTCCCGGTCCGTGCCAGCTCCCAGTTCGCCTCGTCGCCATGCCTCGGAAAATTGAGGAAATCAAGGATTTTCTGCTCACAGTCCGATGAAAGGATGCCAAATCCGTCAAGATCAAGAAAAATAAGGACAATGTGAAGTTTAAAGTTTGACACAGCAAATACCTTTACACCCTGGTCATCACTGACAAAGAGAAGGCAGATAAACTGTAGTCCCTGCCCCCTGGTTTGGCAGTGAAGGAACTAAAATGAACCAGACACACTGATTTGTGCTGTATTAAAATACTAAAAATCCTAAAAAAAAAAAAAAAAAAAAAAAAATTCCTTTTCGTTTTCCATATGCATGTGCATCTACTTATGTAATATGTTTATTTTACATACGCGTACTATTTACATTTTGAAATTCTCAGTGTATTTTAATCATGTATTGATTAAGTAACTACAAAGTATCTGTAGTTTTAATACTTTATAATCATTTGAAACAGTGTGGTAAATCCTTATATACTAACATGGAGAGATGCATTATGCATAGTTAAGAAAAAAATGAAAACATAAAATAAAAAGGCTTATAATAATGTGTATGCATTCACACATGAATATTCTTTCAATTCTCAAAAATATATTTAGTAGATAGTGCCTCGGAATAGTATAAAAAGGGACTCTATTTACTTTTTCAGTTTATAATTGAGCACAAATAATTAAAAAGAAGCTACTATATTAACATTATTTCCTAATCATGTATTTAACTGAGATAGGAAGGAGAAAAATATGACAACATGAAGGGGAAAAGTAAAATCATTACCTACAGTAGAAAATAATAATTATTTTTAAACTGTGTATTAACCATGCCAGGTAATCTCAGTATTCAGCTTTTTATTAGGAAAAAAAATTCAATTTATTTTTTATTTTTTTATTTTTATTTATTTTTTTTTATAATTTCTCTCCCTGAAAATTTCTCTTTTTTTATTTTTTTATTATTTTTTTTTATTATTATACTTTAAGTTTTACGGTACATGTGCACATTGTGCAAGTTAGTTACATATGTATACATGTGCCATGCTGGTGCGCTGCACTCACTAACTCATCATCTAGCATTAGGTATATCTCCCAATGCTATCCCTCCCGCCTCCCCCCACCCCACAACAGTCCCCAGAGTGTGATGTTCCCCTTCCTGTGTCCGTGTGTTCTCATTGTTCAATTCCCACCTATGAGTGAGAATATGCGGTGTTTGGTTTTTTGTTCTTGCGATAGTTTACTGAGAATGATGATTTCCAATTTCATCCATGTTCCTGCAAAGGACATGAACTCATCATTTTTTATGGCTGCATAGTATTCCATGGTGTATATGTGCCACATTTTCTTAATCCAGTCTATCATTGTTGGACATTTGGGTTGGTTCCAAGTCTTTGCTATTGTGAATAGTGCCGCAGTAAACATACTTGTGCATGTGTCTTTATAGCAGCATGATTTATAGTCCTTTGGGTATATACCCAGTTAATGGGATGGCTGGGTCAAATGGTATTTCCAGTTCTAGATCCCTGAGGAATCGCCACACTGACTTCCACAATGGTTGAACTAGTTTACAGTCCCACCAACAGTGTAAAAGTGTTCCTATTTCTCCACATCCTCTCCAGCACCTGTTGTTTCCTGACTTTTTAATGATTGCCATTGTAACTGGTGTGAGATGGTATCTCATTGTGGTTTTCATTTGCATTTCTCTGATGGCCAGTGATGATGAGCATTTTTTCATGTGTTTTTTGGCTGCATAAATGTCTTCTTTTGAGAAGTGTCTGTTCATGTCCTTTGCCCACTTTTTGATGGGGTTGTTTGTTTTTTTCTTGTAAATTTGTTTGAGTTCATTGTAGATTCTGGATATTAGCACTTTGTCAGATGAGTAGGTTGCGAAAATTTTCTCCCATTTTGTAGGTTGCCTGTTCACTCTGATGGTAGTTTCTTTTGCTGTGCAGAAGCTCTTTAGTTTAATTAGATCCCATTTGTCAATTTTGTCTTTTGTTGCCATTGCTTTTGGTGTTTTAGACATGAAGTCATTGCCCATGCCTATGTCCTGAATGGTAATGCCTAGGTTTTCTTCTAGGGTTTTTATGGTTTTAGGTCTAACGTTTAAGTGTTTAATCCATCTTGAAAACCCCACTGTCCCAGCCCAAAATCTCCTTAAGCTGATAAGCAACTTCAGCAAAGTCTCAGGATACAAAATCAATGTACAAAAATCACAAGCATTCTTATACACCAACAACAGACAAACAGAGAGCCAAATCATGAGTGAACTCCCATTCACAATTGCTTCAAAGAGAATAAAATACCTAGGAATCCAACTTACAAGGGATGTGAAGGACCTCTTCAAGGAGAACTACAAACCACTGCTCAAGGAAATAAAAGATGATACAAACAAATGGAAGAACATTCCATGCTCATGGGTAGGAAGAATCAATATCGTGAAAATGGCCATACTGCCCAAGGTAATTTACAGATTCAATGCCATCCCCATCAAGCTACCAATGACTTTCTTCACAGAATTGGAAAAAACTACTTTAAAGTTCATATGGAACCAAAAAAGAGCCCGCATCGCCAAGTCAATCCTAAGCCAAAAGAACAAAGCTGGAGGCATCACACTACCTGACTTCAAACTATACTACAAGGCTACAGTAACCAAAACAGCATGGTACTGGTACCAAAACAGAGATCAATGGAACAGAACAGAGGCCTCAGAAATAACACCGCATATCTACAACTATCTGATCTTTGACAAACCTGAGAAAAACGAGCAATGGGGAAAGGATTCCCTATTTAATAAATGGTGTTGGGAAAACTGGCTAGCCATATGTAGAAAGCTGAAACTGGATCCCTTCCTTACACCTTATACAAAATTCAATTTTTAAAACCTCTTTGCTTTACACGTAATTCATGAGTCAGTGTGGAGTGGTCATACACAAAGCTTCCATTTGCTTACTGCACTTTATTAAAAGTTTTGAAGCTGACAAAACTTTTCCAAAAAAACAAGAAAAGGATTTTGGAAATCTATTTAGAAACAATTCTGATTAATTCAGTATATACTTTTTAAATGTCTCTTTTTACCAAGCAGTTTTGCATGATAATAGGGTATTTATTTCTTAACATTTCAAATTCTCTAGCTTTCGTATCCTTTTTACACCAAAAGTCATAATCATTTCCATAGCAACTATATTCATTGTCAAAGGTAGAAATTTTTGACTTCTGTTGGGTATTTTTTAAGGAGCAAAGGAACATTTAAGCAACAAAAAGTAGTATTTTACAAAAATTGACAAGAATTGAGAGAGAAAAAAAGTACTGGGTGGTTCCTTTAATAACTTACACAGATAACTTATTAAAACTATAAGTTATTGCCAAAACTCAACATAATTTTTCTTTAGTAACTTCATTTTAAATAATATATTTTTTTGCAGTCATAATTTCTTCTTGTACTAAGTCAACAACAATAAAATGAAGAATAAATATTTACATATTTAGTTAGGGAATATGATATAAATATCTAATTTTCTGACCTTTTTTTATTTAAAAAAATGAATCAAAACTAAATTAAGTCAAAAATTTCATCTAAAAAGTAAAGAATTATTTTTCTCTCAACCCTCTCCAAATTTCTATCAACATGTTACTTAGTGTAGTATCATATATTGTAATTTAGAAAATAAACACTATTTACTTACGCTCTTTTATGAGCAATAGATAATAAGTATTTGCCATAACACATTCATGAATACAAGAATGATGAACTTTGAAGCAAAACTTGTTTTTCTTGCAGGTTTTATTGCTTGAAGTTACTGTTTGGCACCTCTGGATGGAGATACGGAGTTAGTAAAGTAGAGGGGAATAGTTTTTATTTTATCATACCTATAGATTTGTTTACAGATGGCAGGTTATTTTAGCTGGATCTTCCTGACAGTTATTACTACCACCAGCAACAAAACATGCTTCATAAGTAGAGAAATTAGATAAAGAATATTAGACTTGCTGTGCCCCATGCCACATAGTGAGTTGATTGAGGATCCCAAGCTACTGGTTTCCCTTCTAATTCATTGTTTAGTAAATCAGCAAGTACAATAAAAGAACAAAAAGATTAAGTTAGCAAACATTTTAAATAGAGGTGCTTTATATGTGCTATCATATCAGTTTATTGATGAAATTTTGACTTAAAAAAAGGAACTTTCTTTATATAGTTTATTTATATATTAAATTTAAAATGTACCAAACAACTTATATGTGAAAAGTATGTGTTGTAGCCTTTTCTGTAATAAATGTACACATCCTTTTGTCTCTACTAATAAGCATAATTTAGTGAAAGTAACAAAAAAGCAAGGAATTATACAAAAATTAGAGGAAATACTAGAACTGGACAAACTCTGGAACTAACACTCTCAAGTTTCAAAGTTGGAATATGAGGATTAAGTTGTGCTTCGTTGTAATGTCCCTTTCAGGGGCTGAGTGCTCAGCATGAGAATAATGACTCAACCCTGGGCAGATCTGAGCTCCCTCTGAGTTTTCAATGAAATCCCATATTAAGGCTAATCATGTTACTACTCTTCTAGCTGCCTGGTTTGCAACCACCTTCTGCTTTTCATATGTCTATGACCATATTAAGCCAGTTTCTTGTTTATTTCTGTTTTCATCTCCCCCACCATGTGAGCCTCTTTCAGCAGGAATTGTGCCTAGTTTTCCTCTGAATCTCAGACCATTATTTGATAAAGGGTTCAAATTCAATACGTTACTTTTGACTATAAGGATACAATTTGATAAACAAGTCAATGAGGTAAAAAAAATCACTACCTTTCTCCCAATTTCTACCTGTCCCCTCAAAATTCTGCATTTATGTCATCAAAATACATTTCCCACTGAAATAATACATTTTACAATGGAATAGTATATAGTTTGGAGAGTTTACTAGTTTATCACATGAAGTTTCATTTTATCTTTAGAGAGGTATTAAGGAATATTTCAATATTTTTAGGGAATATTTCTACATCGAGCCCTATATAGTTATTATTTTAAAGGGAAGGAAACCAAACTTCAAAGTGTTTAAATGAATTGCCCCAAATCAAAGAGGTAACAAAAGGCAGAGCTCAAGTTCAAAGACAGCATCCCAAATCCTTTTTTCTCAGTCTAGGGACTTTTTTCTTCCTGACACTGCACTGTGATTCTAGAAGTAAGCTGAACTCTTTAGACGCATAACACATTAAGCCATGATTAGACATTCACACTTCACGTAACTTCTTAGATATATTTTTTTAATTATAAGGTAACTACAGTTCTGGTTAATATTATAAAAAACTCGAATAACATGAGGATGCATCTTTAAAAAAAAGAAATTTCATGGAAGATTCACCAAGAAAGACAATATCCTGGAGCTTAAAATAAACCTCAACAAATGTTAAAGATTGAAATTATACTCTGGCCTAATGGAATCAAACTACAAATTGAAAACATAAGATAACACGAAAATCTTGAGATACTTAGAAATAAAAACAAACAAAATCAATAATACATGCCTAAAATAGTCTCAGAAATTTTAAAATACGTAATTGAGAATGAAAATACAACATACTAAAACATGTAGGATGCAGTTAAAACCACGCTGAGAGAAAAATTTATAGTAATAATACTTATGTTACGAAAAAGAAAAGGTGTCAAATCAATCATCTAATGTCCCACTGACATAAGATATGACATTGAGTGACTAGAAAGGGAAGATCTATTTTATTGGTTATTTTAGCCCAAAGGGAAAAAAATGAAAGGAAATAATATAGATGAGACCCAAAAATCAATAGAATGACTTAAAGAGACTCAATAGAGAAAATCAATGAAACTACATGCTGGTTCTTTGAAAGATTCAATAAAATTGATTAAACTCTATTTAGTAATATTGACAAAAATAGAGAATAAACAAGTCACCAGTATTAAGAATAAAAGGAGTTATCACTACAGATCCTGCAACCATTATAAGGAACATAAAGGAATAATTTTTTAAATTACATTCACAAATTTGACAACTTAGAAACAAAATGGACCAATTCCTTAAATCCAAAAACTGCAAAAACTCATCAAAGATGAAATAGATAATATGAATGAAGCTATAACCAAAAAACTGGAATTTTTCATTCAAAATCTTCTCAATAAAAGAAATCTCCAGATTCTAAATGGTTTAACTGAAGAATCTGTCAAACATTTAAGGAATAATTAATACTAATTTTACACAATCTCTTTCAGAAAATAGAAGATTAGGGAACATTTTATGAAGCAAATATTATCCTGATATTCAGTCCAAACAAAGACAATATAAAAAGAAAAATATAGATAAAGTTATCTCAGGAAGTTAGATATCCTAATACTCAACAAAACTTAGAAAATTGAATCTAACAATATACAAAAAGAATTGCACGGCATGATTAACTGGGATTTTCTTCAGGTAGGTAAAGTTGGTTTAACACTTGAAATCAATCAATGTTACCTTCCATGTCAACAATCTTCAGAATAAAAATTATATTATTCGGTGTAGAAAAAGCATTTGACAAAAGTCAATATATTTTAATGATAAAAACAGTAAGTTAGGCATGAATGAAAACTACTTTGACTTGATAAAGAACATCTACAAAATCCCTGTAACGACATTATCTTTAATGTAAAATATTAAATTATTTACCTCTAAGATTGAGAACCAGTCAAGGATATACAGTCTCACTATACTTTTTCAACATAGTACTGAAAGTCTTACCCACTGCAATAAGGTAAAACAAACAAAAAAATTAAAAACCCACATTTATATTTGAAAGGAAAAAATACAACTTTTTTTTTGTTTGTTTTTTTGTTTTGTGTTGTTTTGTTTTGCAGAAGACATGGGAATATACAAAAGAACAAACTCCCAAAACTAATAACAGAGTTCAATAAGGCTGTAGCAAAATATCAACTAATAAAAATAAACTGCATTTCTATCTACTGAAACAGAACATGTAGAAACCAAAATTAAATATATAGTACCACTTACAGTTGCTTCAGAGAAATGAAATACATAGAAATAGACCTAATAAACATGTACAGGATATACATATATACTCAAAATTATAAAATGCTCAAGAACTGAAAGAAGACCTAAGTAAATGAAAAGACATACTACGTTCATAGACAGGAAGACTCAAAGATTCACAGTAAAGATGTCAAAGCTCTACAAATTAATCTACAGTTTTAATGAAATTTTTATCAAAATTCCAGCCAGGTTTTTGTGCATATACAAAAGCTTTTTCTAACCATTATAAAATATACAGATCTTTGGTATATTATGAAATATACCTAAAACAATCTGGACAAAGAACAATAACAGAAGAAATCCTTCCACTCTATATTAATGCTTCTTACATAGCTATATTAATCAAGACGGGGCAATATTGGCAATGATATAAACACATAAGTCAATAAAACAGAATAGAGAACCCAGAAGTAGACTCAAATTTGCCCAACTAAATTTTGACAAAGACACATACACACAAAAATATTCAATGCAGGAAGGATATCCTTTTTCACAAATCATTCCGGGGTATTTGGATGTCCATAGGCCAAAAGAATGAATGTAGACTTAAACGTCATACTTTATACCAAAACTAACTCATAATTCATCATGGACTTGCAAGTAAAACATTAAGCTATAAAACTTTTAGAAAAAAAAGAGTAGCATAATATTGTACTATGGGATTGATAATGTGCACAGATGTAATACATATGACAACAGTAGCAAATATCCCTGTAAGAAAGTAATCTATTTAAAATCCACAGATGTTTTTAGTAGATTCCATATGTGAGATTACACAGTAATTGCCTTTTTGTGTCTGGTTTATTCAATTTAGCATAACATCCTCCAGATTCATCCTTGTTGTTGCAAGTGACAAGCTTTCCTTCTTTTTATGGATAAATAATATTTCATTTTGTTCTATTCCAATAATATTCTGCATTTTCTTCATTCATCCATATATATATGTGTGTATATATTTAATATTTAATATATTATATATTTGATATATTATATATATTATATTTAAATATATAAAAATAATATATTTAATATTATTTGTAATAGATTATTTCGATCTCACTAATATAAGCTTATTTTAAATGATATTATAGAGGAAAGCTATGAAATAATAGGAATCATTCTATATATATTATAGTCACTGTATATATATTACTGTATATATATATCATAGTTACTATATATATATATATATATTATAGTTACTGAATAACGTGGAGGGAATATTAATAAATTTCCTTGAAGTGTCCACTTCCTTTTCTGCTGTTGTTTTTACAGTTTTAAAGGCTTTTTTAAAAATTGTGTGGCAGTTGTGTAGATATGTATTCAACTATTGTTTTTTACCACAAGGAGAGTAGTTAAGTACTGTTCCTACTTCTTTTACATAGAATATGAAAGTGACTGTTAAAATAATGGCTTATATAAGTGAGCTTTATGGATCAGATATATTCCCTCTTTCTATATTTTCATATACATTCTTAATTATTTGAATGGTTCATATTATTATGTAGCTTTCCTCTATAATATCATTTAAAATAAGCTTATATTAGTTAGACTGAAATAATCTATTACAAATAACATTAAAACATGCATTTTACTGAGAGGCAGAAACTCCTATCCATGCTGGTGGAAATGCACAGCACTCCTGGAGAATAATTTGACAATAAATAGTAAAATCTTATCGTGTGCACAGCATTGAACTGAGGAATTCTTCTATGTGGGATGAATTCAAAATACACAATTGTAATTGATCTCAATTTTAGCCTCAAGAACATTTATTGCCCACTTATATATTATGTCCTAATATTTATAGTGATGTAAATAATCAAAAACATGTGCTTGAATATGGTACCTCTGTATAATGGAGTGTTGTGGAATAATTACAGATAAAATCACAGAAAAATCTTAAATGACAAGAAGAATATACCCAATATGCCATGTAAATGCAAAAGCAAATTTAATGTACCTGATATATATATAGAGATAAAGTGGTAAATACTAAAAGCATATTTTCCAAACACTGGTAGTAGCTATGTCTAAGGCGGTTGTTGAGTTTGCTTTTTCAGTTTTCCAAATTATCCCAGAGAATATACATAATTTTTATTAAGAAAATAGCAGTAGTTTTGGAAAATAAAAGATTTAAGAAGTAGGAACTGTATTGTGAAATATCCGAAATGACTAATATATTATTTTTATTTACTGCTTTTTTTTTTTTTTTTTTTTTTTTTTTGAGACAGAGTCTCACTCTGTCACCCAGGCTGGAGTGCAGTGGTGCCATCTCAGCTCGCTGCAAGCTCCGCCTCCCGGGTTCACGCCATTCTCCTGCCTCAGCCTCCTGAGTAGCTGGGACTACAAGTGCCTACCACTACGCCTGGCTAACTTTTTGTATTTTTAGTAGAGATGGGGTTTCACTGTGTTAGCCAGGATGGTCTCCATCTCCTGACCTCGTGATTGCCCGCCTCAGCCTCCCAAAGTGCTGGGATTACAGGCATGAGCCACTGAGCCAGGTCTATTTATTGCTTTAAGTATACATAGAGTGTCTGCTTTGTGCTGGGCATCATGCTAAGTTAACAACTGATAATGCTAAGCTAGAATTAAGTTCAGAAAGAGAATAAGCACAGCAATAACAATACAATTAAGTTAGTGTTATCAAATACGTTTGAATAGAATTCAAATAAAATGTAGAAAAACTTTGACTAATTTGAATGTTTCTTTTTATTATACCAATTAGTCTTGGATTTCATCATTTTATTGTTCATACATGACAAATTTTTATAAGAATTTGTCACCCAGTGTCTTTGAATGATTTAGTTTTTCCTAAATTAACCCTAAATGTTTATAATGCATTTCTTCATGCACAGTTGTAAAAGTGATTTACATTTCATAACTTTTCTTTTCATCTACCTCCTGGTAATATTCAGGCATTGTTTTTAGTTCTCCTTTCTGGAGGATTAATTTAAACAAATTTTGGCAATAAGTTGGTATTTTTTTATACAGTTTTTACCTGCTTATAGGGACACATGACTTTCAGAAACTCCTAGGTTAAATAAGTACACTTGTACTTCTACAGTGCAGGGATGGTTTTAATATATTTATTTAAAATGTCCAACCTTGTTTTTATCCATCCTGGCTGTGCCATTTACCAAAATTCAAAAAAGAAAAAAATCAAAGAAAATATTTATGTTAACCCATAAGAACCAAGAATAACACAATAAAGAAAAACAGTTTCCGAAATTTTTAATTAAAGGGCTATTGAAACCACATTCTTAAATTATTTATTTTCTACACATGACTAAAATTTCAGTTGAGCAAAAATTTTTAAAAGGACAAAAGGAAAGCTTTTGAGAGAGGCATAACTATTGGGCATAGCTAGACAAGGGTGGAGAACTAATTATTTTTGTCTTTTTTTCCTGTATTTTTTTCCAGGGTAGGGTATGATTTTGGCCTGTGTATTTTCCACCTCCAGATAATACTGCATTTCAGAGGTTCATCCAAACAAGAGTAATACAGTGTAGCAGTAAGTCATCTATTTTCTGTCTGTTAGAGTAAGACTACCTTCTATTTTGATGGTAAGCCTTTTGTGGGAGGGTTCTAATTTTAGACTTACAGAAAATTGCAGAAATAGTAAAGACAGTTTCCATATATCTCTTGCATATTTTCACCAAATGTTAACATCTTGTATAACCACTGTGTAATGATCAAGACCAGAAAATTAAAATCAGTATAATAGTATTAACTAAACTAAAGAACTTATTCAAATTTCACCTGTTTTTTTTTAACTACGATTATTTCATTTCCGTTCCAGAATCCCACTTAGGATCCCACATTGCATATACTTTTTTATTTTCTTCAGTCTCCTACAGTCTATAACATTTTCCTCTTTTATTCTTTGTGTTTTATGATCTTGACACTTTTGAAGAGCATTGATCAGTTGCGTTTTTCAATTGTTTCTTAGTTTGAGTTTGCTGTTTCCTCGTGAATGGACTGAATTGTGTTTTCTTGGCAAGAGTACCATAGAAATGGCAGTGTTTTCTCAGTGCATTTGCATTCCAGAGATCATGATATTGATCTATCTTATTACTGGTGATGTTGTCTTGGATCACTTGTGCAAGGTAGTTTCTCCAGGTTTCACCACTCTAAAGTTAGTATCATTCTCTTTGTAATTAATGAATATATTGGGTACATGCTTTGTGAGTCTGAAATTCTATTTCTCCTTAAAATTTTACTAATTTTAATGTTGGCCAGTGAATGCTGTCTTCATTACTTATTAAAGTGGTACTTTCTAAATGGTGATTTTTCTATTTCCCTCTTGCATTTTACATTTAAAAAGAAGATAGAATCCTTCTCTATTTATTTGTATTCATATACATTCATAAATGTTCATTTTATTTGATGGTTATCAAATAAAATCGTTTACTTTATTTGATGGTTATCAAATAAAATCGTTTACTTTATTTGATGGTTATCAAATAAAATCGTTTACTTTATTTGATGGTTATCAAATAAAATCTTTTACTTTATTTGATGGTTATCAAATAAAATCGTTTACTTTATTTGATGGTTATCAAATAAAATCGTTTACTTTATTTGATGGTTATCAAATAAAATCGTTTATTTTATTTGATGGTTATCTTGATGAAAAGAGTCAAACTCTGTAAAATATTTGAAGAGATGTTATCTGAGCCAAATATGAGTGACCATGGCCTGTGACACAGCCCTCAGGAGTTCCTGAGAGCATGTGCCCAAGGTGGTCGGGGTACAGCTGGGTTTCATACATTTTAGGATGGCAGGAGACATTAATCAAATACATTTAAGAAACACATTAGTTTGGTCCAGAAAGGCAAGACAATTTGAAACTGGCGGGGGGCAGTGAGGGAGAAAGTGAGGAGGGAGGTTCCAGACTATAGGTAAATTTAAATATTTTCTGGTTGACAATTGGTTGAGTTTGTCTAAAAACCTGAGATCAGTAGAAGGGAATGTCTGGGTTGCCATAATAAGTTGTGAAGACCAGAGTTTTACTACGCGGGTGAAGCTTTTTGCTGGCAGGCTTCAGGGAGAATAGGTTGTAAAATGATTCCTATCAGACAAAGTCTGTGTTGTTAATGCCAAGAGGTATAATGAGGCATATCTGATCCCGTCTTCCCTTCAGGGCTTGAACTATTCTTTCAGGTTAAATTTTAAGAGCCCTGGCAGAAAAGGAAGTCCATTCAGATGGTTGGGGGCCTTAGAATTTTATTTTTGGTCTACAGTCCAATATTATAAATATTTTATTGCTCAGCTTGTGCCAGCTTCAGCCATTTGGAAATCCTTTAGGCTACTTCGGGTTTTTGGTAAGATTTCATCTCTATCTATTTATTAAAAATAATAAGTTTATAATGGTATGTTAGCTTTCAATTCAATACCATCTGGCTAATTTTAGCCCATCCTTTTTCTTTTTTGTAGCTTCTTTCTTCAACAGTTATTAGGATCTTAAGCTGAACTTACTGTTCCATTGAAACCTGCCCAATAGTCCCATAGATAGTTTTTTTGGATAAACATAAAAATTGACCCTTCTGGTCTTAGTGCTTGAAATCTACATTGGTTTTATCTGAGTGCCTTCCTCAGGAAAGGACCCCAAGTTCTCTCAAAAAGTATCAAAGAACTGAAACTCACCAGATCTTTGCATTCAGACAATGAGATTTCAGGCCCCTCATTCATGATGATTGTTTCTGATAGGAGAGGTGTCAGAGCCCTGGCACCAGGAAGCGGTTGACTCACAGGTTGGTAAAAGGAATGTTCTGACAACAGTATAGGTTTGAAAAAGGAGAGTTTATTAGAAAGGAATAATGCTGCAAAAGGGTGCAGTGGGGTGCCTCAGCAAGAGGACTGAGCGCACCTTTGTGGATTTTCCTTAAGAGCATTTACAGACCTTTTGGTGGGAGCTTAGGATTGTAAAATTAGTTTCGGCATGGCATTTCAGAGATGTAAGGCCCGAAATTAGATGTCAGCTTTAGATACTAGGGAAGTCTGATTACCTCTAAATTCCCCAGATAAGGAGTTTGGCCTCCGGATGGCTTTTTTTTTTTTTTTTTTTTTTTTTTTTGAGACTGAGTCTTGATGTTGTCTGGGCCCCCTGGCTGGAGTGCATTGGCGTGATCTCGGCTCACTGCAACCTCCGCCTCCCAGGTTCCAATAATTCTCCTGCCTCAGCCTCCTGAGTAGATGAGATTACAGGCATCAGCCACCACGCCTGGCTAATTTTTGTATTTTTAGTAACGATGGGTTTCACCATGTTGGCCAGGCTGGTCTCGAACTCCTGACCTCAGGTGATCCACCCTACTGACCTCAGGTGATCCACCCTCCTTGGCTTCCCAAAGTGTTGAGATTACAGGTGTGAGCTACCACACCCAGCCTGGATGGCCTTTTTGATGGTCACCTGGTGGTCTTTGCTCCCTTTTAAATTGCTCAGATAAGAAGTTTTTGTCTCTGGGACCTGTTCAATCACCAGGTGGTTTTGCTCTCCTCAGTTTCCTTACCCCTCAAGTTTCTGTCTTCTCACACATAGTTACATTTCTTCCCTGCTATATGAACTCTTAATTGTATTCGGTCAGGGAGAGGGGTTTGAGACTGAGCTCTTATGTCCTCAGCTGCAGCACCAGATTAAAGCCTTCTTCTTTCTTGGCAATACTCATCATCACAGTCATTGGCTTTCTGTTCTGCAAGCAGCAGGACCTGGACCGAACATCTGGTGTGTCGGTAACACTATTATACTGTCTGTCTATTCCATGAACATGCTGTTTTAATTACAGAGGCTTTATAGTGTGTTTTAATGGCTGGTAGGGCTTAGTCATTCTTTGTAGTTTATCTTTTTCAGTAATATATTGGCAATTCTTGCATGTTTTTTCCCCTCCATATAAACTTCTGTGTCAACTTAGTTCTAACAATATAAAATAGTTTGTTTTATTTTATTGAAATTTCATAGAATGTATAAATTAACTTGAAACTGAAATCTTCATATGTCACTTTACATATGAACCTACCTAAGATCTTTTGATTTCTTCAAATATATTTTTATGTCTTCAGGATCTGGAATATTTTTAAATTTCTCAAAGAGAGGCTTGACATATTTTGTTGTTAACTTTATTCCTAAGTATTTAGTGTTCTTTGTTGCTATAAATAGGATTTTATGTATCACTATGTTCTGAGGACTAAGGTCTGATTTTTTATCTTGCCCAAATTTCTATCTAAGGGGTCTGGAGAGTTGTGCCCTACTTTCTCATCAGATGGGTTTTATTTAACCCTGTATATTGTGACTTACTTTCCAATCTGTCTCTGGCATAACAAGGAAGAAAATCGAAATGTTTCACTCCAAAATATATTTCCCTGACATACCTTGAAATTACCCGGCATAGTCTCCTGTGACAAAAATGCACATTCTGTAGAGAATCCTCATTCTCCTTTGTTTTCCTTCCTTTCCAGATCCAAGAGATAATCAACTAAAAGCCAGGCACCCTTTTAAGTCTCATATAAAACATTTTACAATCTGCTGTCTCTGAAGTCTGCTGAGAGCTTCCTTGGCACAATAAAACTTGGTCTCCACAGTCCTTTATCTTAACCTGAACATTTCTTTTTTATTGATCCCAGGTCTTCAGATAAACTCAACCAATTGTCAACCAGAAAATGTTTAAATTTACCTATAGCCTAGAAGACCTGGCTTTGAGTTGTCTCACCTTTCTGAACCAGACCAATGTATTTCTTAAATGTATTTGCTTGATGACTTGTGGGAAAGAGAGTTTCTGAGGTGCCAGATGAGTTGGTCTCCCCTGTGTGAGACACCCATGGGGAGCCATGGGCGGCCTCTGAGGAGAAATGTCTCCTTATTTCCTACATGTCTTTCTGCCCCGAGAGCATAACCGCTCAGCAGCATTCCACAGGTTGCTCAGGGAGATAACACTCCCTTGAAGCAGTGGAGTATAATCAAATATCTTGGCTCCTCCTGAAACCCACTCCCATCTGTTTCAGTCCCAATAAGTTAAAGATCTTAAGTAGTTTAGACACATGCCTTTGCTCAAGGAAATTCACAGAAACCGCCACTGCTATACATCTTATTGAATGACTCAGGACTTCTCCTTCAGTGATTAATCCTTTTCCTCATCCCTTCCTACCCCTCCCATCTGCGGTAAGAACAAAGAGCTTGTAAACCAATAAATTGGGCGGAGCCCAAGAGCTCTGGGCTGTGAGCAAGCCTCCCATGCTCCAGTCCCCTGGACCCACCTTTCAAACACTTATTCTGTCTCTAACTCCTTTGTCTCTGCCGGACTTGGGGTACCCACTGGGTGGTGTGGGGGAGGTTTCCCCAACAATGACTCATGCCTTCCTAAAATATATAAAACCAAGCCTGTACCCCGACCACCTTGGGCACATGTCCTCAGGACCTCCTAAGGGCTGTGTCAAGGGGCCATCACAGGCTATGGTCACTCATATTTGGCTCAGAATAAATCTTTTCAAACTTCAGAGTTTGGCTCTTTTCGTCAACAGTTCTCTGTTTTTTATTTGTATGTATGAAGGCTGTTAATTTTTGTATGCTAATTTCATACCCTGCTTCACGGAATACTCTTATTGTTTGAGTTAGTTATATTATTGGTTTTCTAGGGTTTCCCAGGTATACTAATGATACAGCCTCATTGTCTGGGGTGATACCTGAGGTTCATCTCACAGCCATGGAGATCAAGAACTCAGACAAACAAACAGTGAGGTGAAGAGCAGAAATTTAACATGCAAAAGAAAGAGAATAGCTCTTTGCTACAGAGAGGGGTCCTAGAAAAATGGGTTGCCAATCTGCAGCAAAATGCAAGGGGTTTTATAGATGAGTTGATGGCAAGGTTGTGTCTGATCTACATAGGCCATGAAAAACTGCTTAGGACCAGGTGTGACATTTGCATAGGGCGTGAATCTCTGGCAGACCCCACCCCAGTCTTTTATTATGCAGGCGGGATTTCAGCCAGAGCTGCTCCCTGTTGCCCGTTTCTTTCTTACTGTATACATGGGAACAAAAAGGGAAGATGGGTCCAGACACAGTGGCTCACACCTGTAATCCCAGCAGTCTGGGAGGCCAAGGCGGGCGGGTCACGTGAGGTCAGGAGTTCAAGACCAGCCTGGTCAACATGATGAAACCCTGTCTCTACTAAAAATACAAAACTTAGCTGGGCATGGTGTGACACACAACTGTAATCCCAGCTACTCGGGAACCTGAGGCAGGAGAATCACTTGAACGTGGGAGGTGCAGGTTGCAACGAGCCGAGATTGCACCACCACACTTCAACCCGAGCACAGAATGAGACTCCATCTCAAAAAAAAAAAAAAAAAAAAAAAAAAAAAAAAGGAAGATGACGTTTCCATGGTGGACATGATGCTGGGCCCTCAAGTAGTCCTTTTCTATTGGCACAGCTGCCAACATTTGCCCGTGCAAGCTTACAGCTTCCTTATTTATGTTTGCAGCTTGATTTTTCAGGCTGCTCTTTGTTAGAAAAAAAATAATAATAATTTCTTGGGCTGCTTTTTGTTAGGAGGGAAGTTCTTCTGAGGACTCTTTTGCCCTCACTACCTGCCTAAATGATTTCTTTCTACCTCCTTTATCACTATCATATCCTCTGCAATTAGAAATAAGTTTGTTTCCCCTTTACCCATTCTTATGCATCTGATTGATTTCTGTTTTTGAATTGCACTGGCAAATACTTTTAGCACAATATTGAATAGTGGCAGAAATAGTGGACATTCTGGCTGTATTCCTAATTTTATCAAAAATGCCTCTAGTGTTTCCTCATAAAATAAGACAATGGCTTTAGGAAAAAGGTAAATGTATTTTTATCATGTTAAGAATGTAACTTTCAATTCCTGTTTAATGAATGTTTTTTATTAAGAATGGGTGTTGAATTTTGTTATAGGCTTTTTCAGCATGTAGAAAAATAATCATATTTTCCCTTAGGTATATTCATATTGTGTGTGTTGTTACTGGATTTCCTAAAACCAAAGTAACATTGAATTCCTGATATAAATCTCACTTGGTTTTCATTTCTTAATGTGGTGTCAGATTCTGTTCCTAATATTTTCCTTTGAATTTCTCTGTCAGTATTTATTAGTGAAATTGGTCCGAAGTTTTCTTCTTTGAATTGTATTTATCCTTGCATCGCAAGAATGATTAGAAAGATTTCATTCCATTTCAATAGTCTGCAATGAACAATAAAGCATTAGGACTGTCTGGTGTTTGAAGAATTGATAGAATTACACTCTAAAATATCTGGACCTAGTTCATTTTGGGGGAAGGGTAGTTCTAAGTATCTTTACATACTCTATGAGAATTTGTACATTTAAGCTTTTTAACTCCAATAGGGTCAATTTTGGTAACCTGAATTTCCTGCAGAAATTATCAATTTTATTTAGGTTATCAAATATATTTGCATGAAAGTCTACAAATTAATCTATGATTTCTTCTTTTTAATCATTATTTCCTCTTGTTATTTTTTTACTGTGTATATTTTTGTCTCTGCTTTGTCTTCTTGATAAAGTTAGCTATTGGCTTATAGAGTATATTTTCTTAACAGATTTATAATAATTTTCTTAACTAAACCAGGGATTGAATTTATTATATCTTTTATTTTAAATTCTCTGCTGGAAACATTCCCTTTGAAAATCGGCAGAAGACTAGGATGCCCTCTCTCACCACTCCTATTCAACATAGTATTGGAAATTCTGGCCCGGGCAATCAGGCAAGAGAAAGAAAGAAAGGGTATTCAAAAAAGAAGAGAGGAAGTCAAATTGTCTCTGTTTGCAGATGACATGATTGTATATTTAGAACATTCCATCGTCTCAGCCCCAAAACTCCTTAAGCTGATAAGCAACTTCAGCAAAGTCTCAGGATACAAAATCAATGTGCAAGGGATGTGAAGGACCTCTTCAAGGGGAACTACAAATCACTGCTTATGGAAATAAGAGAGGACACAAACAAATGGAAAAACATCCCATGCTCATGGATAGGAAAAATCAATATAGTGAAAATGGCCATACTGCCCAAAGTAGTTTATAGATTCAATACTACTTCCGTTAAACTACCATTGACTTTCTTCACAGAAATAGAGAAAACTACTTTAAATTTCATGTGGAACCAAAAAAGAGCCCATAGAGCCAAGACAATCCTAAGCAAAAAGAACAAAGCTGGAACCATCACACTACCTGACTTCAAACTATACTACAAGGCTACAGTAACCAAAACAGCACGGTACTTGTACCAAAACAGATATATAGACCAATGGAACAGAACAGAGGCCTCATAAATAATGCCACAAATCCACAACCATCTAATATTTGACAAATCTGACAAAAACAAGCAATGGGGAAAGGATTCCCTATTTCATAAATGGTGTTGGGAAAACTGGTTAGCCATATGCAGAAAACTGAAACTGGACCCCTTTCCTTACATCTTATACAAAAAACTGAAACTGGACCCCTTCCTTACACCTTATACAAAAATTAACTCAAGATGGATTAAAGGCTTAAATGTAAGACCTAATACCAAAAAAGCCCTAGAAGAAAACCTAGGCAATACCATTCAGGACATAGGCATAGGCAAAGACTTTATGACTAAAACACCAAAAGCAATGCCAACAAAAGCCAAAATTGACAAATGGGATCTAATTAAACTAAAGAGCTTCTGCACAGCAAAAGAAACGATCATCAGAGTGAACAGGCAACCTACAGAATGGGGGAAGATTTTTGCTATCTATCCATCTGACAAGGGCTAATATCCAGAATCTACAAGGAACTTACATAAATTTACAAGAAAAAAAAACCTCATCAAAAAGTAGGCAAAGGATATGAATAGACGCTTCTTAAAAGAAGACATTTATGCATCCAACAAACATATGAAAACGAGCTCATCATCACTGGTCATTAGAGAAATGCATATCAAAATCACAATGAGATACCATCTCACTCCAGTTAGAATGGTGATCATTAAAAAGTCAGGAAACAACAGATGCTGGAGAGGATATGGAGAAATCAGAATGCTTTTACACTGTTGGTGGGAGTGTAAATTAATTCAACCATCGTGGAAGACAGTGTGGTGATTCTTCAAGGATCTAGAACCAGAAATACCATTTGACCCAGCAATCCCATTACGGGTTATACACCCAAAGGATTATAAATCATCCTAGTATAAAGACACATGCACACATATGTTTATTGCAGCACTATTCACAATAGCAAAGACTTGGAACCAACTCAAATGCCCATCAATGATAGACTGGATAAAGAAAATGTGGCACATATACAACATGGAATACTACATAGCCATAAAAAAGGATAAGTTCATGTCCTTTGCAGGGACATGGATGAAGCTGGAAACCATCATTTTCAGCAAACTAACAGAGGAACAGAAAACCAAACACTGCATATTCTCACTCATAAGTGGAAGGTGAATAATGAGAACACATGGACGCAGGGAGGGGAACATCACACACCAGGGCCTGTCAGGGGATGGGGAGCTAGGAAGAAATACTAAATGTAGATGACAAATTGATGGGTGCAGCAAACCACCATGGCACGTGTATACCTATGTAACAAACCTGCACGTTTTGCACATGTATCCCAGAACTTAAAGTAAAATAAAAATAAATAAATAAATACAATTATCTGCCTTTTTAATATCTGCTTCTTTATTACTTCTTTTTTGTGCTCTCTTTGACTTAATTTGTTGTTATATTCTGATGTTCAGAACTGAGAATATAATTATTTTAATTTTATTATTTTTATCAATATAAATGTTTAGTTCAATAAATTTTCTTATCACAAATGCTTTACATGCATTTTATAGATTCAGTTATGTAATATTTTTCTTTTCTTATTTTTATGTGTATAATTTCAGTTTGTATTCCCTTTTTCAAGTAGAAGTTGATTTAAGGAAGTTTGGAATTTATTTTCTTATTTCAAAATGAATAGACCTTTTTGTTTTATTGTTGTTGCTATTATTATTTAATTCTAGTTTTTGCATTGTTACCAGAAATTGTTGTTGTAAATACTTATTTTTAACTTATGAAACTTTTTTTTGTAATCTAATATATGAACAATAACAAATTTTTGACCACACACTGGGACTCATGCCTGTAATCTCAGCACTTTGGGGAGCTGAAGCAGGAGTATCTCTTGAGGCCAGAAGTTCCAGAGCAGCCTGGGCAACACAGCAAGACTCCATCTCTATAAAATATGTTTCACAAAATAGGCAGGCATGGTAGTGTACACATGTAGTCCCAGCTACTTGGGATCCTGAAGAGGGAGGATAGCTTAAGAACAGGAATTCACAGTTCGTGAGCTATGATTGTGCCAATGCACTCCAGCCTGGATGACAGAGTGACACTCTGTCTCTAAGAAAATTTTAAAAATAAAAATAAAAAATTGGTTGACATTTTCTTCAGTGACTTAAAAAAAATGCTACCTTGCTTGGGTTTTTTGAAAAGCATGCTAGTGTAAATTTTTTTTGCCATTGTTAGTTATTTGATCTTCTTGCCTCAAGTTCTTAGGATCTTATTCTCACCTTTGAAATCTAATAGTTTTACTATGATATTTTTTGGAGTTTATCACTCTTTGTGTCAACGTAAAATAATGAAAAGAGTCAGAATCTAATTTTTAAAGTTCATTCATGTGCAAATTGCAAAGATGGACCACCCAGAAATGTCAGATTTAAAGGAATGGAGTCAGAGTTCCAGTTAAGATTTCATTTACATAGGCAGAGATAAGGAATTTTTCACAGGATTGCAGTATTATTCATACAAGGTTAACACAGAGTTACAGCAACTTGATTGGTTACAGGCAGTATTTCTTTCTGGAAAGGGTACATTTAACAATTTTTCTTAGTCATAGGTTTTCTGTCATCTGATCTAAGCAAAGCAGGACAACAAAGGGGAATTAACATACATAAAAAGGGCCATTAATTAAAAAGGCAGGTTGTTGTCCCTGACATTATTTGCTTCTCTCTAGTAATTGCCCAGAACAAGACAAATGAGAAAGTTAGTTAATCTATAATCTGAACACAGAAGTTGTAACCAAACATGACTGAGATTACAGTTACTACTCTCTCAAGGCTTAAAGTGTTTTAGGGGCCTACAACAACTTTTAAATTGTATTTATTCTCACACTAGTAATTTTTCCAAATATCCGTTGAGCCCTTTCAATTTGTACATATTAATATTTTTCTATTTCTGGTATATATTCTTAGGATATAGCTTTTAATATTAGCTCTGTTCCATTGTTATCTTTTTCTTTGTCAAAAATTCCTGTAAGACAGATATTATCTCTTCTTTGACTTATTTTTCACTATTTTCTCTGCTGGTCCTTTTTTCTTCTTTCTTTGTGGCATCTTTTATTCTAGGTTTGCTTAATTGTCTTCCATGCCCATTATTAAGTTTTAATTTAGTTAGATTCTCCCCTGGGAAGCTCGTAAGTTATTCTTTCAATTCTGAGATTATTTTGTCTTTTTTCATTGGTTTTATTCCTGAGTTCAGCTCTTTTATATTTTTCCTGGTGTGTGTGTGTGTGTGTGTGTGTGTGTGTGTGTGTGTGCTGGAATTTCTGTTTGAAAGTCATTTTCCATATTCTAATATATTTTTGAGTATATTTAATTGTTTAAAATGTAGATTACAGTTTTCTTCTGTTTTGTGATTATTTTTTCTTATTTTAACTTATTTTTCCTGCTTTTCTGCAATACTTCTCTGCAGGACTTGACTTTGGTTTTGTTAATTTTTAATATAATGAAGTGTTTTAGATAATTGCTGACACTCTTCTGTCAGTCTAGCAAAGTCCATGTATTTTAGTAGGGTTTATTTGCTTTTTTGTATAGTAAGGAGGAAGCTGTGGATCCTCTAACTCTGTGGTCTTGTCTTCCAGTGGCCTAAATCTCCCTATTCTTTTCTTCATCACCCACTGGCCAATGACATTTCTTCCTTCCTCTTGGTTTTTGATCACCTCCAGACTATATGGATTGAGGCTGTCCCCCTAAATTGTGCTTGTCCTTTTAAATCAGCTTTGTTGTGATTAAATCTAACATACCCGGTTACTGTTTTTAGGATTTTCTTATTTAGGGTGCAGTTAATCTATCTTTCTGGTGGGTGCTGCACCTCACACTCAGGCCTCTTCCCTAATGTTCCAATTTTCTGTCCTCAGCTTTTCTTGTTCTGAGACTAAGCTTTTTGGCTAGTAAGAGCAGTTGAGAGCACCTGAGAATTTGGCACTTGTATTTATTGTTTCTTTTTTCTTTTTCTTCATAATTGTTGTTTTTTTAGTTTTGACATGCTTTGTTTTCAGATAATGCCAGGGGCGTGGTATCTCATGAAATTTTGCCATGTTTTTTATCTCATATTGTGTCCAGAATTGGTTCCTTCCAGTGGGTTCTTGGTCTCGCTGACTTCAAGAATGAAGCCGCGGACCCTGGCGGTATGTTACAGTTCTTAAAGATGGTGTGTCCGGGGCTTGCTCCTTCAGATGTTCAGATGTGTCCAGAGTTTCTTCCTTCTGGTGGGTTCATGGTCTTGCTGACTTCAGGAGTGAAGCCGCAGACCTTTGCAGTGAGTGTTACAGCTCTTAAAGGTGGCGCGTCCGGAGTTGTTTGTTCCTCCCGATGGGTTAGCGGTCTCGCTGACTTCAAGAATGAAGCTGCAGACCCTCGCAGTGAGTGTTACAGCTCATAAAGGTAGTGCAGACCCAAAGAGTGAGCAGCAGCAAGATTCATTATGAAGAGTGAAAGAACAAAGCTTCCACAGTCTAGAAGGGGACCCCAGCAGGTTGCCCCTGCTGGCTCCAGTGGCCAGCTTTTATTCCCTTATTTGGCCCCACCCAGGTCCTGCTGATTGGTCCATTTTACAGAGTGCTGATTGGTGTGTTTACAATCCTTTAGCTAGACAGAAAATTTCACCAAGTCCCCACCTGACCCAGAAGCCCAGCGGGCTTCACCTCTCAATATTAGGGAGGGTTTTTTTTTTTTCTGGCTTATATTCTCCTAAAATCACTCAAACAATTAAATGGTTAATTGTTCTTCACTCAACAACTTTTACTAGTATGTCAGAGTTCAAATAATAATAGAGAATTAAAATATTTGGATAAGCATGGTGGCTCACGATTGTAATCCCAGCATTTTGAGAGGCCAAAGTGGGTGGATCACAAGGTCAAGAGTTCAAGACCAGCCTGTTCAAGATGGTGAAACCCCGTCTCTACTAAAAAATACAAAAATTAGCTGGGCGTGGTGGTGGGCACATGTAATCCCAGCTACTTGGGAGACTGAGGCAGAGAATTGCTTGAACCCAGGAGGCAGAGTTTGCAGTGAGCCGAGATCACGCCATTGCACTCCAGCCTGGGCGACAGAGCAAGACTGTGTCTCAAAAAAAAAAAAAAAAAAAAAAAGTTTCTCTGAAATTTCAGTACTGGGCAGTACAAAGCTATTTCTCTTGCATATAAAAGCAAACCATCTCAAAATGCTGTTTACTTATATATTCAAGTGAAGATAGAATGAAATTCTTTAGAAAGTCTCTCAGTCACAGGCTGACACTGTTCTTCCTTTTTTTAATCCCTCAAAGGTGATATAAACAAAGGTGCCAAAATTATTTTAAAGATTGTAATTTAGTGCTATGAAATAATAAAGCATTTTATAGACACGTTGCACTTCTTGTCAAGAAGATATTTAAGGGGAACTAATAGATTATGCAGTTTTTCTTTAAAGCGTTTCCCAGGAAACAAATCATCAGGTAAATTTCCAAACTAACACTTTATTAGAAGGTACAATCCTGGGTAGACAGGCTGAGGGAAAAACAAAAGTAGTGGAAGCTTGGGGAAAGTGAAGAAGGAAAACACACAGAAGGAGAGGCATTACAGATGCATCTTCTTTTTCAGATGAATGGCATGGTCTGCTCACTAGTAACACTCTCATTTTCATGCTGAGTCACATCAGCAAAGGTCATTATGACCTTGGGAACGACCTCTAACCCAGAACCAAAGCAAGTAGCATAGACCAGAGGTCAGGTAAGGCTGAGTTCATCTGGGGTAATGTAAAATGGAGATCTGTTTATAGAGCCAAATGAAAGACCTATATATGCCAATATTTATATGTCAACCTGTAATTTAATAAAAGATGCAATATATAGAAGTGGCTCTTTTAACATTCTGTTGCTTTGGACTTTGTTATGTGTAATTGATTTTGTTTTTCAGTTCTGTGTAAAATGCAACTCTTCCTTAATCAGGCATGAGAAAATGCAATGAAACAATAATTGCATGTCTTTCCCAGTAATATTCTAGTTAGAAAACATAGACAATAAAATATTGCTATTTTGTTTTTATATACCAAGGTTTTTTAAAAAAATATTTTATTACAATTTAGCATATATGTTACTTATTTTATTTCAAGGCATATGAAAGTAATAACCTTATTTTTGTTTTAATGATAATTTTCTTTTGAAAGACTGAACAAGATGCTGAGCAGATTATTATTTTCTTCTGAGGAGCTACTGAGAAACTTCACTTAGCATCTTCTTCAATAGGAAACATATTATCTTGATGCACACAATAATTTTGGAGCTGTTTTATTCTCTCTTATATTTTTATATTCATTTATAGACTTTGTATAGACTGACCTTTTCCCCTACATAACATAGAGTGCTATCAAGTTAAAACTGAGCACTAGTGTAATAAAATGAATTCTAATATCATACTTTATTATCTGTATGATTCCATTCACATGGTACTCCAGATGTAGTGGAAACTGAAAGTATTCTTTTCCACAAGCCCTCAATATTATGACTGAAAAATATTTTAGTCTTAAGTGGCACTGATCAGTGAAGAAATCAAGATGGTATTATTATTTATTCAGAAGGTGAAGTAGAGCCAAACTCCTTGTAAATAGGTTTATACTAAAAATTAGAGCAAAACATTTAAAGTGAATATGCTTCAACTGAAATAATCACAGTATAATTCTCAGTACCATAGAAACCAATAAACTTAGAAGAAAATGAAGCTCAGGAGACTTCTAAAAAATAGAAATAGGAAAGAAAGTCTAAGGCTACGTAGTCTAAGAAATCTGAATGGAATATATAGTAATAACGGTCATGAGAATAATTATTAGAACTAACTTTATGTTTATTTTTTCCAACATGAGCATATACTTTGCAAAATAAAGAGCAAAGTAAGTACTGATAGTCTGTATGAATTTTCACAAATAAGTAAAAAAATTAGGTTACCTATCCAAGTTCCCTGTTTCCTCCTCTCTCTTTCAGTAGAAGTGGCAAAAGAAATATAAAAGTGGTTACAATCTACATCTGTACGTTAAAGATACAGCCAGCATCTTCCTTCCTTCCTTCTTTCCTTCCTTCCTTCTTTCCTCCCTCCCTTCCCCCTTCCTTTCTTTCCTTTCTTTCTCTTTCTTTCTTCCTTTCTTTTCTTTCCTTCTTTCTGTCTTTCTTTTCTTTCCTCTCTCCCTTCTTTCCTTCCTTCCTCCCCTCCCTCCCTCCTTTTCTTTTCTTTCCTTTCCTTTTCTTTTGTTTTCTTTTCTCTTTCTTCCTTTCTTTTCTTTACTTTCCTTCTTTCTTTCTTTTCTTTCCTCCCTCCCTTCTGTCCTTCCTTCCTTCCTTCCTCCCCTCCCTCCCTCCTTTTCTTTCCTTTTCTTTTCTTTCTTTCTTTTTTCCTTCCTTCCTTCCCTCCCTCTCCTCTCCTCTCCTCTTTCTTTCTTTTTCTTTCTTTCTGTCTTTCTTTCTTTCCTTCTGTGCCTGCCTGCCTTTTCTTTTCTTTTTTCTTTTCTTTTCTTTTCTTGCCTTGCCTTGCCTTGCCTTTTCCTTTCTTTTCTTTTTTCTTTCTGAAACAGGGTCCATTCTGCTGCCTAGGTGGAGTGCAGTGGCACAATCATAGCTCACGGCATCTTTGAACTCCTTGGCTCAAGTGATACTCCTGCTTCAGCCTCCCAGGTAGCTGGGACAACAGGCATGTTCCACAATGTCCAGGTAATTTTTTTTTTTTTAGTAGAGGCTGGGCCTCCCTCTGTTGTGCAGACTTGTCTGAAACCCCCAGGCTCAGTGATCCTCCCATCTCAGCCTCCCAAGGTGCTGGGATTACAGGTGTAAGCCACTGCTCCCAGCCAGCCAAGCTTCTTCATGGTAATGTCCTACCATTTTCAGATTTCTTTCATGTCATCTGTAACAGCTAAAATTCTAAGAGATTGCTATCTTTGCTGCTAAATTTAGTTTGTATGCCTCTTGTCAACAAAGTAAATGCATAGTGTGCTCACACAAATTTACTCCAGAAAAATTAGTCTTATAAGGCCTGGACAAAAATTCTTTAATTGTGTTCTGCAAGGTTGTTCTCATTAGCTTAATGTCTTGTGTTAGAATAAAATTTTACTACCCAATGTAGGCATTGTAGAATTTTCAGCAGAAATACCTGTTTTGAGTGCACTCTCTTTTTTTAATCTTCTAGTTCCCAGGATTGGTGTTATGAATTTAAGATTTGAAGGCTACACTTTACATTTAAATCTCTGAATTATGGAAGTAACATATTCTCTAATGACAACTTATGAAGAATGAGTCTTAGTAACATCTTTTCTGCCTATTTGTGCCTTCAACAGTGTGATGGTTAATATTGAGTGTCAACTTGATTGGATTGAAGGATTCATAGTTTTGTTCCTGGGTGTGTCTGTGAGGGTGTTGCCAAAGAAGATTAACTTTGAGTCAGTGGACTGGGAGAGGCAGACCCACCTTCACTCTGGGTGGGCACCATCTAACCAGGTGCCAGTGCTGCTAGGAGAAAGCAGGTGGAAGAATACGAAAGGACTAGACTTGCTGAGTCTTCCGGCCTTCATCTTTCTCCCATGCTGGATGCTTCCTGCCCTAAAATATCAGACTTCAAATTCTTCAGCTCTGGGACTCCTGGACTTACACTACTGGTTTGCCAGGGACTCTCGGGCCTTTGGCCGTAAACTAAAGGCTACACTGTTGACTTCTCCACTTTTGAGGTTTTGGGACTCAGACAGATCCACCACTGGCTTCCTTGCTCCTCAGCTTGCAGACGGCCTATTGTGGGACTTTACCTTATGACTGTGTGAGTCAATTCTCCTTAATAAACTCCCTTTCATATATACATATATCCTACTAGCTCCGTACCTCTAGAGAACCCTGACTAATACAAACAGGAACCTTTATAAGTACTATTCTTACATCCTTTTAGACATGGAAGCTTTTTTTTTTTCCTGTATCACAATAAGTATTTTTTTTAAGCCCTCAAATGACCCTTTGAGTCCCTCTACTCCTGATCTTCCATTCATTTTTTTCCCCAAAATTTTAGCTCTGGTTTCAAAAGCATTGTTAATGTTAATAGAAAAAAAATAGTGACCTAAGGAATGAACTCTTTAATCATGATTGCTTTCCTCTTCCATTTGAAATACGCTACCTTTGAAACATCTCCACATTGTTCTCCAAGTACCATTCAAAAGCCTCTTCTCTCGTTTGTGCATATACTGCTAAGCACATCTCCCTTAACCCGCCTCAAGATTCTCATTGAAAATAACACAGAATATACAAATCGAAGAAAAGAAACAATCAAACGAACAAATCACTGTAGGAGCAATTGAAAACTGAACACTCATCATATGAAATAATAATTTTACTGAAAATCTTATTTAAGAAAACTCATAAAACTACATCGTAAAATTATTTCTATTTTCAGATGCCTTTGCTCTGCCTCTAGAAATCAGTTTCCTGGGTGGAGATGAAAAGATGGGGGATTGGGAAATGAAAGAAAACCTAAACCTCCTTACTTTTCCTGAGATATAACTTGCTCTGCCTAACTAATCCAGCCTTAGAAATAATTCCTGACATTCAGGTTTTATTTTCAAATTCTGTCCTAATATAAACGCCAGTTTGTTTGTTTTTTTATAATCTATAGACTTTACCTACAGAATTGTAGTTGTAACTAAAATTGTCTTTAACTTATTGGATCCGATATGATTTGCTTCTCAGATCCCTTGTCTCATTGCATGTACTTATGCCAACCTGTTGAAGGCAATAATGAACCTAAGACACACAGAGAGAGAGGCAGAGATAAAAAGGGAAAGAGAGGTCTGCTCTGAAGGCCCAAAGCAGAGCTGATCTAAATTGCCAATCTATGGGAATTTTCAATTGAGAGCCTTAGCCAAACCATTGTCATACACCAGGAAACTGGGAGGAAACATTTTATTGGAGAGTGAACCTGATGATAAAAAAACGCAAGCACACAATGATACCACAGTTCGGAATCCAGCTTTTGACTCACAAAATCACTTTCTTAGACTTGACTTAAATTTAGTGCTTTCCTGAAGCTAGAATGAGTTGGAAACAGCCTTCTTTTTCAATAATTATAAATTTTATCAACATTCGAAAGCAGGACAAAAATACATTGGATAATGTGATCAGAATTGAATTACTAAGTTTTCTAAGTGATATAGTTCTGATATCTGCATTTTCTCTATAGAAGTCTTTTATAGTTTTTTTATTTATTACCCCCAAATTACAATTAAGTTCATTGCAACTTGAGGCCCTCCCCAATTTGACCTCAAACAAACTTTTATTTTACTGGTTCTGTATTTTATATTGCTTTAAAATTATTGTACGAGGTAAAACTTCTTAAAATTTAGTTTAGCATCTTTTTATTTGTTTAACTTTTCCAGACTGAAAATATACTTTTTTCACCATTTCCTCACACACGTCTTTGCCTCTCTTCAAGGTCTAAATGATACTGGTTTCCTGAAGCCAACACAATTTTTCTTCCTGTCTTTGCTCTGCATGTTGGTTACTTATAACATTTTGCCTTGCCTTGGTGGTAATCATTTTTATGTTATATCTCTCATAGCATATTAAAATGGGAAGACTCAGGTACTGCTCTAATTACCTGCTCAGTTAGAATTGGTGCAGGAATTGGAATAGTTCCTAAAACTGTGAGGCATGTATTTATTTACTCAACTGAATAGAACTAGAGAGAACAAAGCTGGAGCTGACCATCCAGTCATGCTGACTATCAGAGAGCCTTGTGCATAAGGGGCCTGCTATAAACATTTATTCAATACATATTAAACACTCTTCATTTAAAAAATACAAGCTATTAGGAAAAAGAAAAGAAATTGTTTAAATTTTGAACTCAACAGGCCCAGTTCACTATCTCTTTACACTGTCATTAAATAGATTTATAAAACTGCAAATCCTTTCCCCTACAGGAAATTGCAGCCACTAAGACTATTTTACTTTATATTTTATTATAAAAGACAATTAGGTTTTCTAAGAGAGACCAATTTCAAAATTCCTCTTTAAAAACTTTTTCATATGTCATTATTAAATCCGCCCCCAATCCCCAAAAAGATTTACGTATTTTTCCTGTGCTTCCATCTTTTTTATCCCCTCCCAAAGACCAACCTCCTGTACTTGGATATTAATGCCAAGTCATGTAGTGGAATAAACAGGCCATTAGCATTAAAAAACACACACCTCTTTTTTATTGAAAAATCCTTTTTATGACAGAAAGAACCTAAAATTTGCATTTAAATGGAGACTATTCAAGTAATATACTGCATGAGATTACTAGATTTTTAAATATGTGATTTTTATAAGGTTGATAAATACTGCCACTGTCATAGAATTTTTTGGAAAGATTTCAAGAAGTAAAAGACTATTTCCAAAGCTAGAAAATTTAAACATTTATAATCTCTACATTCAGGAATTTTGATCTGCATTAAGTTCTCTATAATAAAGAGTCATTTTTCAACATTTAAAGTATTTAAAAGTTTAAAATGAAACATTAGATGGCATGCTTAGATTCTTCTTCATGCAAAATCAGTTAAATCCTCGATGTGACTATCCCATATTAAAATCATTTACTGTCAGTCACCTCCTGGGGTATACAATATTACAAATTTCTCTCTTAGTGAACCCTCTTACTCTACAGTATCTGGCATATAAAGTTTCCGGTACAAACTAAAATTTGGATGAAACCATTACAAACCAACTAAAGTAGATTTAAAAATGCAGCCCATGATAGCAGTTATAAAACTTTATGGAGCTTATTAATTGCTTGAGATCTTGCCAAAAATTTTTTGAAATCTAGGAATTCTGATTTTGATTTGGGAGGGACATTGAAAGAGTATTTCAACCATGATGCCTGTCCATATGAATATGCATGGTAAATAGTAATCAATGATGCTAAAGTAACAAATATGTTGTAACCCTCTGTGTTAACACAAAGGGTTAAATTGTTAAAGCGGGCTCATAGGAATGATAATTCTTACCTGATACCACACTTGATTAATAATTCACAGACTCAAACAAAAACCAAGCAAAATATATGCTCTGGAGGAGCAGGCAATTATTAACCACAGTTCCCAATACATTTTTTGTCTTACATTAGGACACTGCTTGTTATTGGATTAACAGATTAGGTTTCCGAATGATGTATTCACAAAAACATAGTTCACAAAAGAAGCTGTTTCAATTTTGGGACTTACCAGCTTTACACTCTGTTAGTTGTATGACTGTAAAATACATACTGGATAACTTCCCATTCTCCAGACAGCTATGTTCTATACATCTATAAATCCAGGATCGTTTATAATAAGTAATCTACAGAGGCAAAATATGTCCGTCTCAAATATTTACTTTGTAAAAATAGAAACTCTGTTTCTTATCAGGAGCAAGTTGATGCAGGACATAAGCACGTCTATGACAAAGTCTATTGGAAATCCATCACCTCTCTTTGATCTTCTCAAAGAAGGTTCTCATCATCAAGAAGAAAATAACAACATTGCTATTAAATTATGTCTTCCCACTTCTACTCCTAAACTGTTCATAAGAAAAATCTTTACTTTAGACAACACATTGTCTTTCTGATATTATCTCTTTGCAAACATTCATACTATAACCGAGTCTTATTTCCTGAATAAATTATCTGTCTTTTGATCAATGGATTATTCCCTAATTAAGGGGGATATTTCACTTTCTCTTTGAGGATGACCACCTGTTCTCTGTAGGAGTCCTGATTTTTTTAATTTTAATTTTTAATTTTTGTGAGTACATACTAGTTGTGTATGTTTATGGGTAACATGAGATATTTTGTTACAGTTGTACTGCATAATAATCATGTCAGGGTAAATGGGGTACCCAACACCTCAAGCATTTATCCTTTTTGTTACAGACAATCTAATTATATTTTCTATTTATTTTTAAATTTATAATTAAATTATTTTTTAGTGCAGTCCCCCTGTTGTGCTAGAAAATACTAGGTCTTTATTCTTTCTAATTATTTGAATAAAGTCTTAAAAGAATAATTCTCATTGCATATCTTAGACGTTTTATATATATATATATCATTTTATATACATATATATATACACACACACACATACAATTGTTTTGCTTAAAGTAAATACTGTTACTAGCTAGTAGAAACTTTCATGAATATAGATTTGTACCTCTTTTATTGTACTTGAATACTGCTGTGGTTTGAATGTGTCCCCAATCCTCTTAATCCCCAATGCAACAGTGTTAAGAGGTGGGAACTTTAAAGAGGTGATTAAGTCATAAGGGTTCTGCCCTTATGAATGGAATAATGCCATTATTACAGGACAGAAGTGGATTAGATATGGCAGAGTGTATTCCTGATAAAAGGATGAATTTGGCCCCCTTCTCTTCTTCCTTTTGTCCCCTCTTGCCCTTTGGATTTCCACCATGGAATGACAAAGCAAGTTGGCCCTTACAAGATGCCACCACATTGATATTGGACTTCCCAGCCTCTAGAACTGTAAGAAATATATTTTTTAATTGTTTGTTTATTTTTTCTAATGTTTTACTTTTTATCTTTGTGGGTATATAGGTATATGTATTTATGAGGCACAGGAGATATTTTGATACAAGCATACAATGCATAATAACTACATTTTGGGAAATGGTGTATCCTCCTCTCAAACATTTATTAACTGTGTTAAAAACAAGCTAATTATACTCTGTTAGTTATTTTAGAATGTACAATTAAGTTACTATTGACTCTAGTAAACATGTGCTATCAATTACTAAGTTTTATTCATTCTTTCTAAACATTTTTATGTACCAATTAACCATTCTCACCTCCCCCTCACTGCCCCTGACTGCCCTTCCCAGCCTCTGATAACCATCCTTCTACTATATCTTAAGGAGTTCAATTGTTTTGAGTTTTAGATTGCACAAATAAGTGAGTACATGCAATGTTTGTCTTTCTGTGCCTGGCTTATTTCACCTAACACAATGACCTCCACTTCCTTCCATGTTTTTGTAAACGACAGGATCTCATTCTTTTTTATGGCTGAATACTACTCCATTGTATATATGTACCACATTTTCTTTATTCATTCATCTATTCACAGACACTTAGGATCTTCCACATCTTTGCTATTGTGAACAGTGCTGCAACAAATATGAGTGTGCAGATGTATCTCTGATATTCTGATTTTCTTTCTTTTTGGTATGTACTCAACAGTAGGATTGCTGGATCATATAGTAGCTATATTTTTAGTTTTTTGAAGAACCTCCAAACTGTTCTCCATGGTAGTTGTACTAATTTACATTCCCACCAACAGTGTACGAGGGTTCCCTTTCTCCACATCCTTTCCAGCACTTGTTATTGTCTGCCTTTTCAATAAAAGCCATTTTAACTGAAGTGAGACAATATCTCATTGTAGTTTAGTTTGCACTTCTCTGATAATCAATGATTATAACTGTTTTCCGTTTGCATGTCTTCTTCTGAGAAATGTCTATTCAGATCTTTTGCCCATTTTAAATCAGATTATTAGATGTTTTGGTTATTAACCTCTTGTCAAATGGTTAGTTTGGAAACATTTTCTCACATTATGTGGATTGTCTCTTCACTTTCTTGATTGTTTACTTTGTTGTGCAGAAGGTTTTTTAACTTAGTGTGATCCCATTTGTCCATTTTTACTTTGGTTGCTTATGCTTTTGGGTTATTACTCAAGAAAGCTATGCCCAGTCAAATGTCCTGGAGAGTTTCTCCAATGTTTTTCTTTAGTAGTTTTATGGTTGAGGTCTTAGATTTAAGTCTTCAATCTAGTTTTATTTGATTTTTGCATATGACAAGAGATAAGGGGCTAGTTTCACTCTTCTGCATATGGATATACAGTTTTCTCAGCATCATTTATTCAAGAGACTGTCTTTACCCCAGTATATCTTCTTGACACCCTTTTTAAACATGAGATCACTGTAGATGTGTGAATTTGTTTCTGGGTTTTCTATTCTCTTCCACTGGTCTGAGTCTGCTTTTATGCCAGTAACATGCTGTTTTGGTTACTATAGCACTGTGGTATAATTTGAAGTCAGGTAATGTAATTCCCCCAAATTTGTTCTTTTTGCTCAGGATACTTTTGTTTATTCTGAGTCTTTTATGGTTTCATATAAATTTTAGGGTTGTTTTTCTATTTATGTGAAAAATATCATTGGAATTTTGATAGGGATTGCATTGAATCTGTACATTATTTTGGGTAATATGGACATTTTAACAATATTAATTCTTACAATCCATGAACATGGAATTTTTTTTCATTTTTTGGTGTGTTTTCTTAAGATTTTTTAAATCAGTAATTGATTGAGTAGGATTGCTGTTAGTTCCTCTTTAAATGATTGGTAAAATTCAGCAGCAAAGTTATTGGGTCCCAGGGTTTCTTCCTGGTTCAATTCAGTAGGTTGTATGTGTCTAGGAGTTTGTCCATTTCTTCTAGATATTCCAATTTATTACCATATAGTTCCTCATAGTAGCCACTAATGATTCTTTAAATTTCTGTAGTATCAGTTGTAGCTGTAATGTGTCCTTTTTCATCTCTGATTTTATTTAGCTTTATCTTCTCTATTTTTTTCTTCATTAGTCTGGCTAAGGATTTGTCAATTTTATTTAACTTTTCAAAAGACCAACGTGTCATTAATCTTGTGTATTTTCATTTCAGTTTCATGTATTATTACTCTGATCTTTATTATTTCTTTTCTCCTACTAATTTTGGGTTTCATATGCTCTTGCTCTTCTAGTTCTTTAAGGCGCATCATTAGATTAAGTTTTTCCCTTTTTCGATGGAGGCACTTATAGCTATAAACTTCCCTCTTACTACTGCTTTTGCTGTATCCCTTAAGTTCTTTTTGTCATGTTTCCATTATCATTTATTTTGAGAAAATTTTCAGGTTCCTTCTTAATTTCTTCATTGACTCACTGGTCATTCAGGAGCATATTATTTAATTTCCATGTATTTGTATAGTTTCCAAAATTCCTCTTGTTTTGGGTTTCTAATTTCACTGCATTGTGGCCAGAGAAGATGCTTGCTAGTTTTTCAATATTTTTTATTTAATTTTTATTTTTTATTTTATTTTATTTTATTTTATTTTATTTTATTTTATTTTATTTTTTTTAGAGACAGAGCCTCGCTCTGTCACCCAGGCTGGAGTGCAGTGGCGTGATCTCGGCTCACTGCAAACTCTGCCTCCCGGGTTCACACCATTCTCCTGCCTCAGTCTCCCAAATAGCTGGGACTACAGGCACCCGCCACCATACCCAGCTAATTTTTTTGTATTTTTAGTAGAGACAACGTTTCACCATGTTAGCCAGGATGGTCTTGATCTCCTGACCTCATGATCCGCCCACCTCACCCTCCCAAAGTGCTGGGATTACAGGCATGAGCCACCGCGCCTAGCCTATTTCAGTATTTTTTGATGTTTTAAGATTCACTTTTGACCTACCATATGGTCTGCCTTTGAGAATGATTTATGTGTTCAGAAGCATGTGTATTCTGCAGCCATAGGAAGTAATGTTCTGTAAGTATCGATTAGATCAATTTATTCTATAGTGCAGATTAAATCCAGTTGTTCTTTCTTGATTTTCTCTCTGAGAAATCTGTCCAATGCTGAAAGTGGGGTGTTGAAGTCTCCAGCTGTTATTTTATTAAAGTCTCTTTAGCTCTAATAATATTTGCTGTATATTCTGGGTGCTTCAGTGCTGGATGCATTTATATTTATAATCATTTCATCTTCTTGCTGAATTGACCTTTTTATTATTATATAGTGATCTTCTTTGTTTTCTCTTACAATTTTTGTCTTGAAATCTATGTTGCCTGATATAAGAATAGCTACTCCTGCTTTTTGTTTGTTTGTTTGTTTCCATTGACATGGAACATCTTTTCTCTTTATTTTCAGTCCATGTATACCATTATAAGTTAAGTGTGTTTCCTGTAGGCAACAGAGCATTGGGTCTTGTGTGTGTGTGTGTGTGTGTGTGTGTGTGTGTGTTTGTTTTCCATTCATCCATTCTGTCTTTTGATTGTAGAGTTTAATTCCTTTACAGTCAACGTTATTATTAAGTAAGGACTTTTTTCTGCCACTTTGTTATTTGTTTTCTAGTTGTTTTGTGGTCTTCTCTTCCTTCTTTCCTTCCTGTCTTCCTTTTAGCGAAGGTGATTTTCTCTGGTGGTATGATTTAGTTTCTCACTTTTAATTTTTGGTATATACATTGTATGTTTACCATGAGGTTACCATGAGGCTTTAAAATACCATCTATAACCCATTATATCAAAATGATGACAAATTAGCACTGATTACATAAAAAACTAGTACAAATTTTTTCCCCCACTTTCTAACTTTTTGTTGTTTCTCTTTATGTCTTATTGTACTATGTCTTGAAAAGTTATCATAGTCATTATTTTTTATTAAATCACCATTTAGTCTTTCTACTTGAGTAGCTGACACACAACAATTACAGCATTATAATATTCTGTGCATTCTCATGTGCTTACAATTACCAGTGAGTTTTTTTTTTTTTTTAACCATCAGATGATTTCTTCTAGCTCATTAACATTCTTTTCTTTCAGACTAAAAATCTCCCAACAGCATTGCTTGTAGGACAGCTTTTGTTTGTGTAAGAAGGTCTTTATTAATCCTTCATGATCGAAGAATATTTTTGGAAGATATATTATTCTAGGCTAAAAGGATTTTTCCTTCAGTACTTTAAATATCTCTTGCCACTCTCTCCTGGCCTGTAACATTTCCACTTAAAAGTCTACTGCCAAATGTATTGGAGCTCCATTGTATGTTATTTTTCTCTTTCCTTTTGTGGCTTTTAGGATCCTTCCTTTTCCTTGACCTTCAGGAGGTTGATTATCAAATTCTTTGAAGGAGACTTCTCTGTGTTAAATGTGCTTTGTGTAGAAATTAGACTGACACCTATGACCATCTAATCTTCAACAAAACTGACAAAAGCAAGCAATGGGGAAAAGATTCCCTATGCAATAAATCCTATTGGGACAACTGGCTAGCAATATGCAGAAGATTTAAAATGGACCCCTTCCTTACACTATAAACAAAAATCAACTCAAGATGGATTAAAGATTTAAATATTAAACTCAAAACTATAAAAACTCTGGAAGACAACCTAGGTGATACCATCCTGGACACAGGCAGGAAAAGATGTCCTGACAAAGATATCAAAAGCAATTGCAACAAAAGCATAAATTGACAAGTGGAATCTAATTAAATGTAAGAGCTTCTGCACAGCAAAGAAACTAACAACAGAGTAAATAGACAACCTACAGAATGGAAGAAAATATTTGCAAACTATGCATCTGATGAAGGTCTAATATTCAGCATCTATAAGGAACTAAAACAAATTTACAAGAGAAAAACAAACAACCCCATTAAAAAGTGAGCAAAGAACATGAACGGCCTAGAAGTTCGAGGCTGCAGTGAGCTATGGAATGCCACTGCCTTTCAGCCTGGGATATGGAGTAAAACTGTCTCACACACACAGAAGACATCTCTCTCTCTCTGCACAACGGAGAAGACAGTGGCTTTAAACTTACATAGCTAGCCTCACCTTTTAAGATATTTTTCTTGGCAATCTTGTTTTCTCTAAGCCTTTACCGAAGCCCTATTTTGTTTCAGCAAATATTGGTGTTGGGACCCAAGTTCTGTTCTTTTGGGATGTAAATATCACCTGAGTCATGTTTTTGAAAGTGCAAATTTAAGAGCTGACTACTAACAATTGTTTAGACTTGATGAGTAAAGGGAAAAGAAACAATCTGAAATCTGGCAGAGGAAGGATTTATGAAGCTATAAAATTTGCATCTATCTGAGTGTCTCTGTCTAACTGTTTATATATGTCATGTGCATGTGATATTTCACTATTAAAATATATGAAAGACTTCTAATTAATTGTCTTAAAGAAAAAGTAAGCACTTAAGTATTTTATCAAAAAAATAGAAACTAGCTCAAATGCCTTTCAGTTCATATGACTTGGCTACATCTTTCACAAATAATACTTGTTAAATATTGTTGGTTTAATAAAAACAACTATGTCTTCTAAGTTATAAAAGAAAAAACCACATGTATTTAACTTTATGGATTTTGCTTTTATGATACTTGCCTAACACACAGTAATATAAAAATTATGAAGAGAAAAATTAACTTGAGATGATGGCTAGCTTTGTTTAATGAACTATTCAAGCATAATTGTTAAGAATAAATTAAGTGAATGTAAATGTGATAAAAGGTCATAAGTGAACTTTTCATAGTTTCAAAGTTCTTTTCAGTAATTTAAAATCTTAAAGTCATGTTATGGTAAATTAACTAATATGTAGTCATAAAATTTCTGAGTCATTTCTAAGTAAGTTAAAATACTGAAACATTATTAAATAAAAGTTTAAGTTTATATATTTTGGCATCTTATATTTATATGGTACAGGAAAGCTAAATATGTTTAGATCTGTTAATAAACAAAAAAATTGAGAACACATCTCTAAAAATCATGAATTGGTTTTTATCTACACTGGTATAAAATAGTTCAAAATTATTTACTTCCTAAGGTTTTCACTGAAAATTAGGACTACTAAGAATTAATATTAAAATTAATACATGTAATTGAGATTATAAATATAAGAAAAACAATTCTATATATTAATTGTATGAGAAAAGTGGGATTGTTAGAGTAGGTAGCCAGGCAGACATGTGCAAGGCAGGAGAGGGCCTCCCTCATCACCCACAGGAATGTCAGGTAACCATCAGGTGATGGTCAGTTGGTTGATAAATTGTGTCTCTAAAGAATACTTGCTTGTAGCCAGTGCCTGGAAAAAGCAGTCTCACAATAGATGGAAATTACCTGAGGTTGGTGATCAGCAGCTTCCTGATAAGATCTCAGGAGTTGGGTGAGTGGTCTTAAGCGTGCACACTAAGAAGAAAAATTGTGGTGTTTAACCGGTATATGACCTTCCTCTAGGAACACTTGACTGGTAAGGGAAAAATGCCTCAAATGAGCATGCATACAACTTCAGTAAACACACTGTGTATGTGGCCCCTCCCAAGTGCTGGCAGGCCACTGTGCATGGCCCAACCCTAAGGAAACATCAAAGGAGGAGAAACACAAACTTTGGAACCATGCCAATATACAAAAACCCCAAGTCAGGGGTCAGAAAGAGCACTTGGATTTCTCAAGTTGCCTGGTTGGCCTTCTTCCAGGTATACTTTATTTTCTTTCATTCCTGCTCTAAAACTTTTTAATAAACTTTCACTCCTGCTCTAAAACTTCCCTTGGTTTCTCACCCTGCCTTAGGTACCTCAGATGACTTCTTTTCTCTGAGGAGGCAAGAATAAAGTTTGCTGCAGACTCATTGGACTCACTGCTGCTGAAATACTTTGGTGCTGTGGCATGGATACATTCCCTAGTGGCAAGAAACTTCTATGTCTTGCCTTCTTCAGCTGGAAGCGTTCAACCCCTGTAACATAGTTTTTTTCTCTCCTTTTGCTCTCCTGCTTACTGACCAACTCCCAGAGTGATTCATCTCTGCCACAGTGGCTCTTCTCTGGCCAGCTGATCTATCCACTCACCATGATGGGTGTCTTGTGGGAATGGGAAGGACCTTGAAGTCTACACTGAGGAGACCTGAGATGTTAATGGCTCTCTTAGATGGCAGGCTCACAACTGTTTTAGGGCTAAAGCCTAAGACCATGAAATGTCTGGGGTTTCCTCTGCTTTTTCAACTAAAATCAGCTCTTTCCCAAAACCCACGCCACCTATTCTCTTGTTTTCTTTACCTGTATTCTAAAATGGACTTACATACCCATCAGACCATCCACCTTGTGGGCAAGTCTGCCTTTCCTCTGCTTTCACTTTGTGTGCCATGTGACTTCCTTCTCTGCCTTAAACACACACTCCTTGTTTGTTATTTGTGTTCCCATGGCTCTTGCTGTTTGCCTGGCAGCCAAGAGACAAGCTCTCTTGCTGATGTGCCCTGAGATTTATACTTGCTTTTACTTTATTAGCTCAGATGACCTCCAACCCTTCCCCTGTCTGTTGGCTCACTGCTAGGACAGACACTACTTGGAATCCTGGCTTTTCCAGTTTCTTATGACTTACCATGTGCTTTTTGTCCGTTGTGTTCCAGGACTAAGGTTTTTGATGGCTTTTGAAGCAGTTTGTCCACCTGCATAGGGCCTCACTCTGTGGATCTTTAAGGAGCACACCTACTTGCTTTTTTTTGATTCAGTACCCTTCTTGAAGGAGGGGAAATTCTTCATTTGCCACTTGAAAACCCGTATTCCAAGCCCCAAGTCCTCCAGAGGTCCTCTTTTATGTCAAGAGAGCAAATAAATGTTACCCTATGGAATCCAAGGGCTGCTGTGTTTGTGAGCATATGAAAGCTTTCTATGAGTCTCTCTCTCTCACTTTCTCCCACTATCTCCTGCAACAAAGTGATTGTCCTGTCCCTTTAAACATTTGTTCTGCATGTTACCCCAGGAGGACAAGGAACCCCAGATACAAATTTTCCTCCGTTCCTCTAATCACTTTCATGCTTTTCTCAATGCACTTCTAGACCATCAAGGTCATATTCAAAAGGAGGAAAGTCCTGCTCATTTGTGGCACCTACCTGAAAAACAGGTTTCTCATCTACTTAAATAAAATGGGTTATGGGAATCTGAGAAAAAGAGATAACCATTTTGTTGCTTGGATGCTCCGAACAAGAGTCACTTTAACGTCATGGAGACAAGGATATAGGCTGGCCCAAGACCACAGGCAGAAGAAACAAAAGTACCCATAGGACAGAGATGAAGGCTGATCCCAGACTGTAGGCAAAGAACAGATTACCATTAGAACAGAGATGAAGGCAAGGTTAGGGGTATTGGGTAAGACAAGTTCATTCTGGAACACCAAGGGTGAATAGGGGGCCCCCTGTTCATTCTGGTATTTCTTCTGTTCTCAAGTGGACAATTGTGATGAAATGGGACCTTTAAGCATATCTGGTGAGACCAGTTCTTTCTGGAAACCTAAGGATGAATGGAGGATGCTCTGTTCAAGAAAGGATAATAGGGAATAAGAGGGGATATCTCTTTTTTTTCTCCTCTGCTTTCTCTTTGCAGATGGGTAATAGCATCTCCATACCACAGGACATGCCCCTCAAATATAGCCTTAAAAACTGGGAAAAGTTTGATTCCCCCAAACCTTGAAACCAACAATTAGGTTTCGTTTGTAATACTGTGTGGCCTAAATACAAACTGGGAGAAAATTACAAAAGTCAGCCTTAGAACCCAGTCAGTGCCCTTATACAGAAAATCCTCAAATTAACCTCCTCAGTGTTTTATAAGACAGCAGAATAAAGAATAAATAAAGGCTAAGAAGAAGAAGAAACATGGACAAAGGCAGGCTCAACTATTGACTGGTTTACCAGCCCTGAAGCCCACTTCAAGTTGTCCTCAGAATACCCTCCAGGGTAACTGTCATCATCAGTGTGAGAAGCCAGGTCACTGGAAGGCAAATTTCCCCAGTGGGATAAATGGAAAAAAGCCCTGCATGACTTGGCCCCTCTGCCACAAGCTTGGCCACTGGAAACAGGACGGCCCCTGAGGTCCAAAAGGCCCTGGGACAGAATCCCAACCCCTGATGGCCTTGAGCTGAAGGGGCTCTCTCCTCCAGCTGGCTTCCAAATCAGACATCATTATCGACAGAACAAAGCCAAGGAAAACCCTACAGCCCTACAGGTAGGAAGTAAAATTATAAATTTCTCTTTGGGGTTCACGAGCTGTCTACTCTGTGCTAATCTTCTCTGAGGCACCGTCCTCCAAATCCTGCTGCGTAATGAGAGCAAATGGCACCCCATACCTCCAAAATAAAAGAATCATACTCCTTTGAGGCAAAAACATACTTTCCAAAATGGGTGCCTGCTTAATATTTTCCCAACCTCTAAATTCATCTGTTATTTATACCAAAATCTTTAACCAATAACCACAACTTGGAAAGTCCAATCTCAGGGTTTAGAAACAGCCCACACTTATCTTGACAAGTCGTAGCAAAAATTTACCTGAGCAATCTTTTGATTGGGTATAACTTCTACAGTAGGTAGATAACCTTGTCTGCTCCCCTCTTTACTGGACTCACACAGCGACATGTACTAAAATTATAACTTCATAACATAAAAAAAAGACTTTTATCTAATTAAAAGGTTATAAAAGTAAATAAGTATTTTGGTAAGGAAGGTAATAAAGAAAAGAGATTTTGTATAAAAGGACATCTCATATGGTAAGTTCTTCTCCTAAATTAAAATGAATGGTTGTTTAAAAAGAGGAATGTTTAGGACAAGTCAAAAAGTCCAAACATGTCATAAATAGTCTGTGTAAGTCATAAGAAGATACATAAAATGGAATTTATGAAAGTAATGTAGTACAATTTTAAAGAGTCTTAGGAGTACTGAATGCTTTAAGGTCATAAACCAATACTATAACTTTTAATAACTGTACAACTTGCCTGATTTAAAGTCATTAAATTCTAGGCAAGGACTGGGGACATAAGGAGTCAGCCATGTCCACTAGCTATCCTGAAAAAAGTCAGGCTTTTATTTTGTTTTGACGTCTTCACCTGTCTTAAAATGCAACGAACCTTCTATGTTTGTGGCCAGTTAGCTTGCCAATGCCTCCCTACTAACTGTATTGGAATTTATACCATAGGCTATGTATTCCTGCATATCTTCACAGCCCCTGGCAATCTCTCTCTTTCAGTACCAATCTATAGGCATTCCATTTTGCCCACGGTAAGGAGGGCTATCCAGTTAATTCCCCTTCTCATGGGACTTGGCATTATAGCTGGTACAGAACCTGGAATTGCAGGAATTACAAAAGCCTTCTTGACCTATAGCCAACTCTCAAAGAAATTAGCCAACAACACTGACACCATGGCTAAAACTTTAGTAACTGTTCAAGAACAAATTAGCTATTTAGCAACCATGGCCTTCCAAAATTGTTGAGGACTAGATATGTTAATGGCAGCACATGAAGGAATTTGTTTAGCCTTAGATGAAGAATGTTGCTTTTAGGTAAATCAATCAGCAGATGCACACGACAACATCAAACAACTCCTAAATGAAGCCTCTTTATGGGGACAAGCCTCTTAGTGTTGGTCAAATTGGGAAAGAACCTGGAAATGGTTCTCCCAGTTTCTTCTCTTTTTAGGCCTACTTGTTACTCTCTTATTCTTGCTCCTTTTTGGTCCGTGTCTTCTAAATCTAATAATGTGATTTGTCTCTTCGCATCTTTAGGCCATCAAGCTCCAGATAATCCTCAGTGAGGGATACTGGCCTCTCAATATTTAAGAGCCACCCTTCTATAGAGGACCCCTAGAATACCCAGCAGTGGGACACAACAGAGGTGAAATTCTGCCCCTGTCTCCCTTGAACCTGGCTGAATACCGCTTTCACCAACTCACAGAGCCACACTGCCCTGACAGCTAGCAAGAGGTCAAGACCCATGGAACAACTGCCACTGCCCCTTTGTCAGCAGGAAGCAGTTACAGAAGACTGATCTCTGTCTATTTTCCCAAATAATTGGGTCACAGACTCTTGAGGGGGGAAATGTCAGGTAGCTAGGCAGGCATGCAAGGGCAGGAGAGTGCCCCCATACTGAGGAATGTCAGGTGCCCATCAGGTGATTGTTAAAGTCGCTCTTTAAAATAATAATTGGTTGTAGCCCATACCAGGGAAAGGCAGTCTCAGATAGATAGAAAGCATCTGAACCTGGTAATCAGCAGATTTCTGATACGATTTCAGGAGTTAGGCAAGTAGGCTCAACCATGGATACTAAGAGGAAAAATGGTGGAATTTAATTGATGTATGACCTTCCTCTAAAAACACTCAACTGGTAAGGGAAAAACACCTCAAATGAGCACGCACACAACTTCAGTAAACACAGTGCATGTGGCCCTTCCCAAGAGCTGGCAGATTACTGTGCTTGTAGACAGCCTGCCTCAAGGAAACATCAAGGGAGGAGAAATGCAAATCTCCCAAGCATGCCAGTGTGTAAGTACCCCAAGTCAAAGTGTAGATGAAGCACTTGGAGCTCTCAAGTTGCCTGGTTTTCCCTCCTCCAAGTGTACTTTACTTCTTTTCATTCCTGCTCTAAAAGTTGCCTTGATCTCTCCCTCTGCCCTATGCCCCTCAGCCAAATTCTTTCCTTCGAGGAGGCAAGTACCAAGTTTGCTGCAAACCCGTTGGATTTGCCGCGGCTAACGGAATTTTTTTCAAGTTCATAAAAAAGAGATTAAAATACGTTTTTATTAGAGACAATATAAATTTATCTACTTTAAAGGTTAAAGTTTGTTTCAAAATGAAGGAAAAATTATATATATGTTATGTATAACTAAATGAATTTAGGCTCAGCATGGTGATACACACCAGTAATCTGAGCACTTTGGGAGGTGGAGTCAGGTGGATCACTGGAGCCCAGGAGTTTGATGCCAGCCTGGACAACACATGAGATGAAAGAGAAAAAGAAAGAAAGAAAGAGAGAAAGAGAGAGAGAGAAAGAAGGAAGGAAGGACGGAAGGAAGGAAGGAAGGAAGGAAGGGAGGGAGGGAGGGAGGGAGGGAGGGAGGGCAGGGGAGGGGAGGGGAGGGAAGGGGAAGGGAAGGAGGGAGGGAGGGAGGGAAGGAAGGAGAGGGAAGGAGGGAGGAAGGAAGGAGAGAGAGAAGGAAAGAAGGAAGGAAGGAAGAAGAGAGGGAGGGAGGGAAGAAGGAAGGAGAAAGAGAAGGAAGGAAGGGAGGGAGGGAAGGAAGGAAGAAGAGGGAGGGAGGAAGGAAGAAGAGAGAGTAGGAAGGGAGGAAGAGAGGGAGGGAAGGGAGGGAGGGAAGGAAGGAAGAAGAGAGGGAGGGAGGGAGGAAGGAAGGAGAGAGAGAAGGAAGGAAGGAAGGGTGAGAAGGGAGGGGAGGAAGGAAGAAGAGAGAGAAGGAAGGGAGGGAGGGAAGGAAGGAAGGAAGGAATGAAGAGAGGGAGGGCATAAATTGATCTGATATGTTGGAGGGAGACAAAAATACAAAAGTTTTGTAAGAGGTTATAAAAGGTTTGTGGAAATCTTATGTGGTCAAAGTTCATTGAGATTAGATGCATTTGTTTGTAAGATTTTATTAAAATTAGCCTTAGTACTGATAACACACTAATATAAAATGAAATTCAGCTTTCTCCTTTGAACAATAATTTCATGTACTATTAATAAGTGATAGTAAAAGATTTGCAGGTTTTTGTCAGTAAACTGACAAAAATAATGGAGGGAGAGATAGATTCTGTTGGGCTCATACTATTTCATTGGATCTTTTGATTTTGGGGGAACAGTCTCCTCTCTAAAAGAGTACAGGATTTTTCTTTTTAAAATATTTGAAATATCACTTTGGCTAAATGAATTGACCTGTGGTTCTATTTTGATATTAAACATTTTAAATTTTTGATATTTCACATACTTCCCCAAATCAAATTTCAAATTCTAAAGTTAAGTTTATATTTAAATGTGACATTAATATGTGCATCAAAATTGTATGATATTCCTAAATTCTCATATGTTTTGGTATATATTATCAGTCATAATTATGATTGTTATGTTAAATTGTTGTATGCCACATAAATAACCAAATTTTCTTGTCAATTGTATCTTTAGCCATGGCTATCTTAAATCTTTTGTCATCCCCAGACAAACATTGATTTACTCTGATTTTTCTCAAAAAGTGGTTTGCAATTGGCTACAGTCCAAATTTTGCCTTTTTAAGATAGAAATTTATTTAAAAAGACATTGCCAAGTACTCTTAAATACAAAATATCAAACAATTGAACTGTTTAAAAAGTTTCATGATTTAATTAAATAGCTAATGCATTCATAAGAATTAGTAACCCAACATCAAACAGAATAATTAATTACATGTAATTGAACTAATAGTAGACTAAAATAATGTTTATGACTTTTTTTTTAAAGTGGTGATTCTTTTTATATTATGTTTTCCAGAGCCAAGAAAACTTTCTTCTTTTGATCTATAGCTCACAGAAATTGGGTAAAGCACACATTTGTGAGGAAAATTAAAACGTTTGCTTTTCTCTTCAACGGACTTCTCCAGAATTTTGGGACTGTTTGTGAGTATTCTTGATTTATGGAAATACAGTCATTTGTATAAATTCAATAAGAACATGTTTTCTTTTGCAACAGCACACACTTGAAGACACTGGTTTTTTTTGTTTGTTTGTTTGTTTGTTTTGTTTTATTTACCAAGGCTTTGACTGGAATGGTGTATTTTAAGATCTGACTACACTACTTTGAGGAATTACAGTTGACCTTATGGAGCTGATAAAAAAAGCCCTTTGGAAAGACTGGCCTGGTACCTTGTTTACATAGTTCTCTTAAAGGTTCCTGACTTTGTGGTAAGTAAAGAATGTCACTTTCTGACAGGCCCAGGAACCTCAAGATATTTTGGGATAGCAAAGTAAGATCATTTCACCCAGTTTGTATAGGCCCAGTCTCATTGTGAATCATTGTCTTTGGTTCTTGAGCTAGAAAGGCTTTTAAAAGTCTAATAAGTGATACCTTATGAAAAATTTTCCATGAAAGCCAATTTTAAAATTCCTATATGGCCATTCACTATTTCTGTTGCACTTTATGCAAATAATCATGCCAAGTATAACACCAAAACTTGCTTTGCAAGTAAATTGGTCTCACTAAGATTTATATTTGGTAAAAATTGGGGACTAAAGAGGGAAATATTTTGCTTCAGAGGAAAACTATAAGATATCTGTTATTAGATTCCAGCCCTAACCATTGTTTTTGAGTTTTTATTAGTTTCCTAGTTAGAATCTGAACTGTGGATTGTAGAATCTGAACTCTGGAGTGATGTGAGATTTTGCCCTAAATACATGATTTCTTTTGCAATGCTTTCTATGAAAAATTTTAAGAAAAGGAGAAAATGTAAAAGAAAATTGTAGGACTCTTTAAATGTATTATAACAAAGAGAAGTTAAGCCATAGAGACTGAGTCACATAGCATGTTTGCAATTGTGCTTCTTAGATTATAGGTTAACTCTCTTCCTCAGTTCTTATTCTGTAAATGAGTAGGACAGACCAAAGACCAGACCTCCCCATCTTTTTAATCACTGATCTTTGTTATAGATTAACTGCCTCCTTCATTGTCCTCTACATAACTCAGACCAAATGGCATCCAAGACCCTGTGAAGGTTATATCTTCATTGTGGAATGTTAAATATACCCTTCCAAAAGAAAAAAAAGCACCTTGACTGGGTGGAGGGCTCACACCTGTAATCCCAGTATTTTGGGAGGCTGAGGCAGCAGGATTGTTTGAGGACCGGAGTTTGAGATCAGCCTGGGCAGCATAGGGACATGCTGTTTCTACATTTTTTTTTTTTTTTTTTTTTTTTTTAGTAGAGACGGGGTTTCACCGTATTAGCCAGGATGGTCTCAATCTCCTGGCCTCAAGATCTGCCCGTCTCAGCCTCCCAAAGTGCTGGGAATACAGGCGTGAGCCACTGCGCCTGGCCTGTTTCTATAATTTTTTTTAAAAAAAGTTTGTCAGGCTTGGTGGTACATACCTGTATTCCCGGCTACTCCAGAAGCTGAGGTGGGAGAATCACTTGATCCTGGGAATTCAAGGCTGCCGTGAGCTAGGATCACACCATTACACTCCAGCCTGGGTGACAGAGCAAGAAACTGTCTGAAAAAAAAAAAAAAAATTAAAAATTAAATTTCGAAAAGACCAACTAAATTAATCAAATTATTGTAACTAGGCATTAAGCATTAAATAGAAAGATATTGAACATCTTTTAAACTTCCCTAAACTTCATCTTTATAACTGAATCCAATCTTCTACAGTTCAGAACACTGACTTCCATTCTTTGGAATCTTACCTTCCCGGGCAGCCTGCCCTTACATTTTGTGCTTGAATAAACTCTCTTTAAACTAGATACTGACCTTTTAGATTATTTTTGGTTGACAAGACAAAGAAATTAAAATGAACTTTTCAATTGCACTTTAAAGTTTATCAAGATTCTAAGCCTATGTATTTATTTAATCCTCACAACAAGTCTGTAAGTATAGTTACCAACCTTATTTTAGAGATGAGAAACTGAATCTTCAAGAATTTAATTAATTTTTCTAAGCTAATACAGTTAGCAAATAATGAAAGCAGGACTGATTTGGGGTCTCTTAATGCCTAAACCAGCCCTCTTTTCATTACAACGGCATTTTCCAATGTGTGTTCTCTGGAACTGTATTGTGAACAGAGTGAAAAAGAGACCCTGTGCTAAATTAAGTTCTACAAATGTTGAAATAAAGAAAATTTTCTATATTTTCTAACTAGACAACTCCTCATAATTTGTAATATGCTATCAAATAATTTGAATCAATTTTATTTTTTATTTTTCTTAATTTTTATTTATTTTATTATTATTATTATTGTTATTTTGAGATGGAGTTTAGCTCTTGTTGCCCAGGCTGGAGTGCAATGGCATGATCTCAGCTGACCTCAACCTGCGATTCCCGGGTACAAGCAATTCTGCCTCAGCCTCCCGAGTATCTAGGATTACAGGTGCCCACCACCACACCTGGCTAATTTTGTATTTTTAGTAGAGACAGGGTTTCTCCATGTTGGTCAGGCTGATCTCGAACTCCAGACCTCAGGTGATCCACCCACTTCAGCCTCCCAAAGTGCTGGGATTACAGGCGTGAGCCACTGTGCCCGGCAAATCAATTTTATTTAAGTTTAGGTTTGTTTTATGGCAGAGTGAACCCTGAAACTAAAGTTCCTTAGAAATTTCTCTGGGAAATGCTGGACTTTGTGATTCTACACTCCAGAGTTCAGATTCTAACTATCAGTGAAAGAATATCACTGAGTCTGCTTGGAATATGGATTAAAAAAAATACCCCTACTTGGGAGAGTCATTGAGAGCCTATGGTGGATAAATAAAAATGATGTTTTAATTAATATCAACTATTAGAGAAAACTGGTAATCAACAGGTTAAAGATCTATCTGCCCCTTTGCCTTGTGTAGATACAAATGAAATATGCAAAATATTTTCTAAAATAGCATATGATACTAAAATAGCCTAAACTTCAGATGCCATTTTGCGAGCCCAAAATGCTGCGGTGATTTGGGGTAAGCATGGACAGATTTTCAACATTGAACATTTAGAGCAATTTCTTCTCCAAGTTGGTTTTATTATACCTGATTTTTAAAAAAGGAATTGCTCTCTTATTTCAGACTACACTCATATTCTTGAGCTTCCAAAAGTTCTCTTTTTTATTTAAAATGAAAACAATTACTGCAGTGTATTATGCTGAATTACATCTAAAAATCCAAACCATTTCTGCAGCAAATTCTATTTAACTGTCCTAATATCCTCTTTTAATATGGGTTTCACTAGAGAGATAAAAAATTAAATGTTTGCCAGAGTGATGCATTAATAACTCAAAACCCTTAATTATAGCAGTGCCCAATTTAATTAAACCCTACATTACAAACTGTCGGCCTCCATATCATGGACCCCAAGTTGAATGGTTTATTGCTGAGCTATTAAAAAAAGTTATTTCATATTTCAGAATATGATACAAGTTCTTCACTTATGAAAGAATAATCTTTGTTTTCAACTGGAAAAAAATACTGTATACAAACCCAACATTGACAGTGTAGGCATAGCTTTTATTTCATTAAAAATATTCCTGCACACTTCTTTGATCATTTCTGCTACCCTAAATTAGTAACTGTTTTAGAAATGAAACAAAAGAAACCAGAAAGGCAGATGAATAAGGTGTCTCATGTAAATTTTCTTGACATAAAAATAAAGAACCTCACTAAAATTTTAAGAACTAAATGAATAGTAATCTGTGTTTTCAAATACTACTTATTTTTAAAGTGATATTGCTTCTCTGAAAAAGCTCTTAAACTCTACGCTTTTTTCTCCCCTATCACATGATCATTATGGGTCTCAGGATTAGAATAATGGATTACAAACTTGAGCATGAATGAGAATCAACTGGAGGGCTTGTTAAAAACAGATTTCTGGGCCGCTTTCACATAGTTTCTGATGCAGTAGACTGGGAAAGGTTCGGGAATTTTATTTCCTACAAGTTTCAAGGTAATACGGATTCTCCTGGTCCTTTTTTATTCCTGGCAGGCTCCTCTGACAACTGACAGTTTATGCTAAGGAGAAGCCTCAGAGTTTGCACAGCCCCACATGATAGTCAGTGTGGGGGCTGATCATTACAGAAAGACAACCATGGATTTAGGGTGGGGATTTGAGTCAGAAGGTTTTAGCTGTATAAAGACTGCGTTTAGCCATGTGGGCAATAAATCAATTGTGGCTACATAATGAAGTCTCCATAAGACTGGACCCTAAAACTCAAGTGAACTTCTGGGTTGGTAATATTCCAGGCATATTTTCACACATGAATATCAGGAGGTAATAGTCTCTGATAAAACAGACTTTAAACCAACAAAGATCAAAAGAGACAAAGAAGGTCATTATATAATGGTGAAGGGATCAATTCCACAAGAAGAGCTAATTATCCTAAATATACATGCACCCAATACAGGAGCACCCAGATTAATAAAGCAAGTCCTTAGAGACCTAGAAAGAGACTTAGACTCCCACACAATAATAATGGGAGACTTAAACACCCCACTGTCAACATTAGACAGATCAACAAGACAAAAAGTTTAAAAGGACATCCAGGAATTGAACTCAGCTCTGTACCAAGCAGACCTAACAGACATCTACAGAACTCTCCACACATATCAACAGAATATACATTCCTCTCAGCACCACATTGAACTTATTGCAAAATTGACTACATAGTTGGAAGTAAAGCACTCCTCAGCAAATGTAAAAGAACAGAAATTATAACAAACAGTCTCTCAGACCACAGTGCAATCAAACTAGAACTCAGGATTAAGAAACTCATTCAAAACCACTCAACTACGTGGAAACTGAACAACCTGTTCCTGAATGACTACTGGGTACATAACGAAATGAAGGCAGAAATAAAGATGTTCTTTGAAACCAATGAGAACGAAGACACAACATACCAGAATCTCTGGGACACATTTAAAGCAGTGTGTAGAGGGAAATTTATAGCACTAAATGCCCACAAGAGAAAGCAGGAAAGATCTAAAATTGACACCCTAACATCACAATTAAGAGAACTAGAGAAGCAAGAGCAAACACATTCAAAAGCTAGCAGAAGGCAAGAAATAACTAAGATCAGAGCAGAACTGAAGGAAATAGAGACAGAAAAAACCCTTCAAAAAATCAATGAATCCAGGAGCTGGTTTTTTGAAATGATCAACAAAATTGATAGACCGCTCGCAAGACTAATAAAGGAGAAAAGAGAGAAGAATCAAATAGACGCAATAAAAAATGATAAAGGGGATATCACCACCGATCCCACAGAAATACAAACTACCATCAGAATACTATAAACAGCTCTATGCAAATAAACTAGAAAATCTAGAAGAAATGGATAAATTCCTAGACAAATACACCCTCCCAAGACTGAACCAGGAAGAAGATGAATCCCTGAATAGACCAATAACAGGCTCTGAAATTGAGGCAATAATTAATAGCCTACCAACCAAAAAAAGTCCAGGACCAGATGGATTCACAGCCGAATTCTACCAGAGGTACAAGGAGGAGCTGGTACTGTTCCTTCTGAAACTATTCCAATCAATAGAAAAAGAGGGAATCCTCCCTAACTCATTTTATGAGGCCAGCATCATCCTGATACCAGAGCCTGGCAGAGACACAACAAAAAAAGAGAATTTTAGACCAATATCCCTGATGAACATTGATGCAAAAATCCTCAAAAAAATACTGGCAAACTGAATCCAGCAGCACATCAAAAAGCTTATCCACCATGATCAAGTGGGCTTCATCCCTGGGATGCAAGGCTGGTTCAACATATGCAAATCAATAAACGTAATCCAGCATATAAACAAAACCAAAGACAAAAACCACATGATTATCTCAATAGATGCAGAAAAGGCCTTTGACAAAATTCAGCAACCCTTCATGCTAAAAACTCTCAATAAATTAGGTATTGATGGGACGGATCTCAAAATAATAAGAGCTATTTATGACAAACCCACAGCCAATGTCATACTGAATGGGCAAAAACTGGAAGCATTCCCTTTGAAAACCGGCACAAGACAGGGATGCCCTCTCTCACCACTCCTATTCATCATAGTGTTGGAAGTTCTGGCCAGGGCAATCAGGCAGGAGAAGGAAATCAAGGGTATTCAATTAGGAAAAGAGGAAGTCAAATTGTCCCTGTTTGCAGATGACATGACTGTATATTTAGAAAACCCCAGTGTCTCAGCCCAAAATCTCCTTAAGCTGATAAGCAACTTCAGCAAAGTCTCAGGAGGCAAAATCAATATGCAAAAATCACAAGCATTCTTATTCACCAATAACAGACAAATAGAGAGCCAAAACATGAGTGAACTCCGATTCACAATTGCTTCAAAGAGAATAAAATACCTAGGAATCCAACTTACAAGGGATGTGAAGGACCTCTTCAAAGAAAACTACAAACCACTGCTCAATGAAATAAAAGAGGACACAAACAAATGGAAGAACATTCCATGCTCATGGATAGGAAGAATCAATATCGTGAAAATGGCCATACTGCCCAAGGTAATTTATAGATTCCATGCCATTCCCATCAAGCTACCAATGACTTTCTTCACAGAATTGGAAAAAACTACTTTAAAGTTCATATGGAACCAAAAGAGAACCCACATTGCCAAGTCAATCCTAAGCCAAAAGAACAAAGCTGGAGGCATCACGCTACCTGACTTCAAACTATACTACAAGGCTACAGTAACCAAAACAGCATGGTACTGGTACCAAAACAGAGATATAGACCAATGGAACAGAACAGAGCCCTCAGAAGTAATACCACACATCTACAACCATCTGCTCTTTGACAAACCTGACAAAAACAAGAAATAGGGAAAGGATTCCCTATTTAATAAATGGTGCTGGGAAAACTGGCTAGCCATATGTAGAAAGCTGAAATTGGATCCCTTCCTTACACCTTATATAAAAATTAATTCAAGATGGATTAAAGCCTTAAATGTTAGATGAAAAACCATAAAAACCCTAGAAGAAAACCTAGGCAATACCATTCAGTACATAGGCATTGGCAAGGACTTCATGTCTAAAACACCAAAAGCAATGGCAACAAAAGACAAAATTGACAAATGGGATCTAATTAAACTAAAGAGCTTCTGCATAGCAAAAGAAACTATCATCAGAGTGAACAGGCAACCTACAGAATGGGAGAAGATTTTTGCAATCTACTCATCTGACAAAGAGCTAATATCCAGAATATACAAAGAACTCAAACAAATTTACAAGAAAAAAACAACCCCATCATAAAGTGGGCAAAGGAGATGAACAGACACTTCTCAAAAGAAGACATTTATGCAGCCAAAACACACATGAAAAAATGCTCTTCATCACTGGCCATCAGAGAAATGCAAATCAAAACCACAGTGAGATATCATCTCACACCAGTTAGAATGGTGATCATTAAAAAGTCAGGAAACAACAGGTGCTGGAGAGGATGTGGAGAAATAGGAACACTTTTACACTGTTGGTGGGACTGTAAACTAGTTCAACCATTGTGGAAGACAGTGTGGTGATTCCTCAAGGATCTAGAACTAGAAATACCATTTGACCCAGTCATCCCATTACTGGGTATATATACCCAAAGGATTATAAATCATGCTGCTATAAAGACACATGCACACGTATGTTTATTGCAGCACTATTCACAATAGCAAAGACTTGGCACCAACTCAAATGTCCATCAGTGATCGACTGGATTAAGAAAATGTGGCACATATACACCATGAAGCTGGAGACCATCATTCTCAGCAAACTACCGCAAGGACAAAAAACCAAACACCACATGTTCTCACTCATAGGTGGGAATTGAACAATGAGAACACTTGGACACAGGAAGGCGAACATCACACACTGGGGCCTGTCATGGGGTGGGGGGAGGGGGAAGGGATAGCATTAGGAGATATACCTCATGTAAATGACGAGTTAATTGGTGCAGCACACCAACATGGCACATGTATACATATGTAAAAAACCTGCACGTTGTGCACATGTACCCTAGAACTTAAAGTATTAAAAAAAAAAAGAATATCAGGAAGTAATAAATCCTGAGGACAATGCAAATTTCAAATTTGGAACTCTCCTACAGTCTGCCCTGTGAATCTCTCTCTTTAGCTGATTTTAGTTCGTATCCTTTCCCCTTAATAAGTACATCCATGAGTATAAATATCCATGAGTATAGTAGCTCTCAATGCTTTCTGTGAGTCTTTTCAGTCAATTATTAAACATGAATGTGGTTTTGAAAGTTGTCCTGTAGGACTCTTCTTTTTTAACTTTGGACTCTTCCCTATAACCCTAATTTCTTGCAGTTGGGGCCAGAAGTTTTGGGCAGACTTGACATTCTGGAGAACTGTGTCTTAAACCTCAAAGTCCAGTTTACTCTAGGTTTGGGGGTGGAAAAATGAAAGAGGGGAAGTGAGTAAAAGAAAGAAAGATGGTGAGGAGAGTAAGAGGGAGAGAAAAAAAGTGGCTACAGGATGCCAAGAATGAGAGTGAAACCACTTTATCTGTGCCTCAGAGGATACTTTTACCCTCAATACAGGTGTCCCTCAATATCTGGGTGATGGGCTCCAGGACCCCTGAAGCCATCAAAATTTACTTAGGCTTAAGTCCCTGATATAAAATGCTGTAGTGTTTTCATGTAATCTACACATATCTTCCCTTCTATTTTTTCATCTTTACTTATTATACCTAATAGCATATAAATACTATGTGAATAGTTGTTATACTATGTTGTTTAGAAAATAATGACAAGAAGAAAAGTCTGTACATGTTCAGTAGAGATATACCCATCTGTTTTCTTTTTAAAAATATTTTCAATCTGCGGTTAGTGGAATCTAGGGATGTAGAGACCATGAGTATGTAGGAACCACTGTATTAGCTTTTCGCCATATACCACTAATCTCCATATCACCGTAGCTAGTTACACCTCCTAGGAGACAAAGGAAAACCTGAGTGAAGGCTTTTGGTATTGCCATCTTCAGTATGCTAATCTAATCTATCTCCTAGATTTCTATGTATCTCAAAAGCTACAATACTACATCATATAAATTCCTATGCTTTAGACATCCTGTGGTTTCTGGAACATTTAAAGTATTGAAGGATCCAGAAACATTATATCAAAAAACTTAGATAGCATCCATTTTATGTATTAAAAGGGAAAGAAAGTCATCTGTTTTTCTTTTATATGCTTGTCACAAGAGCCCGCACTAGCTCCAAACAAGATATAAAAAATGCCAACAGAATACTTCTCCTTTGAGATAGAGAGAGCTTTTATAAAGGGAGAAAAAGTCAGCTGAGTACTCTTCAGTTCTTTAGGGGTTGTGTCAGGGGGTGTCAGGGGTGGGAGAAGGTCCACTTGACTGAGGAATTTAGAGAGGAAAAATAGTGTTAATTTAAATTTCTTCTTTCTCCTCAGTAAAGTTTACTCTAATACTGTTAAGTATCTCTAGAGCAATATTAAGAATCTCTCAAATGAATTCACTGAGATGTGACAAATAATTGCCAGTGATGTGTTATATTTTTCTGAATATTTTATATATTCATTACTTACTTTAAATTGTGTTTATTCTCTTCAATTACAGATTTTCAGTGCGGTTGTAAATTGTATGTACAAGTTCAAGAAAGAATTGGACACTTTCTATATGCAGAACTCTCTGCCAAGCTTTGTGCTAGATAAAAAATGAAGGAAAAATGACAAAAAGTGTCTACTCAGAAGGCACTAGAAAAGAACAACTGTGGCTGCAATGGTTTCTGTTTAGCATGGTAACAAAGTAATTACAATTCTTCCTTTATATTTGCATCCTCTACACTGTTTGCATATACTTGGTCCTCAAAAATATTCATTGAATGCTTAAACTTTTTATAGCTTTACAGTTTTAAAAAATGCATATATTTATGAGCGTCCTATTTAGGTGGACTAATTCTAAGGGGAACATAAAGGAGAGAGCTCTGTGTTCCAAAAATAACTGAAAAAAATACTTCTGCAATTATTTAATTCCATAAAATAAAAAATACAAAAAATTCATGCATTTTCATCTCAAGGAAAGATGGATATCCGTACAGAATTTTTACAGATGCACACAATGAAGAATAAATATTATTTATTACTCACATTTTCTGAAACTGTGTTTGATAGTAATACTCTGCCTCCCCTTCTTCAAAATTTATTCTGCTGCTTTTGTATTTTATGTGTATTTAATCATTTCAATTAAATTGGAGATCACTGAGGTTTTAAAATTAGATCTGCTTTTATATAAAGATCTTTCAAAGCTCTTAGTAGAATTGAAATATGGAGTAGTAAGAAAATGTGGTTTGAAGTGGGTTTATTTTTCTGTTTCTTTATAATCACGCATTTTAATAATTTTTTAATGTCAAAAATGTATGTCTCACCATCTTCTAATGTAATCATCTATATACCTAGAAAAATGAGTACAAGATCTACATGAGGAAAACTACAAAACTTTGAAGAAAAAATATCAAAAAACTAAGTGGAGATATTCTATATTCATATGTAGAAAGACTGAATGTTGTCAAGATGTTAGTTCTTTTCAATTTGATCTACAGAATTAATGCAATCCCAGTAAAAATACCAGTGAATTACTTTGTGGATATCAATAAACTGATTCTGAAGTTTGTAAGGAGAGGCAGAAGATCAGAATAGCCAATGCAATACCTAAGGAGAAAAACAAAGTTGGAAGACTTATACTACCCAACTTTAAGACTTACTATACAGCTATAGTAATCAAGCTAATGTGTTATTGGTAAAAGAATCATCACATAGATTAATGGACTAGAATAAAAATCTTCAAAATAGATCAACATATAGTCAACTGATCTTTGACAGAGGAGTATGTGTAATACAATGAAGAAAAGATGGTCTTTTTCAATAAATGATGTTGGAACAACTGTCATCCTACATGTAACAAAAATGAATCTAAATAGATTTTATACTCTTCAAAAAATTTAACAACAACAACAAAAAATGGATCACAGACCTAAACATAAAACACAGACCTACCAAACTCCTGGACCATAATGTAGGAGAAAATCTTGGGTTTGGTGATAGCTATTTTTTTTTGAGGGGGCAGGGGGTGGGGGGTGGGATGGAGTCTCGTTCTGTCACCCAGGCTGGAGTGCAGTGGCATGATCTCAGCTCACTGCAGCCTCTGCCACCCGGGTTCAAGTGATTCTTCTGCCTCAGCCTCCTGAGTAGCTGGGATTACAGGCACACACCACCATACTCGGCTAATTTTTGTATTTTTAGTAGAGACGGGGTTTCACCATGTTGGTCAGGCTGGGTCTCGAACTCCTGACCTCGCGATCCACCCACCTTGCCCTCCCGAAGTGCTGGGATTACAGGCATGAGCCACTGTGCCCGGACAGCTTTTTAGATATACCACTAAAGGCTCAATCTGTTAAAAAAAATTAATAAATTGGACATAATTCAAATATAAAATTTCTGCTCAGTGAATGACACTGTCAAAAGGACAAGAAGACAAGGCATAGCCTGGGAGAAAATAATATTTGCGAAAGACACATCTGATAAAGGCTGTTATTTAAAATACCCAAAGAAAACTTAAAATTCAACAATTAAAAAAATGAACAACTCAGTTACAAAATGAAGCAAGGATCTTAACAAACACCTCATCAAAGAAGATATTTCGATGGCAAATACGCATATGAAAAGATTTCCACATCATATGACATTAGAGAAATGAAAGTTAAAATAACAATAGCAGATATTACTACAACTCTATTAGAATGGCCAAAATCCAGAACACTGAGAACACCAAATGCTGGTAAGGATGGGCAGCAACAGGAACTCTCATTCAGTGCTGGTGGAAGTGCAAAATGGTCCAACCAGTTTGGGAGAAATTTGGTTGCTTCTTACAAACTAAATATACTGGTACCTTACAATCCAAAAATTATGCCCTTTATATTTACCAAAAGAAGTAAAAAAATTATGTCCATGTAAAAATCTGCACTCTGATGATTACAGTGCCTTAATTTGTAATTGTCAAAACTAAGAAACAATCAGGATTTCCTTCATCAGGTTAATGGATAAACTGTGTTACATGCAGACAATGGCACATTAATTAGTGCCAAAGAGATATGAGCTATAAAGCCATGAAAGTGTTCTTTAATGCATAATACTGAGTGAAAGAAACCAGCCTGAACAGATTGCATATCGTTTAATTCCCAATATAAGGGAGATATTCTGGGAAAGCAAAACTATGAAGACAGTAAAAAGATCAATGATTGATAAGAATTGGGGAGGAAGGAATGAATATGTGTGGCATACAGGATTGTTAGGGTAATGACACTACTCTGTATGATACTATTATGATGGATTCATGTCACTGGAATGTATAACACAAAGAGTGAACTCTAATGTAAAATACAGACTGGTTGATAATGATATATCAATGTAGGCTTCATCAAGTATAATGAAGGTAAAATGGTGGTGGGGCATATTGATATTGGGGGAGAATATGCTTGTGGGAGGCTGGGGGTATATGGGAAATCTCTGTACCTTCTAGTCAGTTTTGTGGTGAATCTTAACTCCTATGAAACATAGTCTGCATGTATACATGTATTTTTGTATCTATCTATCTATCTATCTATCTATCTATCCATCCATTATGATTTCAATAGTTATAGTATTCTATTGTATGACTGGAGCCTAATAGACTTAATCCTAACCTATATTGTATTACTGACTTGCGCTGTTTCAAAACTTTCAAGATAAAAATTTAGTAACAGGAAAGAAAGCTTGTTACAGTATAATGGTAACTAATAAATGTAAAAGAGATGATGAAGTTAGAAACCCAATATTGAGTGCTAAAACTAGTCTCAAGGTGTCTGTCTAAAAATTACTGTTACATTACAAAGGGGAAAAAATACAGTGAAGAAAATTGGAGAATACCATATTAATTATATCATCAAAACTAATATCACCATGATTGAAGCAAACTCCATGTTCCTGCTAATACAATGCACTGAAATGGGCACATTGTTTCAGTTGTGTACCTGCCAAGAGTATATACATTGAATCCCTAATGAGTAAACATCCCGCAGAATTAAACAGAGAGTCATTCAACAAAATAACTCGCCAGTGATGTAAGGTACAGAAACAAACGTAAAAGCTCAGGATTTTCTCTGAATTAAAGTTGACTAAAAACACATGTTAAGTAAATGCAATGTGAATCCTGGATGGGAAAAAAAAACATCAGTCATTAATGGCATTATTAGGCAGTTGAAACAATTCGAGTATGAATATGAGGCAATAGAGTTGTAGTTATATTCCATCATTTTTGGCAAAGAAATGAAAATTCTTTAATGGAATTTTCTTCTTCTTGTGATATTAGGATTAAATTATTTACAGGCAAGGGACAGAATTTCTATTTTCTTATTTTCAAAAGAAGATAAAAATATATATCATACACATACACAAAAGTATATATGTATATGCAAACATATTTTAGATACCGAGAAAATATCTAAAAGAAGACAAATAAGAAAGAGGAAGAAGAAAGAGAATGAGAAGGAGAGGGAGAAGAAAAAAAAAGAGAAAATGGGAGCAAAATGTGAACAAATCAAATAGGGGCATACATGGAAAATCCTGGTGAAAGTTATATGAGATTTCATTACATTAATCCTTGTAAATGTTATAAATTTGAAATTACATAAATTTACACACAAAAAAGAAAATACATGCACAGTTATGACAAACATAAAACAGTTTTCTTATTTTATTCACAGGAAAAATTCCTGCAAGAATATTTTCTTATTTATTAAAGCATATAAATAAACTTATGAATATAGAATTTTATTATACTTGATTTAAAATTATAAACTAATTATGAAAGTATTTCAGTAGTTGCCATCCAGAATTATGGTCTATTTCTCAATTTGTACCTACATTTCTCTTTTTATTTCACAATAATGCTTGGTAGTGTTTGTGTGTGTATATGTGGGTGGGGGGTGCGGGGGGCGGAGTAGTTTATTGAGAGACCTGGTCATTTCTTGTTGATAAATAGGCATGCAGATCAAAATGTAGTTTTATCTGTCTCTGTCATCTCTGCCTCTGTCTTTCTCTGTCAATCTTAAATAAACAAATAGATATTACCGATGCAATATTAAATAAAATAAACTTTTGCTTGTATATCATTTCTAGTTTCTGCAAGTATACAGATATACAGAGATTTTAGGATTTTCTAAACTAAAACTCTATTCCAGTAAGGAGTAATGAGTGATTTAGAGGTGATTTCCTTTTTTTTTTTTAAATTTAATTTTTGATTTCTATCTTTTGTACAGACATGGTCTTGCTTTGTTGTTCAGGCTGGTCTAAAATTCCTGGCTTCAAGCAATTCTCCTACCTCAGCCTCCCAAAATGCTGGCTGAGATTATAGGCATAAGTCACCATGCCCAGCCTAGAGATGATTTTCTACAAGAATTTTTACAGCATTTAAAAACACAGGAATTGCAAAAAATCTAAGTAATTTTATTGAACTATAACACAACCTCCTAGCTCAGGAGTAGTAATTTGCAGCATAACATGAATGCTCTGACATGAATGCAGTATAACTTTGCCCTTCCCTTTGTGTATTGGCTCCCTCTGTGCTCTTTTAACAACTATTGAAGAGATTATTTACCATTATTTACGCCATGTCTTTCTTTAGTTTCTTTATCTTCACTCTATCAAATGGCCTTTTTGCATCCACGAATTGACTCATTAGAGGAGCTGCAAATGTGGTAAATTCCATGAGAAGAGCACATCATTGTCTAGAACCTGAGTAACACAGCTTTTGGTTTGAAAATCAATTTGGATAAAATAAGGCTTTTAACACCATGGTCTTCTAATTTGTTCAAAAATTTTAACTCGCTTAGTAAAATTTAATAATTTTCTCTACACTTTCATTCATTTTTATGCTATTTTTCTAAATATTTAACATTTTGCTATTTTAAACATTCATCAATTTTCAGTTATATTTTCTACCCAATTATTACTTATGCAAGAAAAAAAAATTGTTGGCTGTGCACTGTGGCTCACGCCTGAATTCCTAGCACTTTGGGAGGCCAAGGCGGGTGGATTGCTTGATATCAGGAGTTTGAGACCAGCCTGGGCAACACAGTGAAACCTCATCTCTACTAAAATACAAAAAAGTTAGCTGGGCATGGCGGCGTGCACCTGTAATCCCAGTTACTTGAGAGGCTGAGGCAGGAGAATTGCTTGAACCCGCGAGACACAGGTTGCAGTGAGCTGACATTGTGCCATTGCACTCCAGCCTGGGCAACAGAGCAAGACTCCATCTCAAAGGAAAAAAAAAAAACGAAAAAGTAAAAGAAAAAGCTATTGTTTGAGAATTCCATCACATGAAAATTTATCTTGAGTGTCTTACATTATTTTCATTGTTGACTTAAATAATTTGGGTCTGTTTAAAACAGTTATTCTTTAGTAGATAAAGAAAGTACGTTTGTATTCTTAATTGGGTTTAAGTTTATATACAAAATGAATGTTGTATTTTTTCAGAAGTCTTTTTTGTCTATCCAGGTAAAGGTAATTTCTTATTTTCTTATTGATGTCATTGATTATATCAATTTATTCCCTTGTAATGGATAAATTTTATGTTTTTATTATAGTTCATTTATGATAATGCTCTGTTATTTTTCAAGTACACTACAGAAATAGCTTTTTAAATAATAATGAGAAAACCTTGATATGTGCCAGATATATTCAAGACTTTGGGGTACCCACATAGATCAGGCAACATTGCTATGTCTAATTAAAGACATAACCTGCTGCTTCAAAAGATTCGCTTGGCTAATATATTAAACCCAGGCATTTCTGGCTTTAAAGCCTGAACTCTTGTTTTTTTTTTTTTTTTTTTTCTCATCACACTTAAATGCCTTTTTCAATATTGTGATGTCACTTAGGTATCCTCTAGTGAAGCTAAAGGCCTCCAAAATTTACCAGATAAGGTTAAGAGATAATTCCTATGTTATTTTAAATATTACTGAGCCAAGAAAAAAAAAATCTAATTTTTTAAATGTACTCAGTACTTATAACAAACATTGGTATACAGACATAAATGCTGAACAACTACAACACGAATACACTCTATACATCAAAATATCATATTGTATACCATAAATACAGATAATATTTCTATCAATTAAAAAATACTATAGTACCTATAAAAAGAAATAATTTGGAAAATATTGAAAACAAATGAGTTATATCAAGAAAGCCTTTCCAATTATTAATATTATTAATATTAATGACAGAAGGATACATGGACTATAATAATTTTTTAATATGAAAACTAGATTGGCTTTTGTATGAGTTAGACAGCTACCTCATATTTTACACAAAAATAATTATAGGCAGATTAAATATTTAAATGTGAGACATAGCAAAAAATTGCAACACATTAAAAATAAACTGATACTAAAAATTAATTACTATGTCAAAACAAAAATCTTTCCACAGATTATGGAAAAATGTCAATATGAGGTAAAAAGTGTTTACCATGTATGCTAATAGATACACTTTCATCAGTTTAAAAATAAATTTAAGAAAAAATCTTTTCAGAGACATGATCTCACTCTGCTACCCAGACATGATCACCGGATGGATTACAGAGGCACAATCATAGCTCACTGCAGCCTTGAATTTCTGGGCTCAGGAGATCCTCCCATCTCAGCCTCCCAACGTGCTGAGATTGTAGGTGTGAGCCACTGCACCTTAATTTTCAATGAATCTTTAAAATTAAGTTTAATAAAATCATGCAAATCTCAGTTTTTACATGTATAAATGTCTTTAAAAAGTTATTGTTAAAGAAAAAATCTATAAACATATGCAAAGTTCAATTTTATTATTAATAAAAAAACAAAATAACAGGAACTTTTTATTGTAAACTGGTGAAAGTAGAAATGATGGCAATGCCCAGTGTTATTAAGACCTTTGGAAAATGGTTAAATTCATAAACTCTTGAAGGAAGGGTAAATTTGAAGAGAAAAATCTCAAGGGAGATGGACCAAAATGCAGACAACATCATAAAGTTCTTCGAGAAATTACATATACTTGTTCCAGCTCACCTTTTTAAAGCAAACAACATATTTTCAGAGGTCTATATTCATGTTATATTCATTATGCATGTTATACAGAAATCAATAAATTGTAAAAATGTTTAAATATCCAATACAATGTGATTGGATAAACAAAATATGGTACATTAATAAAATGAAAAACTCAAGTAGTATCTCCTAAGAGGAGATAAACAATAAAATTGAAATAGTTAATAAAAAAATACATTTAGTATTTTGTTAGTCTTGAATATGATTGCAGCCTTTTTTTAAACAACCTTTAGACTTACACTTTTTAATCAAAATGTAATGTGGGTTAATAATAGATATTTTAAAAATCACAAGTAATATGGTTTTGATCTATGTCCCCACCCAAATCTCATGTTGAAATGTAATTCCCAATGTTGGAGGTGGGGCCTGGTGGGAGGTGATTGGATCATAAGAGTGGTTTCTCATGATTTAACACCACCACTCCTTACTCCTCTCTGTTGTCCTCAGAATAGTGAGTTCTCAGGTAGCTGGATGTTTAAAAGTGTGTGCACCTCCCCCATCTCTCTTCCTTCTGCTCTGGCCACTTCAAACCTGCTTGCTTCCCCTTCAGCTTCTGCCATAATTGTAAGTTTTCTGAGGCCTCCCCAGAACCAGATGTTGCCATGTTTCTTGTAGAGCCTGCAGAACCATGAGCCAATTAAACCTCTTTTCTTTATAAATTACCAAGTCTCAGGTTTTTCTTTACAGCAGTGGGAGAATAGACTAATACAGAAACCTGGTACCAAGGAGTAGAGCATTGCAATCAAGATACTTGAAAATGTGGAAGCAGCTTTAAAACTGGGTAATGGGCAGGGATTGGAACAGTTTGGAGGGCTCAGAAGAAGACAGGAAGTTAAGGGAAAGTTTGGAACTCCCTAGAAACTGGTTACATTGTTGTGACCAAAATGCTGATAGTGATATGAACAGTGAAGTCCAGGCTGAGGAGGTCGCAGATGGAGATGAGGAACTTATTGGAGATGGAAGTAAAGGTCACTTTCTTATGTCTTAGCAAAGAGTTTGGCTATATTGCACCCCTGATCTAGGGATCTGTGGAACTTTGAACTTGAGAGTGATGATTTAGGGTATTTGGCAGAAAAAAATTTCTAAGCAGTAAGGCATTCAAAAAGTGGCCTGGTTGCTTCTAACTACCTATACTCATATGTGTGAGCAAATAAATGACCTGAAACAGGAACTCATATTTTAAAAGGAAGCAGAGCATGTTTGGGAAATTTGCAGCCTGGCCATGCAGTAGAAAAGAAAAACCCATTTTCTGGGGAGGAATTCAAACTGGCTACAGAAATTTGCATAAGTAAAGAGGAGCCAAGTGCTGATATCCAAGACAATGGGTTAAAGACCTCAGAGGCATTTCAGAGACCTTCTTGGCATGTCCCTTCCATCACAGGCCCAGAGGGCTAGGGGGGCTGAATGATTCTGTGTGTCAGGCCCAGGGCTCCACTGCTCTGTGGAGCCTCAGGACACTGCCTCCTGTATTCTGGTGGCTCCAGTTCCAGATGTGTCTCCTACTCCAGCTTTGGATTAAAGGGGTCCAGGAACAGCTCAGGTTGATGCTCCAGCAGGTGTAAGCCAGAAGTCTTGGTGGCTACCCCAAAATGTTAAGCCTGCTGGTGTGCAGAGTGCAAGAGTTGAGGCTTGGGAGCCTCCAACTAGATTTCAGAGGATGTATGGAAATGTCTGGATGTGCAGGCAGAAGTCTGGTGCAGAAGCAGATCCCTCAGGAAGAAGCTCTGCTAGGGCACAGCAGAAGGGAAATGTGGGGTTGGAGCCCCCACACAGAGTCCCCACTGGGGCACTGTCTAGGTGAACTATGAGAAGAGTGCCTCCATCTTCCAAACCCCAGAAAGGTAGATCCACTGACAGCTTGTGCCACAAGCCTGGAAAAGCTGGAGGCACTCAATGCCATCCCATGAAAGAGCCACAGGGGCTATACCCTGCAGAGCCAAAGGGGCAGAGATGCCCAAGGCTCTGGGAGCCCATCTCTTGCATTAGCTTGCCCTCAATGTGAGGCACGGAATCAAAGGAGATTTTGGAGCTCTAAGATTTAATGACTGCCCAGCTGTGTTTTGGACTTACATGGGGCCTGTGGCCCTTTTTTTTGGCCAATCTCTCTAATTTGGAATGGGAACGTTTACCCAACGCCTGTAACCCCATTCTATCTTGGAAGTAACTAGCTTATTTTTTATTTTACAGGCTCAAAGGCAGAAGGGTTTGCTTTGTCTCAGATGAGACTCTGGACTGGGACTTTTGAGTTAATGCTGGAATGAGTTAAGAGTTTGGGGGACTGTTGTGAAGGGATGACTGTGAGACAGCCAGGTGAGAGCAGGTCCCTGGCAAAACTCCAGCCAGCCTGCACACTGCAGTGGAGCCTCAGGAAGTCTGCAATGTCTGCAGCAGGGAGGAGCCTGACACTTTCTCTTCCTGTGTGGAAACTGGGATTCCAACTTCAAGGCAGCAGCACTCTAACAGGGACTCTGGCTTTGCAGAGAGTCCCTGTTTCCCCCTTTCCCTCATTTTTACTCCATAAAACCCTGTCTTACTCACCATTTAAATTGTCTATAACCCTGAATTTTCATGGCCATGGAACAAAAAACCCATATTTAGCTGAACTAAGAAAGATCCCTGCAACAATTGTATTTTAAAATATGAGAAGGAAATGAGATTTGGAAGGGGCCAGGTGCAGAATGATATTGTTTGAATCTGTGTTCCCACCCTAATCTCATGTTGAAATGTAATTCCCAATGTTAGGAGGTGGGGTCTGGTGAGAAGGGAGGTGATTGAGTCATGAGAGCAGTTTCTCATGGTTTAAACACCATTCCTATGACAATGCTGTCATAGGGATCGTGAGTTCTCATGGGACCTAGTTGTTTAAAAGTGTGTGCACTTTCCCCATCTCTCTTCCTTTTGCTCTTGCCATGTAAGACCTGCCTGCTTCTCCTCCACCTTCTTCCATGATCATAAGTTTTCTGAGGCCTCCCCAGAACCAGATGCTGCCATGCTTTCTGTACAGCCTGCAGAACCATGAGCCAATTAAACTTCTTTGCTTTATAAATTACCCAGTCACTCACAGGTATTTCTTTACAGCAGTATGAGAAGGAATACAACAAGTAAAGCTAAAGTAAATAATTTAAATCAATCTGAAGTAAACAACCACAAATATTTATATATGCATACATATATTTTTTAAAAAACAAATAAATTATAATTAGAGTTCAGCTATGGCACTTGTTAGAAGACTGTGCAAAGCACAAATTCCAATTACTTGAAAGAAATCTTTAATCCTAAAATATTATGCGATAACATAATTGTTACCATTGCTTTTTGAAGAATAATTTGTGTGTGTGTGTGTAGAATTATTGAAGAGCTAGTGAGGAAACAGGGAGTTTCCATTTAAAAAAGTTTATAGAATTTTGTCTTCCTAAACTCTAATTAAATTCTTATTAAATAAATTAGGAAAATAATGTATTTTAAAAATACATTAGATTTCTTATTTTTGACTTGTTGACTTAAGAGAAAAAGGCTGAAGCACAAAATATAATTTTAAGAGTTTACATGAACCAAAGTGAGGTCTGCTGCATGGGGGACACTTCCAAGTAGTTTTGGGGAGTGCTCCATCAACCCTTGTTACAAACTAGTTTTTAAAGGCAAATAAAACAAGGAGTGGGCTGATACAAGGTTATCTAATAGGAATTCTCATTGACTACAGAGATATCATTGATTAGTGATTGGCTATACATTATTGAAGTAATGGTTTGAGTTATGGTGTCCATCATATGGCATTTAAAGGCTTCTTGGCATCAGTTAATCTAGAGCCCACATAGCAAGTGCCTTTAAGAGATAATTGTTTTGCTCTAATGGGACAGATGTGACTGCTATTTTATTCAAATGCCTCTCTGGGCCTGATAATTTACAGGAGCTCACATTCCTCAGATACAAATTTGCTTTTTTTCTTCACCGATTAAACTGCCATTTATTCTAAATGATAGTATCAAAAGGATTGCATGTTACAGTTAAAAATAATACAAGTTCAAAGTAGTCATAAGGCTGTGTTATTGTGAATATATCAGAGCCATTCGAACCAGAGTGATCCATCCTGAAAAGGGACTGGCTGGGTAAAATGAGACTGACCTGCTGGGCTGCATTCCCAGGAGCTTAGGCATTCAAAATCATAACTTGTTAATGGTCAAGGAAACAGATTAATAATGTTTACTAAACAAACCCAGGACTTAACAGACCCAGAAAGTGTCCTGATGTCCCCATATCTTAAAGACAAAAGCATTCTTAGTTTAAGAATATTTTGCTTTAAGATAACTATGGAGATATTTGCAAAATCAGTAGAATTACACAAAGATTAACAATCCTTTGTTATGAGCCCTAGTGGTATAGCATACCTCCTCTCTCTCTCTATATATATATTTATTTACACACACGTGTATACATATATACACACACATATATGTGTGTGTGTTTGTGTGTGTGTATATGTATACGTATGTGTATATACACACACACACACAAACACACACACATATGATATGGTTTGGCTGTGTCCCCACCAAAATCTCATCCTGAATTGTAACTCCCACAATTCCCACGTGTCATGAGACGGACCCAGTGAGAGGTAATTGAATCATGGGGGTGGCCTTTCTCATGCTGTTCTCATAATAGTGAATAAGTCTCACAAGATCTGATGGTTGCATAAAGAGGAGTTTCCCTGTACAAGCTTTCTCTCTTTGCCTGCCATCATCCATGTAAGACGTGACATGCTCCTCCTTGCCTTCTGTCATGATTGTGAGGCCTACTTAGCCACGTGGAACTGTAAGTCCATTAAAACTCTTTTTCTTTCCAATCTCAGGTATGTTTTTATCAGCAGCATGAAAACAGACTAATACAATATATATTTTTTTTGTTTTTTGCTTTTTTAACTTCTATATAAACAAGCATTCTGCCTAAGGTAGGCATGTTTCTCCTCTTGCTTTCAGGAATGCCCTCCTCTATGGAGTAGCCATTGTTTTTGTTTCTTTATTTCTCGAATAAACTTGCTTTCACTTAACTTTGCAGCCCAGCCCCAAATTCTTTCTTGTGTAAGAAAGATCCAAGAATCCTCTCTTGGGACCCCTTTCCAGTGACTATTATGGTAAATACTTAGCATGACAGTTGTGCCAGGGGACCAAAAAACTTTTACTATGGCACTTGTTGGAAAATTATGAAAAGCACAAACTCCAATTATTTGGAAAAAACCCATCTAATCCTATAATATTATGTGATAACATAATTGCTACAATTGCTTTTCACAGAATAATTTGGGGTGTGTGTGTGTGTGTGTGTGTGTGCGTGTGTGTGTAGAATTATTGAAGAGTTAGTGAGGTAACAGGGTGCTTCCATTTAAGAAAGTTTATAGAATTTTGTTTTCCTAGAGGAATGAAAATTTGCCCAATAGAAAACGGCATTGTGCAGGACAGTAGAGGAATGATGACTGGAACTAACTTAGAGGCTCTAATAGTAAGATTGTATGCCATCTATGCAACTCCTAGCAATCACAAAATGTTTCATTGTTTATTGTCTTAGAATTGGTTGTCTTAGATTTTTTAAAATATAATTGCTTCTTTTATACTTCTGTAATTTGATTCTATCTTCTAGTTCCATGAAATGAACAGTTTACTCAGTTCATTTTTTTCATATATATGTGTTATTACAGCTTATTGGAAATTTGCAAAAAATGTGCTGCATGTTCTAAATTTTTGAATAGTAAATGAGATGTGTGTGTATATATATATATAGACATAAAACTATTAACAATGACTTTCTGATGGTACAGTTATTAATAATTTTTTCTTTTAATTTATTTTTTAAGAATTTAAAATTATTCTGTACTGCTTTCTTGATAAGAAAATACATATTTACATGGTAAACCTATATATTGAAAACTTAAGTAAAATATTAAATAAATGACGTCAGTTTACGATAAAATGTTAATAAAATTTGAAAAGAAATTGTATTAGGCCGTTTTCACACTGCTATGAAGAACTACCTGAGACTGGGTAGTTTATAAAAACAGGTTTAATTGACTCACAGTTCACATGGCTGGGGAGGCCTCAGGAAACTTACAGTCATGGCAGAAGGCAAAGGAGAAACAATGTATGTCTTACATGACAGAAGAAGAGAGAGGGTGAAGAGGGAAGTGCCAGTTTAATGCCATCAGATCTCGTGAGAACTCACTCACTATCATGAGAAAAGCATAAGGAAAACTACCCCCATTATCCAATCACCTCCCACCTGGTCCCTTCCTCTACACACATGGGGATTACAATTCATGATGAGATTTCAGTAGAGACGCAGAGACAAATCTTATCAGGAACCATTAAATTCACACTGTATGCTGCATTCATTCAGCATGTTAAAAAATACAAGTTAGTACCCTTCACATTTTACTCTTTTGCATTAAAAATGTTATATATGTATGTTTATCTGCAATTTTAAAGAATATAGATTAGACACTTTTACTCTTTTGTAACTGTTTTGGGTCTAAGGAAGTTTTTTTTTTTAGTAAAAAGGTCATCGTTGTCAATAGAGAAATAATTAGATTGCAATGCATTATCTGAAATGCTTTTTGCTTTATAAAACATTTTCCAGCAAAGTTTCTGTAAAAAATGAAATTCCTCCCCCTTAGGTTATATTTCACAAGGATTATGAGTATTAGGTGTCTTTCTTTTGATACCTGCCATGAAAGCTCTGCCTGGATAAAACCAGCCAAACTGGCTAATCTCCTACAGCTATTTGTGATAGTCACTATGCATGAGAATGGTAAGTGAGAGATGCAACTCAAGTGTTCCCACTGGGAAGAAAGTCTATCATCATCTGTCTAACATTGCTATGGCTCCTTAAATGAAGGATTCAATACCTGGAATCATTTTGAAAATATGCCAAAGCCATCTTTGCTCACTAATCCTTCTGACAGTTGAAATGCTATAATGAAAATATTACAAAAGTGGCTCTTACTAGAGACATTCATATGTTTTCCCTAAAGTTTAGGGGACTGTTTTCAACACCTTTCTCTCAATTAGTATTTCTTCTTAGAAGACTAATGCTTGGTTTGCACATGTATATTTTTAATAATTATATTTATTGAATAATTAATGACCAACTATTAGTTATCCTTTATTAGTTTATAAACTGATATTAAGAATTAAAAGATGAATAAAAATCAGATGTAGCAATATAGCACATCAAAATCTGAGTATAATAAACAATCTTTCAGGTAATTATTCCCCAAATCCAAGTAAAAATATAATCAGTGGGAGTAAATACAGAAACATCTAAATTAATGTCAACTTCACTGAGAGCTATTTGACAACATGTATTGAGGTCTGAAATCAATGTGATTCCCTGTCCTTATATTGAACAATACTGGACAATTTCTGTGTCTTTATCATAAAATGCTAGGGACAATCAAATATTTGCTTCTGGAAGATATGACAGTGAGCCCACTGAAATTGCTTTCTTTTTTTTTTTTTGAAATGGAGTCTCGCTCTGTCACCCAGGCTGGAGTGCGGTGGCGTGATCTCGACTCACTTTAAGCTCTGCCTCCCGGGTTCACGCCATTCTCCTGCCTCAGCTTCCCCAGTAGTTGGGACAACAGATGCCTGCCACCACGCCCGGCTAATTTTTTGTATTTTTTTAGTAGAGACGGGGTTTCACCATGTTAGCTAGGATGGTCTCGATCCCAGAGTGCTGGGATTACAGGCGTGAGCTAGCGCACCCATCCTAAAATAGCTTTCTTATCAAGACTAACAGATTGCTCAAGACTTATTTCAAGACCCTTAATTCACATTGCCAATCAATTCAAAGCCACTTTATCATAAATTGTTCCTAATCTTAGGCGTTTACACAGATTACAACTCCTACCTTAATATTACACAAATCAGGTCATCAGACTCTGTAACTATCCTCCAATTTGTTCATACTGAGACACTACTAATACTACTTCAAGTTGATATTCCCTCCTTATTGCAGTAAGTCTAATCAACTTAAATTTGCTTAATCAACAGCTTTTTCAGGTGGTCTTTGTGGAGGGCAACTGTCAATAGTTTCAAAGCACTTGAAGACACAAATATTCAATAATAGAGAGATATTCATTTGAATTAGCATACGATCATAAGGTAGAATGCCATAACATAATGAAAAATCAAGGATTTAAAAAAATAGATGGACATCTTGCATTTTATTCAAAAGGAGTGAAAACAAATGATAATCAAAATGATTTTTGTCTTCTACTCCACCCAAATTTGTTACTTCTCAATTTTATTCACTTCAGTAAAGAACTTTAACACCTATCTTGTTGCTCCAGCCAAAAATCATAAGGATTATTTTGGTTACACTTTTTGTCCCTATCTAGATATATTGTATTGACCTTTACATTTTGCTTTAATTACAAAGTATATACATCCCCTTTTGTTATTTGCATTTCCTAATATTGAAGTTGTTGGGACTCAGGACACACTACCCCAAAATGGGACTATAGGAGACTAAAATATGCCCTCACAAAATATACTTCTTGGCATATTTTGAGATAGCTATTCAGAGAAGCTGCAGACACAGGAATAGATCTGAAAAGCTGTCCTTTTGTAAAAGAAATTCACATCTATCTACATTAGTAAACAGCAAATGCAAGAATAGGCTTTCTCTGAGCCTCTTCATCTGCCTAAAACAGATCTAGAAAAGATCATATCAATGCTTAGCCCAGAAAGAATTTTGCATAGCCCATCACCTATTCTTCTGAAGGCTGCCTGAGAAACCTGATCTGTATAGTAAAAAAACCTTTGTTCATCATGGATGTCCTCCCCTCACCCTCCATGGCCTGTGTTGCCACCTCTCCACAACAAGCCCCTATTTCTTTCTCTAGCTCAAAATGCTATTTAAGCTTCAACCATCTGGCCCCTCTTTGAGTCTTATATTTTGTGGGATTCCTGTGCATATGCACATAATAAATGTGTATGCCTTTTCTCTCTCTTTCTTTTTTTTAAGAGATAGAGTCTTGCTCTTTTTTTATTTTTTAAGAGATAGTCTTGCCACTCTGGAATGCAGTGGCCTGGGATGGATCATAGCTCACTGTAGCCACAAACTCCTGGGCTCAAGGGATCATCCTGCCTCAGCCTCCTGAATAGCTGGACTACAGGCATGAGCCAGAGCATCCAGATTTGTCTTACTAATCTGTCTACTGTCAAGATCATTACAGAGCTCAAACCTTCAGAGGGTGGAAGGAAAGTTTTCTTCACCTTTAGAAAGTCATTATTATGGGCCGGGCGCGGTGGCTCACGCTTGTAATCCCAGCACTTTGGGAGGCCGAGGTGGGCGGATCACGAGGTCAGGAGATCGAGACCATCCTGGCTAACACGGTGAAACCCCGTCTCTACTAAAAAAAATACAAAAAAATTAGCCGGGCGTGATGGTGGGCGCCTGTAGTCCTAGCTACTCGGGAGGCTGAGGCAGGAGAATGGCATGAACCCGGGAGGCGGAGCTTGCAGTGAGCCGAGATTGCGCCACTGCACTCCCGCCTGGGCCACAGAGTGAGACTCCGTCTCAAAAAAAAAAAAAAAAAAAAAAGAAAGTCATTATTATGTCTTTCCAGGGATACCATAATACTAGCTGCCCTTCTTCTATTCTTAGCCTTTAAACTAATTCTCAACATAGTAGCCGCTTGGGTCATTTATGAATGCAAATTAGATATAGTGTAAATCACTATAACATCTATTTATTGCAATTAGAATAAAATGTAAACTCTTATTATGGCATATCCTTAATAATATAGGTAAATATATATTCTTACCTCTCCAACTTCACCTCTTATTATTCTCTTTCTAGCTCACAAAAGTCAGCTTCACTGACTTCCTGTGTTATTTTTCAACTAAGTCAAACTCTCACCACTTTGGGCCCTTATTGCTGTTAATTTCATTGGAATTTGCTCCTCTAGCATTTCCTTATTTTTTGAATATTATTGGGAAATATAATTTTAAGATAATCTTCCCCAAGCCAAAAATGTTCTTCAAAAAGGTGGTAAAGAAAACACATATGTTGGTTTGCATATTTTGGCAACATTATCATTTTACAACTTTATTTTAGAAAAATGGTCTGACATACACACACACACACAATTTCTAAAAAATTTCACAGAGGAACCCTCCACAAATTGTTCAGGCCAAAAAAGAAGAGACAATGTTACTTCCCATTCTCTGAACATGACTGATGCTGGGCAGCTATTCAGGAGATAATTGGTCTCTTTACATAAAGAGTCATATGAATTTGATATTTTTCTTTTCAAGTTCTTGAGAGTATTAGTGTTTTTTCTCAAAAAGATAGGCCAATCATTTGTGAGGAATGTAAAAGGAAGAGAGTATTTAAAATAATAACCATACAATACCAAAAACAAACAAAAAAAAACTCTATTCACTTCACAATTAGGTTTTGGGCCATGTCTTCTAACACTGTGAAGCCAAAGTAATAATAAATCTGGTTAGATCAGGGATCAAGGTGGGGCATACTTTGAAAGCTGACATATTTTGTGTATGATCTCTTAAGTTGTACTTCTCTAGGAAAACTTCCCTCCTGCCTTCTCCACTGCATCTTTCCTAAATTCTGATCTCTTTTCTGAACAATATGACATTTATTCTTATTTATAATTTTTAAATGTATTTAAATTATTTTTTCATAGAGACAGGGTCTCCCTATGTTGCCCAGACTGGTCTTGAACTCCTGGACTCAAGTGATCTTCCTACCTTAGCCTTCCAAAGTGCTGGGATTACAGATGTGAGCTACCATGTCCAGATGACATAATATAACATTTCTTATGCAGCCACTTTAAAAAAAAAAAATTTCATAGATGATTAACTGTGTGCATGTTTGGAAGGTTTATTCACATTGTCAACAAAGGCCATGAGATCTGTGGAGAAAAAATGGAAAGCTTAATTTCTATTATAAAATAATCCATTGATTGGGGAGGCATAACATTCAATAGAAATAAAAGAATGCTCTCCACAGAACAAAGGGAGGGACTGGCTTAAATAGGGAAAGTTCTCACCTAGGTTATCAACCAGGTCCACTTACACAAATGAAAGTTTCAAACTTGTTCATTTCTGATTGGCCAAAATAGTTGAGCCCTGATTAGGTGGTCTCTAGACCCAAAATCAGCCAAGTCTCTGTCAGATGTTTCTTTCAAACAGCCAGTGAGTGGCACGGGGAGTTTCTGGTCACAGTTAATCTTGGCACTGACAACAGGAACTTCTTTGGCTTGGTTGTAAAAAGGGAGGTCCTGTGACACTTAGATCTTTCTAGGAATGCAGAGTACGTGATTGTTCCCTCTCTTAACTATGATGGCCTGGTTCTGCTTTAACTTTGAGAAGCTCAGTTAGCCAGGGAGAGTCCATTTTGTCTGTTAGCGGGGGCAAATTTCAACAACACATAGATAATAATGTCTTAAATTCTTAAAGAGCTAATTTCTCATTATTCTATATATCTCTCCACACATATCTACTAGTTGAGAACATCTGAAATACTTACTGTTTTTTTTTTTTACATGGAAACTCTACAAACTTATATTTTTGCCATGACATTATTTTTCCTGTGTCCCAGATGTTCAATGCCATGATGTTTTATTGAACATTTAAAAGCCATATATTGTAAAAAATGTTAGTATTTAGAAGACTCTCAAGAAGTTTCATATCTCTGTGTATCTGAGGACATTTCATTAAGCAAAGAGCCTAAAGATGTTTCTCTAAAAGTTTGGCAGTGTGGAACTTCTCTCAGAATATTTCATCATGAGGATTTCCTTGGATTGGCTTTACTCATGTATCATTTAGCAGTTAGCAATTCACTTACTTATTTTGTGCTTCTCCTTGGCCATTCTTTGCCAGAACAATTAGATTCCACAACAGGAATTTGGTCCTAAACATTTTTTAATTATTTCCTTTACTCTTGGATATGTGTTTAAAATTTATTCTAAATATGTCAAATATAAAATAAGATTAGCTGTTACTGTTGGAAAACAACAGTTTTATATTGAAATTACTTTTTAGCGACTTTATATTTCAACGGAAAACATATTTCTACTTGCAATACTTAGATGAGTGATTTGGAATGAGCCACTGAGGATCAGAGAACTTGCCTTCAAGTTTTCATGACACCACTTGTGAACAGAGTTCTGGGCAATCTATTTTTTTTTTTTTTTTCACATTGGAGTTTTGTATAGCAGGTAGGCTGGAGCAGCGGTCTCCCATCAATCAGACATTCATAACAAAAGTTTACATATGTGTTTGTTGAAACTGAGAAGGTAGATTTTTGGTTAATAAGGAAAAACGTGTTATTTATTTTCAAAAAAAGCCTTTTTATATATGTTAAAGATAATAAGTCTTTACATTTGTGAAAAAGTATTTTTGATATTATTCTATTGATCAAACTTAGACACCATTGATCTTTCACATTCTTCAATGAGTTAAGTTAAAGAAACAAAAATAAATTCAGGGTCATGGTTGAAACAAATTTGATAAGTGCTATATTTTTAAAATTTCTATTAAAACATATTTTTGCTCTTCTTTTGTTTTCTATAATGTTTAATTCTCCATTTCTTTTTTTTTCTGATTTTTCCAATGTAGAAAAAAATGTAGTCAATAGAGTAAGTTCCAAATTCCAAGTTAATATGCCTTTAGCATGTATTTTCTAGGCTTAAAATTGTAGTTTTACTCTCATATTTAACTTGAGATAAGTGAACTGACTATTCTCATCTCTGGTGGTATTTACCATAGTTGCATTTGCACTTTGCAAAAGTACTCAAAAAAGATATATCTTTACCCCAAGCAGTGTTTTTCTTTAATTTCTAATAGACTGAAGTTTTCCCCACTTAGGTGGAACAGGACTCACGAGATGTCACCAGTAAGCTGTGACACTACTGTGGCACTTAGTGGAGATCTATTCGGAATGTCAATATAATCTAATCATCATTTGAATGCAAACATCATCAGCTTCTCTTCGATGACTTCTTCATTCTATTTATTTTGTACACATATAACAATTTTCTGCCAAACTACAATTCCCAGACATTGGAAACTAGCAGACTTTAATAACTACAAAAATTAGAACAATATACACATATTGTCAGTGACATTTGGAAAATAAAACAATGCTATTTAGTTTGCTAGACACAATAAATTCAATAATTTCAGAATAAAGGACTGTTTTCCAAACGTAATCAATCTAACTTTATAAACAGTTGATTATGTTGTTCTTATTTATCAGATTTCACTATTTACAATTATGAATTCTGTCACAGACAGCACCTAGACTGAAAACAGCCCTCTATGGATTGTTGATTTAGGGTCATGGTCTCTGAAGTCACATGTAAGTCAATCAAATGGTATGTAAGAGAATGCCTCAGGGTGTCAGAAAAAAATATTAGAATTGAATTTATAATTAGTTTTAAAATCTCACCCTTTAAAAATGTGAATGTTTTGATTCAAACATTGTATATTGTGTATGATATAAAATACATTAGTACGGTAGTGTGTAACTATAACTTATAAACACATAAACAGAAATGTATTAGGTAGGAAGACTTCAGCTTTTTAACAGATAGAATATAGAATCATATATTTGGGGTCCACTAATTTAGTGAATTAGTTTTTATAATACCTATGTTTTAGTCCAGTGATTTTATACTATGCTGATAGGAAATTCAAGAACATTAAATAATTCATTGTAAGGAGACATACAGGGAAGAAGGAAGAAGCCTTTCAAGGTTCTCTTTACCTCTATTTAGTTTCATACCAGGACACCTCTAGTTTTGTCTGTTTTACATAATGTGCTTTAATATTATAATTTATCTGTCAGAAACATAATTTCCACCAATAATTTTATTTGATTTATTTATTTAGGGACAGAGACTCACTCTGTCATGCAGGCTGGAGTGCAGTGGCCCAGTCTCGGCTCACTGCAACCTCCACCTCCCAGGTTCAAGATATTCTCATGCCCCAGCCTCCCAAGTAGCTGGGATTACAGGCATGGGTCACCAAGCTCAGCTAATTTTTGTATTTTTAGTAGAGATGGGGTTTCACCATGTTGGCCAGGCTATTATTGAACTCCTGGCCTCAAGTAATCTGCCCATCTCAGCCTCCCAAAGTGCTAGGATTACAGGTGTGAGCCACAACGCCCAGCCTTTATTTTTTTAATTGACACATTATAATTGTACATATTTATGGTGTAAAATTTAATGTTTTAATATGTATATATGCTGTTTATCAAATCAGGGGTATTTTAACATATCTATCATCTCGTGCATTTATCATTACTTTGTATTGAAAACACTCAAAAGCCTCTCTTCTAGCTATTTTGTAATATACAATATTTCAATGGCACTAATGATTTTTAAATATTCGTTGAAAACCACTATTAAGGTGTAGGATGGCATTGTCATTTTGAGCCAGTAGAAACCATGTTAGTTACATATGTATATATATCTGAATACAACTGCAATTATTGTTTTATTTTTTTCCTCCCTAAAGCCTCCTTTAGTTTTTCTCATTGTTTTCAAAGGCTGCATGATAGTCTATTAAGTGGTTTCATAGTAAATCATTTTGAACAATTTCAATTGGCAAATATTCTCTTCTTCCAATTTTCAACATTTATTTATATTCCTTAACAGTATTTTTAGAGAAAAAAATAATTTTAGAGAAATCTGAAGAAGAAATGCCTGCTGATTTTAGAGTTGATAAAATAAGAAAATTTTAAGGAAGAGACACTTGAGCAGAGAGCTGAGTAACCATCGGTAATGAAATAAGCAAAGACAGTGGGAAGACAACGCAAAGCTAAGTATATGTTCTAAGGGCTATAATATGTCAGAGGCCTGTATGCTGTTACCCCAGGTGCTGGGTTTTACGTCATACCGCTCAATAATTGAAATTTGTTTTTAACTATCTATTTTTGGGACAATTTTAGATTAACAGAATTATTACAAAGATAACCCAGATATCCCCATATGATCCACATTCGGTTTTCTCCATTATCAAAACTGTATCAATTTCCTATTCCTACTCTAACAAATGTCAACATACTTAGAGGCTTGCAACAACACAAATGTCTTGCCTTAAAGCAGGTTAGAAGCAGTAAAATCAATTTGTCTGCTGGGTTGTGTTTCTTCTGGAGGCTCTGGGGCAGCAGACCCCAACATTTTCAGCACCAGGGATGGGTTTTGTGGAAGACAATTTTTCCACAGATGGATGGGGTTGGAGTTGTAGGGGGATGTTTTGGGGATGAAACTTTTTCCACTTTAGACCAACAGGCATTAGTGAAGTTCTTTATTTTTATTTATTTATTTTTTTATTATACTTTAAGTTCTAGGGTAAATGTGCACAATGTGCAGGTTTGTTACACATGTATACATGCGCCATGTGGGTGTGCTGCACCCATACTCGCCATTTACATTAGGTATATTTCCTAATGCTATCTCTCCCCCCTCCCCCCACCCCACAACAGGCCCCAGAGTGTGATGTTCCCCTTTCTGTGTCCACGTGTTCTCATTGTTCAATTCCCACCTATGAGTGAGAACATGCAGTGTTTGGTTTTTTGTCCTTGCTATAGTTTGCTGAGAATGATGGTTTCCAGCCATCCATGTCCCTACAAAAGGACATGAACTCATCGTTTTTTATGGCTGCATAGTATTCCATGGTGTATATGTGCCACATTTTCTTAATCCAGTCTATCATTTATGGACATTTGGGTTGGTTCCAAGTCTGTGCTATTGTAAATAGTGCCGCAATAAATATATGTGTGCATGTGTCTTTATAGCAGCATGATTTATAATCCTTTGGGTATATACCCAGTAATGGGATGGCTGGGTCAAATGGTATTTCTAGTTCTAGATCCTTGAGAAATCACCACACTGTCTTCCACAATAGTTGAACTACTTTACAGTCCCACCAACAGTGTAAAAGTGTTCCTATTTCTCCACATCCTCTCCAGCACCTGTTGTTTCCTGACTTTTTAATGATCGCCATTCTAACTGGTATGAGATAGTGAGGTTCTTATAAGGAGCACTTACCCTACATTCCTCGCATGTTCAGTTCACAGTAGGGTTCGGGCTCCTATGAGAATCTAATGTTGCTGCTGATCTGACAGGAACCAGAGCTCAGGCAGTAATGCTGGGTCTCTGCCACTCACCTCCTGCTGTGCAGCCAGGTTCCTAACAGGCCATGGACTGGTACCAGTCTGCCACCTGGGGAATGGGGACCCTTGCTGTAGGAGATAATCCACTTCCTTGCCTTTTTCAGCTTCTAGAGGCTATCTCTATTTCTTAGCTTATAGCTCCCTTCTTCCACCTCCAAGGCCAACAGAGTAGCACTTTCCAATCTCTCTTACACACACTCACACACATCTCAATTTCATCATCACATCGATAACTCTGAGCCTCCTGCCTCTCTTATAATGACTCTTGTGATTAGGCACATCTAGGTAATCCAGAATAATCTCTCCATCTCAAGACCCTTAATTTATATCTGTAGGTTGCCTGTTTTCATGTAGGGTAACAGTTTCACAGATTTAGGGGATTAGGAGGTAGACATTTTTGGGGGATGGAAGGACATTATATCTTACACTGATAAGGTGTATTTGTCACAAATACATTGATATACTATTGATATACTATATTGATATACTATTATTTTTTATACAGATATTCATGCTTTCCTTTCCATTCTCTTCCACTCTGGACCTCCTAACTCTAAGTTGCCTGTGTCTCATCCTAATTTAATTTCCTTACTATTACCACCAGCCTCACATTTTATGTAATGTACCATTATGAGCATTTAAGTTACTACAAATCCCTCCTTTTTAATTCATTTTCAGTCAGCTTCCAAGGTATCACACAATTCTTTTCTCCTCCTACTTTACCAGTCTCTCCTTTTTAGGGCTATTTGCTGAATTCTTTTTCTGTTTCCAACATCTTAGTGTTGTAGATACTAGAGATCAGTCTTTGGCCTTCTTCTCTTTTCTGCTCACATTCACTGAATCATCATTTTATTCAGTTAGATGGCTTTATAGTCAAATGTGTGCCTAGAATTTCAAAGCTTTATCTTCAGGCTGGTCACTCTCCTTAAGTCCAGATGCATATATTCAACTTGCTACATTTCCATTAAGATACCTAATAGATATCCCAAATATGCACAGATACACCCCCACACATACTCACACACACAAAGCATAATCATCTCTACTTCAGCAGATGACAACTTCTTTCGTTTAATGGCTCAGACTAAAGCTTTCAGTCATTGTTGACTCTTTTTCTATCATATTAAATCGAATCTGTCAAGAATTTCTCTTGGCTTTACTAAAAAAATACATTATAATTCAACCATTATCTACACACTACAATTCTGATCCAAGCCATCTTTGTTTCTGCTATCGATTGATCCAATAGCCTCTAGGTTCATCTCCTTGCCCCTACCAGTCTATTATCAAAACAGAAGTCAGAGTTATTTATCCATTATGACATAGAGGTCAGACATTGCTACTTTCTTGTTCAAGTCATTCAATGCTGTCTCTTTTTATTTATTCAGAATTAAATGGAAAGTCCTTAAAATAGCCTATAATGGTCAAAATTGTTTGACTCCTATTAGCTCTGTGGCCTCATTTCCTTCTATGTTGCTTATATAGCTCCTATCATAATGACCTCTCTGTTTTTCCTCAAACACACAAGTCCAATCCCATTTCAAGCATTTTGCACTGGGGTGTTCCCTCTCTCTGTATTGCTTTCCCAATATTTGCATGTATATCACCTGATTAGTAAGACCTGAGCCCACAGCCTTATGTAAAATTGCAACCCACTTATCACTCTCATACTCTTGATTCCCTTCAACCAACTCTATTTCTTCCGTAACACGTACCATATTCTAATCATTATATTTAGTTGTTTTACATTTATATTGTTTAATTTATATTATTCCCTCATCTCGTCATTTTAATGTAAGCTAGACATCAGCAAGCATTATGGTTTGTTTTAGTTACCATTCCTCCCAGACACTGTAAACTCTGCCTGGCACATAGCAGAAACTCAATATGTAATTTGTGAATCAATGAATAAGTCATTCCATTTAAGAAAAAATATAATGTCTGGCATAAAACAAAGCACAATTTTTCTATATTTATTCAAGTAATAAAAAGCGGTTGCCAACTGGATAATTCCCAATTTGGCATTCCAGAAGCAAGAACGAAGTCCGTAAAAAAAATCCTACCTCCAAAAAAAAAGAAAAATCCCTGATATATTTTTTGTTTTTTAAAAATAAACATTACCAGTGAAGGATTTGTGATCATATCCAAACATTTCATAAGACCACACAAGAAATTAATAGCCCAGTGATGCCTAAGCCAAAATTTAACCTTCATACACATAAAAAACTCACGAAGACATGCAAGCATTAGATTCAGTTACATCAACAGAGGACAAAAACACAAGATGGCAAATTCTTCTCCTTAAGAACTGAATACACAAAAGTATTTCAATAGAAAAAAATCTCATAAAGGCAGGATTTCAAGTGAGTATTAAAAAGTTAATGATTCTTTTGAGATTTTAATTCCAGACATTCATGAGTTACATGTCCTCTAGACTCTACAGCTTGAGCAATTGCGATCAAATTCTTTATATGGTTAGGCTACTTTTTTTTTTAAGGGCATATGGAAGAAAAGACAGAAAATAATATTTCAGAGATTTCTGAGGCCAAAAAAATAGACTTTTAATGCATCACTTCTATCTAGCAAAACCAGATAGAAAGAGACATTACATGTCTGTAGACATTTTCACATACACACAAATGTGCCTACACCCACAGTCATAACTTTCTGATAATAAAAGTGTTCTTGTGATTGGTGTCATACATACCTTCTACAGAATTCTGCAAGCTATCAAGATAGTGTACGTATCTGGAATAAGATCTCTTCTCCCTAAACAGGAAGTCAGAGTGAACTGACACCCTGGGTGTAAGACCATTACTTGCTCACTATCTACCCAAGTATTATAGTAAAGAGATATCTATTCCTTTCTTTCACCCTGACCCACACATTGCCTTAAACTCACCAGAATTAATCTCTCTATATATCTATATCCATATATCTATACATATCTATTTTATCTATATATATATATTTATCTATCTAGATAGATATATAGCTAGATATATTTATCTCATTAATTTAGTGCCAAGAAAATGCTCATATTCCTAGTAACATCTTGTATTCTTTACATGAATGATCATATATCTTTATATAGCTACTATTCTGTCTCCTTTTTAATGCTTCCTCAAATTCTAAAATAGTTTCTGGATGCCATTTGAAATTTATGCTCCATTAACAGTTAAATATCTCATACTTGTGTTCGAAATATTTCTTTCATCTTTATGTTTGAATGTAAGTCTGAACCTCTTCTAAGGACCCTAGTTAACACTACTTACCATAGATTTCATTCCACGGGACCTGGAGCTGGTGTCAGTGTCATTCTTTCTCCTCATTACCATTTTCAAACCATTCTCCTTTCCTACATTAAAAAAAAAAGAGAGAAGAAGAAGAATCAGAATTATATCTAATTTAAAGATTATATCACACTGTATTCTTTATTTTGATGCTATGTAGTGTCCTCAAATTAAAATTTGATTTAATGTGATTGCATCTTTTTTTTATCCTTTGGGGAATTATAAAAAAACAAGATATATTTGTGAACATTATTTGTATATTCTATTAACCTGCTTTTCTCACTAAATAATATAACTTGGTAATGTTCTCATATGCCATAAATTCTAATAGTCGCATATTACGCTACTATATGGAATTACATTGATCTATTTAACAATTTCCGGGTAATTTTTATTTCATTTTTATTGGTAAAATAATCCTATACTTTTTAAAAATTAAACATATTATAAATTGTTTTTTATTTCAAAGGACTTGATAAATATTTATGAAATTCCATTCTACAACTTGCCCTTTTAATTTCCACAGCCTATTTCTAAAAAAAAAGTAAAATTATACTTTAGATTATAAATAGAATCTCAATGAATTTTTAAAAGAAGATATTTCAAAGGATACATTTTATGATCCACATGCATTCAATCTAAAATATGGTTTACAAAGGTATAAAGGAAAAAAATAGCCACATGAAAAATACATTCCATTAAATAATTTTGGGGTCTAAATGTTAATAAAAAACCACAATTACATAAGCTTTAGAAAACAATGAAAATGAGAACATTGTATATGACCACCTATAATACTGATCAAAAGTCAAGTAAGAAAGAACATTGTAAATGAGCCATTCTGTTCAAAAAGTTAAAAAGAAAGCATAAAACAAACGTGGAAAGCAGGAATGTCACAGGGGCAGAAAGATTCAGGCTTCAGATCTGCCTGAGTTCTGCTCTTCATAATTTATAATTAAAACAAAGTAAAAAAAAATGGATTATTACACTGAAAATCATTTGGCCTATTTCAAAGACTTGCATAAATATTATGCTTTTTATCACTTCTGCCAAATGGCCACAAGATGCTGACTTCTATAGAACATGACAATTCTAAACTGTAAAACATTAAATGTTACAGAAAACATGCTGTGGAAGTCCACTTTGTCAAAATATCCTAGTTCTATATAGCAAGGCTTTGGAATAACTTGTAAATGAATAAACAAGCATCATAGGTAAGCCAGATTGAACATTCAAGGAAACATTTTGAGCACCTTGTAAACTATAATCATCCAATCCCTCTTGGACACTTGCCTCCGTTTTGGCAATTTGGAAGCAAGATGAAAGTAGATAAAGTGTTTACTACAAGAGAGGGTGCTTCTGCGATATACAAAGGGAATTGTAAACTTAGTCCTGTGATCCTGCCATTAGTCTTTTTAATGATTCTGAGCCACAACCTCCCTGAGATAACATCTTTTTCTCTCTATGCTTGAGCTTTGAGAAGCCTAGAGGAATCTTGATTTTTTTTTAGCCTTTTATTAAACTTAAGCCTAGAAATAAGGGAAAGCTAAAGGAAAAGGATTAGAGAGGTTTGTTCAGCACTGCCAGAGAAAGAAAATCCCTGCCTTACTGCCCGATATATTAAACTCCTGATCTTGCAATTGCATAAAATTATTACTGGCATTATATCTATGTCAATTAAATCTGGTGCTGCAGAAAATGATTTAACCAGTTATCTCTTTCAATGTCATTCAAGAACTCTAATTAGTGTGACAGGTGTGTTTCTCTTTTAAGTAGTGCTGTAGTCATCTAGGTATTATTCAAAGGCACCATTAAAACTCATTAATATGAGAGTATCTCAGAGGGGTTTATGGGCTTTCGGGAGTACTGTTCAGACAAGTTTGCCCATAAAAGTATTTTGGATTAAAAATGTTAGAGTATATTGTTTTCTATCATGAGAAAATATTTCTTTCAGTGTTATAAGCAGACTGATAATGCTTCTGCTTATTTTTCAAAGATCCTCTATTTTTATAAGACCTAGAATTTTGTTCCTTATTTTATTCATAACCTTCACAAATAGATATAATTTTATTCAATACACAATTTTTGTAAGAAAAGAGAAATGCAGTGAATGAAAGTTTAACTTTTCTAAGTTTACCTAGTAAAACTTCTTTTACTCTCTGGCTACCCTCCTCTGTTTTACTGTTCATCTTAACTACGAATAAACTGGTTTGGCAATAATAAAAGAAAGATTTGAATATCCATGAGCAATTTAAAATTATAGCTTGGAAAGTATTGCTTTCAGACTCACACTTTTTCCTATCTTTCCTTCCTGATTAGTGCAAAAGCTCATTGACCCACCATTCCATTGAAGCCCAATTAGTTTTTGGATAGTTTGCACTATTTTATGGTGGAAGCATGCCTGACCAAACAGATTACTATAACCTGAGAGTAGATTTCTCTTCTTATGTATTTTCAAACCCTACCCAATGCAGTACTGAACATATAGTTAGAAATTATTTAGTGTTTGTTAACACTTTATTTTCTAAGTAGAGAATTTTAATATTAATAATAAAATATCTTTATTGACATATTTTCACTAAAATAAATTATATGCAAAGTATTTTAACGTTGTTATATAACCAGAATTTAACAAGTGAATTCCATATGTCAGATATAGGGCTAAGAAACAGGAATATAGAGAGGAGTATAATGTAAACCCAGATCTCAAAAGGTTCAGAATCTGGTATGGGGGACAAATAAGTAAACCAATAATTACAAAATGCAACAATGGGTTTCATAATTGAGAAATACAGGAGATAAAAGATTTAGGTAAGTGATTCTTAGTTAAGAAAAAGCAAGGTTTGGGGCAAAGTTTCAAGGTTGGGGAAAATTGGGCAGAGCATATCTTCTATAATAGAAAGTACAATGCTAAATCTTGAAGAGTAAGTACAATGTGGCCAAAATGAAAATTTTGGGAAGGATATTTTTAGCAAAGACAAGATCTGCTAAATCAGATGAGAGTATGGGACATAAAGAAACTTATGGTAATTTTGTATTATCCACCGAGTATATGAAAAAAATTGAGAAATGAGACTAAAAACAGAGTAAACAAATGATTAATAACTAAGAGAATATTAAAGAATGCTATGGTTTGAATGTGTTCCCTTAAGTTCATATGTTGGGAACCTAATCCTCAGGGTAATAGTATTTAAAGGTGGGAGTTTATCAGGTGATTAGATAATGAGAGCTCTGTCCTCATGAATGGACAAATGCTGTTATCATGGAAGAGATTTAGTTATCACAGTTGTGGATTCCTGATGAAAAGGATAAGTCTGGCCTCTTCCTCTCTCAGTCTCACACTCTCTTGCTCTGCCACTTTCCATCAAGGGATGATGCATTTGGTGCCATGGATGATGGCACCAAACATGGATGCCACTTTCTTGGACTTCCTAGTCTCCAGAACTGCAAGCCAAGTAAACTTCTATTGTTTATAAATTACCCACTCTGTGATCTTCCATTACAGCAACAAAATTAAGACAAAGAGTTAATACTTCATTTTAATGGTAATAAAAGAGATACAGAGGAATAACACACAGTGAAAATAAATTAAAAACACAAAATAGCAGTTTTAAGTTATAACATCATAGTATTAAGTGTAAGTATTAAGTTATAACAACATAGCATTATCGTTAAATGAAAATAGTATAGAAATACCAATTAAAGTCAGACTGGTGGAGTGGAGGGAAAAATCACAAACCAACTCTATGGTGTTTTACAAATAATTGATTTCAAATTTTACAGCATAGGTAATTTAAAGTAAAAGTGTTACAGGAAAGGGGTCCTGATCCAGACTGCAAAAGTGGGTTCTTGGAATTCACACAAGAAAGAATTCAGTGCAAAGTAAAAGCAAGTTTATTGAGAAAGTACAGTGGTGAAAGGACTCCCTAGACAGAGTCGGACGTTCCTGAAAGCAAGAGGAGGAACGCATCCACCCTATGTACAATGTTTTTAAAAAATGATACACTGGATTTAGTGGGATTTATTAGAAGTTTGCAAAGCTGGTTCTATATTAAAAAAAATCAATGTAATCCAACATATCAGCAGGCTAAGAAGGCAAATCACATGACTGTATCGATGCAGAAAAGTCATTTGAGAAAAGCTAGCATCTATTTATAGTAATAATAATAACTCAGTACATTTTCAGTAGAAAAAAAATCTCAACTTGATAAAGATATATTAAAAAACCTAGAGGTAATATCATCCTTAATGTTGAAATATTTAGTGTTTCCACTTTAAGTGAAGAACATGGCAAAAAAAGGCAATTCTCGTCACTCTCATTCAACATAAAACTACAGTGAATCAAGTAAAAAAGAAATAAAAGGCATAAATTGGAAAGGAAGGAAAAAGTCACAAATTGGAAAAAGTAATATCATACTTAATGTTGAAATATTTAGTGTTTCCACTCTAAAGTGAAGAACATGGCAAAAAAAGGCAATTCTCGTCACTCTCATTCAACATAAAACTACAGTGAATCAAGTAAAAAAGAAATAAAAGGCACAAATTGGAAAGGAAGGAAAAACTGTCTCTATTTGTTGATGATACAATTATCTATGTAGAAAATTTCAAGTAGTTTGCAAAGTAGAAATGTTTTGTAGAACTAATAAGAGAGTTAAGCAAGATTGTAGCATATGAAAGTAGCACATGCATAGACACACACAGACAAACGAATCACATTTCTAAATAGTAACAGCGAACATATCAAAACCAAAATTAAAATCACAGTACCATTTATAATTTTTCCAAAAAAATTATAAAATACTTAGGTACAAACTGAACAAAACACGTACATTATCTATACACTAAAATTACAAAATGCTGATAAAAGAAATGAAAGAAGTACCAAATAAATGTAAAGGTATACCATGCTCATAGGAAGAGCCAACATAATAAAGCTGTAATTTCTCTTCAAATTGATTCACAGGTTCAGTGATATTCCTATGAAAATCCCAACAAATTTTGTTGTTGTTGTTGTTGTTGTTTTGTTTCGTATTTTTACACTTTGACAAGCTCATTCTAAAATATTTATGCAAAGCCACAGGCCCTAGAATATCTAAAACAATTTTGAAAAAGAATAATATTGTCTTACCATATTGCTATATAATCATGAGAGTGTAGTATTGGTGGAAAAATAGGTCATAAATCAATAGAACAGACCAGAGAACCTAACATTAGACTCCTGCAAAGGCACAAAGGCTATTCAATGCAGAAAGCATCACCTTCTGTTTGTTTGTTTGTTTTTGAAGATAGGATCTTACTCTCTCATGCAGGCTGGAGTACAGTGGCATAATCATGGCTCGCTGCAGCCTTAAACTCCTGGGCTAAGAGATCCTCTCACTGCAGTCCCCTAAATAGCTGGGACTATAGGTTCATGCCACCACACCTGATTAATTTATTTTTAAAAAAAATTATTGTAGAAATAAGGGTCTCACTATGTTGGCAAGTTTGGTCTTGAAATCTTGGCTTCAAGCAATCCTTCCACCTTGGCTTCCAAAAGTTCTGGGATTACAGGCATAAACCACCACATCCATCCAGCATAGCTTTTCAAATAAATGGTATCGCTGCAACAAGATATCCATAGGCCAAAAAAAAAGTCTTGACCTTAACCTCATGCCTTATGCAAAAGTTAATATAAATAAACGTATCTTGTATTTCAACGCAAAATATAAGACTATCTTTTTGTGAAAAGTAGGAGAAAATCTTTGTAACCGCAGTTAGGCAAAGACTTCTTAGGCTTGACACCAAAAGTACAAAGCATAAAAGGAAAAAACAGTGATAAATTGGACTTCATCAAAATTAAAAACCCTTGCTCCATGAAAAGCCCTCTTAAGAGAATTGAAAAGATAACCTACAGTCTGGGAAAGAAAGAAATGCAAACCTCTTATTCAAATAAAGATTTTTATCTAAAATATATAAACAACTCAAAAACCTCACCAGATAAAAATGAACAATCCAGTCAGAAAATGGGAAAAAATGAATTGAATATATGTTTAACCCAACAGGATATCCAGATGGCAAATAAGCAAGAGAGATGTTGCACTTCATTAATCACTAGAAAATAGGAGGTTAAAATCACAATGAGCTATTCTAGCACACCTATCAGAATGGCTAATATTTAAAAATAAAACCATGATAATATCAAATGCTGACAGGAATGTGGAGAAATTGAATCATTCATACATTGCTGGTGAGAACATAAAATGATATAGTCATTCTGAAAATTATTTGGCAATTACTTATAAAATTAAAATGCTCTTACCATATGACCCAGCAATTGCACTTTCAGGCCTTTGTCTTAGAGAAATGACAACCTAACCTAACACCAAAACCTAAATAAATGTTCATAGCAGTTTTATTAATATTCTTCGTATCCAAAATCTAGCAACAATCCTGTCCTTAAATGGCCAATGACTGAATAAACTGTGATTCATATGTACCATGGAACACTACTCAGGGATCAAGAAAACAAACTAGTAACATATGGAACAACCTGGAAAAAGCTCAAGGGCACTATGTTAAGTGAAAAAAAAAAGCCAATCTCAAGGGGTCATATACTGCATGATTCCATTTATATAACGTTTCTAAATGAAAAAAACTTTGTTATAGCCCCAAATTAGAAGTAATTTGATGTCCTTCAGCATGTGTATAGTAAACCAAGCTATGATACATTCATGCTATAGAATACTACTAAGGAATGAAATGAAAGAAAATATTAATATATGTGAAGCTGAGATGAATTATCATTAAATCATGCCGAATGAAAGAAGCCAATCCCAAAAGTTTACCTATTGCATAGCCTATATATAGATATATATATATATATATATTTTTTTTTTTTTTTTGAGACAGAGTTTTACTCTGTGGCCCCGGCTGAAGTGCAGTGGCTTGATCTCGGCTCACTACAACCTCTGCCTCCTAGGTTCAAGCTATTCTCATGCCTCAGCCTCCCAAGTAACTGGGATGACCGGTGCCCACCACCAGGCCTCGCTAATTTTGTGCTTTTAGTAGAAACAAGGTTTCACCATGTTGGTCAGGCTGGTTTTGATCTCCCAACTTCAAGTGATCCACCCTCCTCAGCCTTCCAAAGTGCTGGGATTACAGGTGTGAGCCACCATGCCCAGCCCTGCATAGTCTACCATTATAACATTTTTGAAATGGCAAATTTATAGAAATTGATAACAGATTAGTGGCTGCCAAGGAATAGGGACAGGCCAAGGGTTAGGGACAGATCAAGGGAGAGATATGGGTATGCTTATAAAAGCTCAATAGAAAAGATCCTCTGAAGAATGGAAATATCTCATATCTTGACTGTACCCATGTCAACATCCTGGTTGTGATATTGTATTACAGTTTTGCAAGATGTTACTATCAGGAAGAAAAATGGGTAAAGCATTCCTAGGATCTCTCTGATATTTTATTACAACAGGCTGTGAATCTATAATTAACTCAGTACAAACATATTAAAAAATACAACAGAGAGCTAAACAATATATTTGTACAAATCACTCTCTCTTGCACATTTTTAAAAGAAATAAAAGCAATAAAAAAATCAATTCTAGAAAAATCAAAATCAACCATGCCTAAATTGTAGAGAATACACTTAAAAATATGAAAAATGATTTCATTTAAACTAGACAAAACAGATATACCTTAATAAATGTATTCAAACTTACAGCAATTTTAAAGTTGACATGTTTCTTATATTAATAGAATAAAAGTGGCATAGTGTTATATATTAAATTGAAATAGAAAAGGTTGAATTAGCAGACATTTATTACATTTTAAAATAAAGTCTTAGCTTCGAATAAACCTGACTCTGACAAAAATATATTTCCATTTACAGGCAAAACACAAAGTCTATATACATAATTTTTCAACTCAATTCATTTTTAGTGTATTTTTACATCAGTAAGTGTATTTGCATTTTAATTGTTTTTATGATAGTCAGCTATACATTTTAAAATCATTTCATTAAACATTTATACATGTTTTTACCTCATCGAAGCAAACTTGTTTTGTTGAAGGACCTGAAATTTTAACAGATTTTTAAATATATTTGTCAGATATTTCCCCTATGTGAAGATTGCTGCTTTCCACATTTTTGAGATGCTGGAGGTCTTTCTTTCCCTTCCTCCTTCTTTCCTGACCATCCCTCTATTCCTTCTCCTGCCCTTCCTTTCTTTCTTCTTTGTCAATGTTATTGAAACATGACTTACATTTTAAAATGCCATTTTCTTGATTGCTTTTCAGAATGAATGTATCTCCATAAGACATTTGCTCATTAATGTGTTCTTTTATTTTTGCTTAATAACCATGCCTCTCCTTTTTTAATGCTTAAACATAACACATGGGTATGTTAATATTATAAGATACACTAACATATGTTAGTGTGTACTGGTGTGGAGATTTTTTTAAAGAAGAGGCATGATTAACACTTTGTGGATATATAGCAAAAGTCCCAAGAGAAATTTCTAGGTGGACTCCACAGAGTCTTTTATGATCTAAGCTACCATTGCCACTTGTGTTGCCAATCTAATATCAATGTGATTGTTGTCATTGTTGTCTTGGAAACATCTCTAAAAGATAACTCCTTTCATATTTCCTTGAATACATAACGAAGAGCTTACCTTTGAACAAATACACCTTGCCACCTTCTCAGATCATCTCAGCCAGAAACCTATTTTTTATGATTTTATAGTATTGCATTCATGTCATAACATTCATTCCTTATCATAGAAGTTAAGAATGTAAGCTGTATTTAACCCCAAATTTGGCAAACTATTATATTTTTGACAAGGGAAACTTAGTCCTTTTGTCTCAGTTTGCTTATATATAATAGTAAAGGCTACCTCATAATGCATTTGGAGGATTAAAAGTGTTAAAATATGGAGAACTTTCATAATAGGATTGGAACATAGTGAGAGAAAACTAGAGTAACCTTAGTTAAGCAAATTCCCTTATATTAGACCTGTGTGTAAATGCCAGGTCTCTGCTACTATATTTCAAGCTCCTGTAGAGAAGAGACATTGTTGCAGTTTTATAACTCCAGAGTGACTAATATGTACTTTATGCTCCACAGATACTCACTTTTTATGCAGAAAATATGATTCTTTTCTTAGCATAGTATCTGATAAGCAGACTACAGATCAACTGTCGCTTCTTCAGAAAGTTCAGAAAGTTCTTCTCTAAAGTAAACCAAACACTATTATTTTAATCTATGTTTTAATCATACATAACACAACTTTATATTTTTCTTTATGTATTTATTATCCTTACACACTGTCTGACATCTTGGATTTGATGTGTACCTAGCACCTGAAGAATATCTTACACATAGTAGATAATTACTTATTGAATAAATGAATATGATATTAGTTAACTTTATCTTTGTTGTTTTAGAGGCATGTATTTTTCAAGATTCGTTGTCATTGCTACTAGTCTTTTAAAAAGTCACTTATCTGTCCTAATAAATCTGTTTGGATATGCTTAATGTGGATTTTTGATCCTTCTATTTATTTTCTAAATGGTATGCATATAATTTATTACATTCTATGCTGTAAGGAGTATTTTAAATTGATTTCTTCTATCTATTACTATTTAATAGAGAAGATGATAATAGCCAAAAAGTTAACCATATCTTTTGGTCATAAATTTCTTAATTCATTTAGGACAAAGTTTATAAGGGCAGTATTCCAAAACCTTTTACTGCAACACACTGAAATTAAAGATAAATGCTACAATAATGTTATCTTTCAAAACTTCTTAGAATTATTCTGGGGAAAACTCCTTCACATTTACACAGACGTTTAACAGTTCATTTTAACAGTTCATTTCCACAAGTCTCATAGGTACTATTTTACTTTCATGGTATGCTTATTTTGATCAAAGGTAGGTCCTGTATCCTACAAAACAAAGACATGACTGAAGGAAAAAAGAGACTTTTTCTCTGTAAAAAGGGATCAATTATTCTCGCTACAAAGCCATTCTATTTCTAGCAAGTGAGCTCCAGGAGAAACTTCCTCTTGCTATTACTCATATAAAGAGAAAAAAGCAACGTAGAATTTTTGACAAATTATAAGAAATTCACAGATCATCCTTATTGTGTCTGCGAAGTATGCTAGTTATTAAGATGAGGCAGTACAACTGCTTACCAAGGTCCTGAAAGATGTGCTCACCAACCCAGAATAGGAATGGGGCCAGGCTTGGTGAGTTTCTGGCATAAAGAACTGTGGATGATATCCTAGGCCTTTTTTTTTAAATTGACACTCAAAATAGTACTTGAAGTAATTTAATTTATTTTCCCAGCTTTATTAAATTAGAGTCTACCAATAAAAATGTATATATTTAAGATGTGAAACATGATGTTTTGACATACATATATATTGTGACATGATTAAATTCACGCTGAAAGAAAATTGTGGACTGGCCTCTATATTAAGGTGGTGGGCATAGATAATACACAGAATTGAATCTGGCAAAATAGAACTGAAAGAGCTTTGAGAGGAAACAAAAAAAATCCAGTGTAGAGTTCCATGAGATCTCTGAGGGGAATCTTTTAAATTCTATTCGAGTCTCAGTGTAATTTTTGCAAGGAGAGCTTCTGGATAACTAGGCCTCATGGTGGAAACATAAATAATTACAAAATACGAATGTACTAATTTGGTGTGAGGCAAATATAGTTTGGATACTTTTAGTTTCTCTATTTTGTGTGCATATTTAGTCTCATGTACTTCACTTGCCAGAAATGACTAGAAGAACAGTATTTGGTCACCGGATTGTTGTCAGTAAATGTATGACTTCTGATTAGCACCATACTAGGCATTGATTAATAATCTCAGGATCCAAACATAGAAGAAACTATAAAAAAGAATTCACCTTTTTAAATCATGCAACCAATTGAATAAAATTACCCAAGGTTATTGATAATTGTAACAGACATTTGCCCACTTTTTCTTTAAATTATTCAAAATTAACAAGTTGAGTGCCTACTCTGTGTGAGGCACTGTGCTAAGCACCAGAAACAGAGCAGTTAACATGAAGATTCTTGCTCTCAATCAGCTTAAGGTATAACTATAATGAACTTTTTAAAATAAGAACATTAACAGCAATACATTAATACATTCATTATTTGCTCATGTAGTGTAATCTTAGTATATCCATGACATAGTCTGAGTGTTAACTACAGAATTAATAATAAATTAGAAAAACCTTAATACCCCTGCTGTTTTTTTAGAAAATTATGTCTAAAAATAAAATAATAATAATGATTAACCTAGTTTAAGAAATAAAAAACCACATTTAAAAATAAGAAAGGATTTTTTCTTATCTTCCAATAATGAAGGGTGACTTAAAATAACTGAGGTGAATTCAAGCACTAAGAAATGAAAAATAAAACAGAAAGGGAAGAATGAGCCCTAGTAGCCTTAATAGAGGAAGAAACGAGATGGCTACCACAAACGTCAGGCCCCAAGTACTGAAATCAGAGTAAGAACTTCTCATTCAACCTAGCTCCTAGTCTAATTTTTAAAATAAAAACTAATGCAAAAAAGAAAAAAGTAATGTAAAAGAAAAGAACAAACTTAAAAATGATTTAAATTTATGATGCCAAGTAGGAAGTTAAGCCCTGGAGATTGAGTCATATGGAATGTGTGTAACTTCTGCTTGTTAGATTATAAATTAACGCTCTTCCTCATTATTCTTGTTCTGTAAGAGACTAGGAGAGATGAGAGACAAGACCCCCTACTCCTATTCCCGCTTATAATCACCGATCTTTGTTGTAGATTGTCTCTATACCTAACTCAGACCAGATGGCACAAAAGACACAATGACTGCTACATTTTCAGTGTGTCATGTTAACTCTAACTTTCTGGGAAAAAAAAAAAAACTCATCTAATCAGATTTTTTAAAGCTATGCATTAAGCTTTACATAGAGCAATGGTGAAATTCTGTCAAGCTTCTTGAAACTTTGTCTATATAAGTGATCCCAAACTTCTATACTTCCTATACTTCAAAACACACGTTTCCATTCTTTAAAATCTGTGGTTTCCAGGCAGCCATCCTCAAGTTTGGCACTTGAATAAATATTCTTTCTACTAGAATCTGACCCTTTTGATTAATTTAGGTTGACACTACAAAGTATCAATTCCAATTTTAATTGAGGAAAATTTCCTTCTAACTGTGAAGCATTTATAGGTTAATTTGAACATACTACCTACCTGCATATTGGTATTTTTGAACCTTAACTAATTTAAACAAGATCAAATGTTTAACATCAAGATGTATCTCTCCTACTCAGTTGTCTATGTCTGAACTCAGAATCATGAGGTTCTGCCCCATAAAACTATTTGTTTCTGTTCCAGTAATCAGATTACTGAAGTATTTGGCCCACCTTTTTATAATCACTGAAAGTCAGCAATTTACAGGAATGATAATAGCTCAATTCATGAGAAGCCAGTGCTATATGTCAGGGGTTATATGGAAGCAGCATTGCATAGTGTTTATTTGCTTTCAAAAGCAAACCTTTGGAGAACGAATGTTAAAATCTTAATTTTGCATGTGAGGTTTAAAGGGGTTAGGTGGATGGTGAGGTAACATGGTTACATGATTAGGAAGTGTAACTGAAGGTTACATGGTTAGGAAGTGATAAAGCCTAGCCACTGTGTCACAGAACACAAATGGTGACTAGTGAAGGAGATAGACTAACATGGCACATACCTCCTGGGAAATAGAGTTAGCATGAAAAAAAGTGTTGTCAGAGATAGTCAATTTTCCCAGAATTCTCAGAATCAGGACAGAAAGACAAGAATTTCAGATAGATAAAATGGGTATACAAGGTGTTGGGTCAATTTAACAATGAAAAGTAATTCAAAATGGTAGATCAGAAAATTTAACTAGATAAACGCAATGGAAGAAAGAAAACAAAGCCAGAAATGATGACCAAGTCTATGGTATGGTGATACTCACTAGAAACTAACAAGTGAACAGGAACATGAATTTGGATTCTAGATATGGGGTTAGGACTCACTCCCAGGGGGCACAGAGAAATATCAAATATACAAAGTATATTTTTTCTGCTGCAGCCAATTGAGGCAGTCAGGTGGAGTGAAGTAGACTTTTATTTTCCAGACTGAGACGCAATGTCTAACAATAAAAAAAAAAGTACTACAAATTCACTAAAATAAACTTAGGAAAAAAGATTTAAAACCCTTATTAGAATATAAAATGCCAGTAGAATGACCTTGATAAATCAAGAGGAGAAGGGCATGATTAGAGAATGAGAGAGGTGAAGATGAACAGAAGCCAGGAGATAAAAATAGGCCAAAATGAAATAAGAAGTGAGACTCGTGAAATAAGCAAGCATTTTCCAGAAAGTAAAACACAATTGCCAAGTTGTGAAGTATATTGCAGACAGTAAATAAAATAAAAGTTGCTCTCTCCAAAATCAAATCTAGATGTACAGGACAAACCCAAGACTCTCCACAGAATATAAAAACAGAGAAACTACAACAACAAAAAGAAAGTTGATACATGCGGAGGGGCAAGAACTCAGAACTACTAGTAACAGAGACAGGTGTTTCTAAAAAAGAGAAGAACAAATCAAGAACAGTAACTTAAGAACTAATCATAAGAAATCATTTTCCGACATGAAGTAAAATTTACGTATTCACATCGTGAAACCACTTTTGCAAAAATTATAACAGTGAGAGAAATGTGACATAAGTGACTCCATCTTTCTTCTAACTTCACAAGCTAACTGCCCTTGTTAAATATAAAACAAAGGTGATAACATGTTCTTCCCAAAACTAGCCTATTCCTTGGTCTGGGACCGAAATTACCTTTGTAAGTCTAATGAAACCCCACAAGGTTAGGATTATGGGAGGGGCCTGAATTCTGCTAAATTTATACATAGTTAAACAATAACCAGCCATTGTTCCCTAGCTTGCTTTTCTGTAATCCTCTACTGCTCCTGTGTCATGAAGCCAGAGGCCTTTAGATTTGTAACTTCTCCAATTGCTCTTATCACTATTGTCAAAACCTAAGATTGCTCTTTGAGACATTTTTCACACTTCTGCATTTGGGCAGATGAGCTGATGCCAACCAGACCCATGACTTATACCAGAAAACTGGCTCAACCAGTCCTGTGACTCCCACCCAGAAACTGACTGACTCAGTTCACAAAGACAGTTTGGACCCTGTTATAATTTCATCCCCAACCAACCAGCAGCACCCATTCCCTGCCCCCTCCCCTCCAAATTATCCTTAAAAACACTACCCTCTTAGCTCTAGAGGAGACAGATTTGAGAAGCGAGTCTCATCCTACCCCTTGGCTTGGCCTCTGATCATTAAACTCTTTCTTTGCTGAAATACCTGCTGTTCTCAGTGCATTGACTTTTCTGGACATTGGGCAAGATAAACCCATCAGGCTGTTACAAATGCAAGTATTAATGATGTTTCAGACAAATGGCTTAAAGTAGGTTCTAACCAAGAAAGATAGTTTGGTTTTGTTGTTGTTTTCATTACTGTTAGTGCTGGAAGAACAAATTACAGTCCTAAGTACGCTGAGACAGTTGAAAATGAAGGTTAAATTTCACACATAAATCAGATTAGATTAAGATTTTTTTTTTGCAACAGTACAAGCCAAGAGACAATGAATAAATGAACACATTTAGGGAAGAGGTATGTTTGAAGAATCTTACACCAAATCAAATTAAACTGTTGTCCATGTGGATGGCAACCAGGAAATATTCTCAAATAATGACTCATAAATAGCACTCATCGAACTCATGGAAAGGAATCACTGGAAGATAAATAAGAAAGAGCCAAAGGATAAGTAAATCTTATTTGTTCACATTGGCAAGGCCATACTGCAAGCAAATGTAGCAGTGATTTCTGGAATTAGAATTAATTAAAATAGCAATAAGCCTAAACTTATGTAACAAACTGTAAAACTGATTGTAAATATTGTTATAGTCTAAATGTTTTTGTCTCTCCCAAATATAAATTTTGAAGTCCTAGCCCCCATTGTAATGGTATTTGGAAATGACACCTTTGGAAATTAGGTTTAGATGAGATCATGAGGGTGGGACTGCCATGACAAAATTAGTGCCCTTATAACAAGAGACACCAGAGAGATCACCCTCTTTCTCAAGAAGACTCAGCAAGGCAGCCATTTACAAACCAGGAAGAAGGCCCTCACTATAAACAAAACTTGCAGCCTAATTTTGGACTGCTAGCCACCAAAACTGTGCAAAACTACATGTCTATTGTTTAGTCCACCAAGTCCATGGTATTTTGCTATGGCAGCTAAAGCTGACTAAGACAAATATCAATATCATTATCCATAAAAAATTATCCTATACATCATTTGAACAACAGTAATCTGAAAATAAAAGAACTATAGATTTTTTTGACATGTTGATGGGGCATGAAAGACAGAATTAAATTCATGATAATGAAGGAGTGAAGGGGGTTAGAAAGTCTTAATAGATAGCATTTATATATTTTTTTTGTGTATATGTGTGTGTGTGTGTGTGTGTGTGTGTGTGTGTGTATATATGTCATTGGTAATGGACTTAGATAGCCAAACCATTCTTTATTTTTAAATGGAACTGATAAATGTTGATAAATGCATATATAGTCAATTTATGAAGCAATATGGAAAGCATCCAAATATTAACTCTTCATACTTAAATACTTGTATAGATTTGTAGATTAACATAATTGATTAAAAAGCCTGATAAACCAAACTAAGCTAACAAATCAAAGTTACTTCACTAGTGCAAAGGAATTACGGGTGAAAATGAGACCCATAGAAAACATGATATAAATGCACTCTTTGTCTTCCTATGTTTGGCTTATTTCACTTAGTAAAATGTTCTCTAATTCCATCCATGTTTTTGCAAAGAACAGAATTTTCTTTTTTTTTAAGGCATAATAGTATTCCATTGTGTATATGTATCACACTTTACCCATTCATCCATCGATAGACATTTTGGTTGATTCTGTATCTTGGCTATTGTGAGTAGTGCTGCCGTGAACATGGAAGTGCCCATACCTCTCTGACATGCTGATTTTAAATCTATTGGGTATATACTCAGAAGTGGAGTTTCTGGATCATACAGTAATTCTATTTTTAGTTTTTTGAGGGACCTTCATACTGTCTTTCATGATGGTTTTACTGATTTACATTTCTACCATCAGTGTGCATGGATTTGTTATAGAACTATACTCGGGTCCACTACCTGGTGCACTAAGACCAGATATCCACACCGAGGTTTCTGGAGGAAGAAAGGAAAGCATTTATTTGCAGGGCACCAAGCAAGGAGGATCAGGCAGCTCACACTTAAGTCTCAATCTTTCCAATGGGCTAGCAGGTAAGGGTTTTTAAAGGCAGGGGTAAATTTCAGGAAAGCAGAGTTGCAGGAAAAATTATAGATCAACACATAGAGGCTATTGTTTTTGTCCTAAAAGACTGGGATATCTTGAAGCAGGAGCTTACACACCATAGGTAGATTCAAAGATTTCCTCACTGGCAATTGGTTAAGGAAGATAAGCTTTGTTTGAAAATTTAAGGTCAGCAGACATGTTTTGGCTCATGGCCATGACTTTCTCCAGGCCCTGGAGGAGGAAATTTAGAACACTGGTGATCAGAGTTTGGTCTTCAGTTACCTCTTTCCTGAGGTCTACATGCTGGTGGACTGCTTTTTGGTGGGGGTCCAGGTTCTGAAAAACAACTCAGAGAGGAATGGTAAAATGTTATCTTTAGTTTCTATAGGGAACCAAACATCTCACAATTCTAGCTTCCTTCACTATTGTTTTAGGCCACTATTACATTCTTGTTTATCAAGTTGCTTATTTACTTTTCACGGATAGCTAGTTGACAGCAATTTCCCTTGAAAGAACTCAAAATTTTCCTTTACTTTCAAGTTTGGTGGAAGCCCACAGGCCCCTAAGACAAGGTCCCTGCTCCATCTCAGGTTCCCTTTACTCCATACCCTTACCGATATTTATTATCTTTTGCCTTTTACAGTCACTCTGAGAGAAGTGAGCTGACATCACATTACAGTTTTAATGCACATCACATCTTCCTAATGGTTAGTGATTTTGAGAATTTCTTCATGTATCTGTTATCCATCCATATGTGTTCTTTTGAGAAATGTTTATTCAAGTTGTTTTCCCATTTCTTAACTGGATTTTTTTTTTTTACTTTCTATGAAGTTGTTTGAGATTTTTGTATATTTTTGTTATCAAATTCCTTATCAGATATATGCATTGCAATATTTTACCCAATCTAAGATTGTCTGTTCACTCTTAATTATTTCCTTTGTTGTATATATGAAATCTAAAACAATTAAACTCATAGAAGCAGAGAGCAGAATGGTGGTTGCCAAAGGCTAAGGAGTGAGGGTAATGGTGAGATGATAGTCAAAGGGTACAGGGCTTAGGTTAGACAGGAGAAATTAATTTTTTTTGGATATGTATTGTACAACATGGTAAGTATAGCTAATAATTGATTTCCATACATTTCAAAATCATTAAGAGAGTAGGTCTGAAATATTCCTATTACAAAAAATGTTAAATACTTGTGATGAATATTTGAATCTTTGATTTAATTATTTCACATTATATTTAAAAAGCATAACATCTCTGTGTAACCCATAAATATATACAACTGTAATTTGTCGATGTACAATTAAAAAAATAAAACATGGAAATGGAAACCTATTTTTCTGATAGTGATTTCATGACTCGTATGCTGAAATCAGGTGTACCAATATCAGTTATTTTATTACGTAAAAAATGGCTTTGAAAAAGTGCTCAGAGTCTCTGAGCAAAGGGTATAACACATGAATATATGTCTACCTAACTGCCCGTGACTCTACCAGTCCTAGAGCTGGACATTTGCTATGAGGGCTGTAAAAATTTGCATTTTCCATATTTGTTTTATTGTTTGTTCTATCTCAAAAGACTGGTTAACTACCTTTGGGGTTCCCTTTTTTTTCATATTTTTAGGATTTATAAGAACATCTCCTGTGACATAAGGAGTCTAGACACAAAATATGAAAATTGATGTGACTAAAGATATAGCGTTTACATCTTGCAATATGACAACAATTAACAGATGTTTGCCAACTGTGTGTTACTGAGTGTTAAGAACTATAGTAGATATTAAGTAGGATGGATGAACATTAACCAGTTGGTTATTGTCTCAAAGGAGCTCCCAAATATGGAGAGTGCTGCAATAGCAGCATGTGCCTAGTGTTGTAGCACATGGGAGAGAGTGATGGCTAAGTGTACATGTGAACTTACAATGGTAGAGGAAGCGTGATGCTGTGGAAAGTGTTGGGCTTAAAGACATAGCCTTACACTGATGCAAGGGAGAAAGGAAGAGCAGAACTGGTAGAGGGAGTAGTAACAAGCAAGGGTATAACAAAATACATTCTCTTACCCAAACATAATGTCCTTTTGAACTAAACCAGAATGACTACATTGAACTCCAAGAGAAACCAAGTAAATGATCAATGGTTCATGGCTAAATCCAAGCTAAGGGGATATCGTCTAAGTGAACAGTAGTGGCCTGAAAAGATTATGAAATTAAGCAGGATCTAAATCAATGTTTACAAGTCAAAAGACATGCACTGTTTAGAAGCAAAGACAACTGGGGAACTGAGGGGAAGGGGACTGGGGAAGTGGAAAATGAGCAAGAAGCTGGATACAGTTAATTTCTCAGAGAAGCAAATAGTTGAAATGTCATTCTGAAAGATAGCGGCATTTGCACCTTTTACACATCTCTATGAGATGACATGACATACACCTAGGAGATTTCTCTTTTGCTATTTACTTTTCTATTCTGAATCTACGAGAAAGCCAAAGCAAAGGGACTGTTGTCTGGAGAGTTAACCTTTTAAGTTTTCTGTACAAACTACTTTCATTCCCCATCAGTTCTGTGTTGGGCTTTAATTTCACCCTGAGTTACCAATGGTGAGCTTCTATCTTTTGCTTCTCAGACAATGGTAATCGTATAATCAGCTTCTAAAAAAAACTCTGGCCCCCAAAACACAATAAATGACAAATAGTTTTGCTGCTTTCTTTTCCTCATTTCTGGTAGATTTAGTTTCTTTTAAAGTGAAAAAAAAAAAAGATTTTCCACCTTATAATGTAGGAAGAATAACACTGATATTCATCATGACTCAATTAATCATGAGAATTTAAATCCTCCAACAAATTTAAACTGATTTCCTAAGAGTGTTTATTTATAAGCCTTCAACAATAAAAAAGACCTCTTCTTTCTGATCCATAATTTCTTCCCGGTGGATTGAGAATATTCCTACAGCTTCTACTAATGTCTAAATGGTGATGATTCTATAAATTTTCTCCATGTCATTTATTTGCAGAATTATAGTTGTCTACAGGATATTTCCACTTTTATGTCTCATAATTATTTCAAACATTAAAAAATACTCAAAAGGTATGCATTTTAGGTCTTGTAAAATCCTCAGCCCCAGCCTCCTATTTATACTACCTGTCAATACCATGTTTTGAATTATGCTGTTCAGCTATAACACTGAGACCAAGCTATAAACACAAAAATATATTTCACTTTTTTTCTCTGGCTTTCTCCACTCATCACATCGATCCATCTCTTCACAAGACTACATGAATTGTATTTTAAAAAAATCTGTAAAATTTTGCCTCTCCTCTTTAGACCTTGCTTTTGACAATGTATGAAGTCTTCATCAGTTTTGACTTCCTGCAGTAGCCTCTACTGCACCATGCCATTCTTTATCAACTTCTGAAAAACTGTCAACTATTTCACTTTTCTACTTAACATCCACAGTCTCTAATTGTCATGGAATAAATCCAAATTTTGTAGAGTTATCCTCTACAGGCTTGCCCAAGATGCTCACGATATTAATTGTTTAGGAATAGGGGTGGAAAGAGTCACTATATTAGTCTGTTTTCATGCTACTAATAAAGACATACCTGAGACTGGGTAATTTATAAAGAAAAGAGGTTTAATTGACTCACAGTTCCACATGGCTGGGGAAGCCTTAGGAAACTTACAATCGTGGCAAAAAGGGAAGTAAATATGTCCTTCTTCACATGATAGCAGGAAGGAGAAGTGCCGAGAAAAGGGGGAAAAGCCCCTTATAAAACCATCAGATCTCATGAGAACTCAATCACTATCACAAGAACGGCATGAGATTAACCATCCCCATGATTCAGTTACTTCCAGTGGGTCCCTCCCATGACATGTGAGGATTATGACAATTCAAGATGAGATTTGGGTGGGGACACAGCCAAACCATGTCGGTCACTCATTCATACCTGTGTGACTTTCACACTGCTCCGTAACTCTCCTATACCCAGCTCTCTATCTCTTTTCCTGTCACCCCTCATAATCTCATGTGTGAATATCTTTATATATTAACATCTCAAAATGCCACATTTTATTTAAAATAATTTGTTTCTCTGACTTTCATAAAGTGTATGTACCTCAAAACAATTTATAATACTTCCTTTTCTCTTGCAGGGTCTCTGAAATATTTGTAGACTTGAACTCAGCTGAATACAATTCACAAAATTCCATGCTTTTTTGCAATCCAGAAAATTATTTGTAAAGGAACTAAGGTTTCCTCAAGCATAGGTTAGGATATCTAGATTTTGTGCTTAAATATAATTTTGTTCATATGTCTATATATAATTTGAGCTTTGCATTGTAATTTATACATTTACATATTTACTTTTAGTGAACAAAGAGAGGTATTTGTATATATGGAATTGTTAAATAACACTTCTTTCAGTAAACATCACTTGCTAGGCATTAAGTAATTTTTTTTTATCACTGAAATTATACCCTGAAGTCTGTTAATGAAGAGGGCTGGCTGTAAGTTAAGCTTGAACATTTAAAATATTAGAATTTATCTCTAAACTCTTTATGCTGATACTGCTATCTTGACTTTTTTTTCTCCATTACTTCATGGATGATGTTCCCTAATCTACTCATCTTGCAAACTGCAGGTGCTGATGAAGCATATCCATTTTAATTGAACTCTTAACCCATGGGAGAATTTCACTTATTTTCTTTTAATGGCATTTATGTTTTTAGCTTATTTAGTGCCTTTGATTATTTAGGAGAACCCCTTATGATTTATCAAGTAAAATGACATGATTAATGTTGTACATTATCCTTTCTTTAATATGATTTTACAAGTGGAAAAAAGCATCTGGATTTGATCGCAACCTTACATTGAGCATCAGTGGTGCATGCAAAGCAGCTCAGACAAGTGCTAGGTATACAATTTCTCCTGTGAATACAGAAATCTACTGACTATTCAAGTTTTATGAAGACTGTCACCTTCTTAGTTTGAAGAAATTAACAAAGGTAATTCTTTGTTAATTCAAGAGATCAAGGAATCCTTGTGTCTGTGATTTTATTATATTTTACTGTAATTGTTTTTTACATGTAGTCTTCAATTTTACTAACAGAGAACTTTTCTATAATTGTCTTGGGAAAGAGAAATCCATGGTGTTCTTCTTAACTCACCATAATGTTGGCTGCCCTTCCACTCTCTAACTCACCCAGCCTATTCAGATTCTCCATCTTCAGTCATTTCATTTTTCCTTTTTTATATGTTGCCTGCTTTCCTATTTAAAAACATATATTATTATTGCTGGAAACACCCTAAAAGAAATTTCTAAATGCTAGGTTAAAAATCCCCAGATAAGAAATCTGTTGTACAGGTAAGAAAACAGTCTTTAGAGTGAGACTAAGCTTAGCTCATTTACTATATTTATCAACTGTGAGATCGTAAGTAAATTTCCTTAGTTCTTTCTTTCAAAAAATTAGCAGAATTATTCACAACCCACATGATTGTTGTGGTGACTAATTAAGATATTCATAAGGTGTATTAACCAACACATCTGGCAAATATTAAGTGCTTAAAACTATTGGTTATATTTACAATTATTGGGGCTAAGTTACTTTGTTTACATTCTGGCACTCTTTCTATTGAAGAAATATTCATTTAAATAAATATTTAAATTAAAAAAACAATGTTTTAACTTAAAAAATACAACTGTTCTGATTAAAAATGAAAGCCAAGGTATATATATTTATATTCCTCTCACTTTCAAGTGTATTGCACTTTGAATAAATTCCATATGGTAGAATAAACTAATAATAACAAAAAAACCTTGAAAACTAGAGTGTCAGGCCTCTGAGGCCAAGCTGAGCCATCATATCCCCTGTGACCTGCAGGAATACATCCAGATGGCCTGAAGCAAGTGAAGGATCACAAAAGAAGTGAAAATGGCTGGTTCCTGCCTTAATTTATGACGTTACCCTGTGAAATTCCTTCTCCTGGCTCAGAAGCTCCCCCACTGAGCACCTTGTGACCCTCACCCTTGCCCGCCAGAAAACAACCCCCTTTGACTGTAATTTTCTACTACCTACTCAAATCCTATAAAACTGCCCCACCCCTAACTCTCTTTGCTGACTGTCTTTTCCGACTCAGCCCGCCTGCACCCAGGTGACTAAAAAGCTTTATTGCTCACACAAAGCCTGTTTGGTGGTCTCTTAACATGGACACGCGTGACATAGAGTTGAAGATTTCAACAGCCCAAAGATTTAGATTTATTTCTGAACTGAAAATGTGAGTTATCATTTTAATGGATAAAGTCAATTAGAGGTAACAAAAAGGCAGCCTTGTATTTGACAACTGCAGAGAGCAGAAATCTTAAGTGGGGCAAAGATTGAAGAGATGAGTTAAAAATTGTCTGTGGAAGGAACACTCCTCAAATACAATCCTGTTTGCATAGCATTTGCTTTGGCCTACAGGTTAGGGCACATAATAAACCCTTTAAAGAAGTGGAGGGTATATTTGGGAAGGACATAGAATCTCAGAACGCAAATTACCATGCCAAATGATTTTGGTTTACTTTTGCATTGGAGCAAATGCCATTACTACCTCTCCCCTTTTATGCAAATAAAGTTAAGCTTGCCAGTCTATACTCTTCTAATTCTTAGAGAGAGATTAAAGATAAAAAAATTCTTAGAGAGTGATAGAAGATAATAAATTTTTTTAAAAAATCCCCTTTCAGGATCCCCAGGATAAAGACAAAATTTTGAAATATTCCAAACGAATATTAATCCTTTTGCATTCATATTGGTAGTATACCCCATTTTCATGACTATAATTTGTTTTTCTACAGTTTTTATTATAGCTTTTGATAAACAACACTTTATATTATTTTCATTAAGTTTTTCAAACTCTTCTTTTACATGTTGCTCAGTCTTGTTTTATTTAAAGAATTTTTCTTTACCAAAAACATGTTACATAATCTCCTACATTTTTTTCCTATAAGCGTTCAATGTTTATTTTTTCTCAGACTATTTATAGAATGTAGATTGGTAATTTTCTCCTCTCATGAATAACATGTATAACAGGTACTGGTAATAATTCTCTCTTAGATGAAATAAAAGTCTCATGCTCTATAAACATTGGTGAAATTTTGAAATTTTTTGGGAATATTGAATTTATAAATATGCTTTTGGATGTTTGTATCTTTCCATTCATAAACTTCAAATATCTTTCATTGTAGGACATTTCAGATAGATTTCTCAAAAATATTATAATTTTATCCATGAAGGTCTTATGCATATTTAGTTCAATTTATTTCTATGTACATCATACTTTTATCTTTATGAATGGGACCTTGAAAAGAGATATACTGTATATTTACTGTTTATAACTAGTATATAGAATATAATTGATTTCTAAAAGTTGATGTTACATCCAAAAACTTGCTAAGTTATTTAATGAAATCTTATATTTTATAGCTTCCTATAAGATTTTCTTTGATTATATTTACATCATCCGTGAAAGAGACTGCTTTCTTCTTAATTTATATGTATGTTCTTCTTCCTCCACTAATTGTTATTCCCAGTACAAGAAAATTCTTTATTGTTTTCTTGAATTTAAATGGTCTTTCTAATATTTGCCAATGATAAATATATGTATTACATATTTGTGTACTCTCTTTAAATAAGGAAGTTCTTTGCTATACCGAAATTGCTAAAAATGTGCTAAAATTTCTCACATACATAATATCTGCTAATAGGAAATCTAATGGATTTGCTTTTTTGCATCTCTTGATATAAATGTTTTTCTCCTTTAGTGCTTTAATGTAGTACATTGCATCAATTGATATTCTAATTTATAAGGAATTCTTGGTGTGCTGAGAAAACTCATCTTTCTCATGAATTTCAGTTTTGCATGTACACAATTTTGTCTAACTTTATTTATGATTTGTGCCTCTCTATCCATAACTGAGTTTGCACTAAGTTATTTCTGTTGCATATGTCCTCTTCAGCTTGGGTTTTTCAAGAATTATCTAGACCAATAACAGAATTAGACACATCGCCTCGTGACTTAATCTATTAATATGTAACATTTGTGGAATATAGGCGCATTTTCATTCTTTGATGTTTGTAAAATTTCCCTCTGAGTTGTTTGGCAGGGATGATTTTTGGCATGTAGCTTTTAAGAACCGATTCAAATTTTTTAATGGTTATTTTTTCACACTTTCTTTTCACAGTATTTTAATTTATATTTGCAAAGAATTAGGTATTTCAAAAAATTTTTATACATAGGGCATATTTTTTAAAGTGTTTTACTTATATATTGTTAAATCTACTTGTAGTTGCCTCTTTTATTCCCACATATTATCTATTTAATTGTCGTATTTGTCAGACATTTGGCTATTTTACTTGCTTCTTCAAATTAAACATTATTTTAAAAATTCATTAATTTCTGCTCTTTTTAAATTATTTATATTTTTTATGTTTATTTTGAAATAATTCTAATTTAGTGTAATTTACAAAAATAGTCCTGAGAATTGCACACCCTTACTAAACTTCCTGCAAGGGTAACAGTTTATATAACTGTAATGTATACGAAGACTAGGAAATTGACACTGGTATATACTGTGAACTAGACTTCAGGTTTTCACCAGTTTTTATGTGTGTGTGTGTGTGTGTGTGTGTGTGTGCGCGCGCAGAGATGTATGTAATGTATGTAATGACCACCACAATCAAGACAGAACTGTTTCCTCACTACAAAGAAATTTCCTTTTGATTTTATAGTTCTTTTCACTCGCGTCCGTGTGAAGAGACCACCAAACAGGCTTTGTGTGAGCAACAAGGCTGTTTATTTCACCTGGGTGCAGGCAGGCTGAGTCCGAAAAGAGAGTAAGCGAAGGCAGATAGGAGTGGGGCCATTTTATAGGATTTGGGTAGGTAAAGGAAAATTACAGTCAAAGGGAGTTGTTCTCTGGCGGGAAGGGGCGGGGGTCACAAGGTGCTCAGCGGGTGAGCTTTTGAGCCAGGATGAGCCAGGAAAGGGAATTTCACAAGGTAATGTCATCAGTTAAGGCAGGGACTGGCCATTTTCACTTCTTTTGTGGTGGAATGTCATCAGTTAAGGTAGGAACCGGCCATTTGGATGTGTGTGTGCAGGTCACAGGGGATATGATGGCTTAGCTTGGGCTCAGAGGCCTGACAGTTCTACCTTGCCTCCCCACTTTACCCTTTAGGAATCACTAATCTGTTCTTATTCTCCATAGCACTGCCATTTAAAAAATGTTATGTAAAGCGAATCATGCAGTGTATAACCTTTTGAGATTGGGATTTTTTATTAAAGACAGTGCCTCTGAGATAGACTCAAGTTGTTACATGTATAAATAGTTTCTTTTTGTTGCTGACTGATATTCCATGGAATGTGCATATCACAGTTTATTTAGCCTTTCATCTGTTGAAGGACAGAATTGTGTCCAGTTTTTGGCTACTATATATAAACCTTCTGTGAACATTTCTTTATACATTTTAGTGTTAATATAGGTTGTTATATCTCTGAGATAAATATCCAAGACTGCAATTGCTGGAAAATATGGTAACAATGTTTGGTTTTAAGATAATTACCCAATAATTTGTTAGTGCTTCTGCCATTTTACATTCTTACTTGCAATGTATGAGAGATCCAGTTTCTCTGCATTCTTGCCAGCATTTGGTATTATTATTTATTTATTTATGGTTTACATGTTAACCATTCTGATAAGTCTGTAGAAATATCTCATTTTGATTTACTGTGCATTGCTCTACTAGCTAGTGTGTTCAATATATTTTTTATATGCTTACTTGTTACACATATTCCATGTTTAGTGGAAAGTCTATTCATGTCTTTTGCCCATTTTTTATTTTTCTGTTGTACTACTGCTGAGTTTTGAGTTATATTCTAGATGTAAATTATTTGTCAGATATGTGGCTTGCAAATATTTTCTCCCAATCTTCAGCCTTTCCATTTTTTACACGTTAACTTTTTTTTGGCAGAGTTCAATTTATCTACTTTTTTTCTTTTATAGATTAGGAAAAGTCTTCATCTTGCCCGAGGTCCCAAGTCCCAAGCCCCAAGCCCCAGGCACTTTCTCTTATATTTTTTTCTAAAAGTTTTTATAGTTTTACATTTAAATCTATAATCTATTTGAGTTAGTTTTTCATAAATTGTGAGTTTTAAGTTAAGTTGAGGGCTTCATTTGTTTTGTTTGTTTTTTGCTTATGGATGTCCAGTTACACCATCACTCTCCATGGAAAATATTACCCTTCCTTTAATAAATGGCTTTGCAATAATTAGGAGGCTTTTGCTATCAAATGTAAATATAGACATTTATAATTCGTATTATGGAAATCAGGCTATGTTTGATTTGTATGCTTTTTTTTTTTTCTTCAAATCTTTACCATTCTGGAATTATCTTTTTAATGGAAAAAATTTTTAAAGTATATCAAAAATAAAGGCAGAAGTTAGGAGATATTGTAAAGATACTGTTCATTAACTAAATTCTGACCCTTTAGATATGCTTCAATCACTGACTGTTATAATTTAAATCTAAAATTTAGATGAACAAAAATACTTTGCTGTTCAAGCTGATTTGATCCAAAAGCTTTGAGACAGAACATTTGTAAAATATTAATATGGTTAAAGTAACACAATTGCACTCACTCAAATTTAATATTTTAACTCAGGCATTGCTTTACTGTTTCTTAAAAAATTCTTAAATAAATATGCATATCCCCAAAATGTTTCATTGATAAAAAGAAAGCAACTTATGAAGCTTTGAGATTAGTGCCTGAAGCCTAAACAGCAACCATTAAATTAGACAAAAGGCATATAAAGATTAAGAACTGAATGTATCATTAGGATGCTGGTAGCAATGAGGAGCTAAAATATTATGTGAAGCTACATATTCTATGTTTCTTTCTTTTTAATGAAATATACTTACATTTCCATTACACTCTTAGACTCCAATTAATCCAACACAAAAGCCTCTCCAAAAATGCCCATGTGAATTTTTCTTATATGTTTAGTTCACTCCCACAATAACATCTAATTATATGAAACTTCAAATGAATAAGGGGAGGCTATTATCTAACAAATACCTTAAAGGAGGCAACTGCTTTTCAAATTAGTTTTGAAACACTGCTGGCATTTTTTTTCTATTACCCCTAAATGAAACTGCTAACCTTAAGAGTATTTATGGGACCAGATTTTTAATTATATTTGCAAGCTATAGGGGTCTGGTAATATGGTAATTTAAAGGAATTAATGTTTATTGGTGTTTACTACATTTTAGCTACCATAAGCTATAAAATTTTTTTTAAATTCCACTTCATTTTTGCACATTTAATAACTAAAATGGTAATATCTGCTCATCTTCTGAACTAGTAAGGTTTGAAGGTTTTCATACGCATATCTAATATTCAGTAAGATGTGAATTACTACAATTTTTCAAGAATTCTACCATTTAACATTATATGAATAAGAAACTGAGGCAAAGAATATTTGTGGATTGTCCAATGTAAAACAACTTGTATCTATAACAAACCTAATGCAGAAATGGAAAGCTAACTGAATTTAGCCCCAGAAATGAGGCAGCCCCTTTGTCTATTATTTTCAAAATGTTTGATAATTCTCCATCCATTTGACGAAGGCGAATGAAATTGTTTAAAATGGTCATGTTCTAGGAAAGACTATTTCTGACATTTTCAATACTACATCAAACTCAGAATGCCTAGAATCGTCCCAAGCACCTCTTCTTCCTCCACTGTTCCTCTTTTCCAACTTGATAGACACCTCATATTTCCTGACATTTCCAGTGTTTTCCTATCTATTATTAGATAGGAAAATAGGTTGGTCCTCTCCACTGAACAACATTTCAGTGCTGTTCTATCATGTTTTGTAACCTCTTTTCAAAAAATATTCTGTCTTCAATCTCCACACTTGAACACCTCTCCTTAGACCCTCAACAGAGTACAACTCTCTTTTGAGATGAGAGAAGGTCATTAAATGTAAACCTCTTCAAATCTCCCTCCCTACCGCATTCTTCTACCTCATTTAAGTTCAAGCCCCAACCCTGGAAAAGAGGGCCCGATCTGATGCACATGCCTAGTAATACCAAAATCTGCTAATGAATCTTGTTCAACAACTTTTTTTTTTTTTGAGACGGAGTCTTGCTCTGTCACCCAGGCTGGAGTGCAGTGGCGCGATCTCGGCTCACTGCAACATCTGCCTCCAGGGTTCAAGCTATTCTCCCGCCTCAGCCTTCTGAGTAGCTGGGATTGCAGGTGCCTGCCATCATGCCCGGCTAATTTTTGTATTCTTGTAGAGATGGGGTTTCCTTTAATAAATGGCTTTGCAATAATTAGGAAGCTTTTGCTATCAAATGTAAATATAGATATACTAATGAATATATCTATTTTGAAATTATGCCTTTTCTTGGCCTCCAAAGCAAACTTTTAATAATGGAGTCTATTTTGTCTTCCACCAAATATCCAGCCACCCCTATTCTTTTTCTCATAAAGTTTCTGCTTCTTTTTATTCACCATTTAAAAATTCAATTGTTTTTAGGTTTGTCCCCTTGTCTCTCTTCAGTTTTAATACTGAGCATTGGCTCAGAATTATCTCCTACCTTTATTCAACAGCCTTTCATGAACCTTACAAACCACATGGTTCCCCCCCATAAACTTCTATTATAGTATTTAATACCCTTTATCAAAATGATTTGCTTTTTTGTCTATTATTCTATTATTCCCCTATTTGTCTATACATTTTTATCTATTATTACTCCCATAAAACCATGGAGTGTTTAGATTCAGGGACCATGTCCTCTTCATCTTTGAGCACCTCATGTGCAGCATAGAGTCTCAATCTACTGTATCTATTGTATGATTGAGTAAATACAGATCTACTCAATCTATTGTATGCACTCAAGTATTCATTGATTGAATAAATGAGTAAACATACCTTTTGACCTAAAGTAGATGACTCTTTTCTTATGACAGAAATTCTCATGTTTATCAGACAATGAAGTACGAGCAAGATCAGTTGCTGATGTTAGCCTTCTCTTTTCAGGATTCCAAACAGCTTATCTTCTTTCTGACACATTAATTATTTGCATATATTTGTAAACTTGCATGACTCTTTTTTATATTTATTTTTACTTTTCTCCAATTTTGCCTTAAATTTATTGAGTTCCAGAAAATCTCTCTGTTTCTTATTTTAAAACTGATGGGTATTTGTGAATTTTGATCAGTGTGGCTCTCAGCAGATGAGCTTATTTTTAAATCCCTGCTGGCCCTTATGCACTAAATATAGCAAGTAAATGAAAAAAAGGCAGAGTTTTAAATGAGTTTTCTGAATTCAAGTCGATTCATTTGCACATTTGGAATAACATACCTAATTCATTCACTCAAGCTACTCATGCTACTCAAAATCTAACATCCTTGTATCCCATAAGTGAATAATCACTTTCACTGTCCTCTCCTTGCTGGAGAGATGGGAAGAGTAACTTACTAATTAATGACCTCACAATATTCTCCAGTTTGAACGGTCTCTTAAATTTGCAGTGAATTCAGGTTCATAGTCTTCTTCTGAGCTAGTTTAGTCTCCTTTTGATGATTCAGTTTCTTCCAGGTGATTGCTCAGGTTTCCTATACTGCCTATTCATCTTCTGGATGGCTTACTGAGTGGTTAGGATAGGCGAGAAGACACCACAATTCTGGCTGAAGAGTAATTCCTCTAGTCTGTGATGTCCTTTGCTACTCTGGTCCCTGGATTTATGACCACTAATTTGCAACCTGTTCAATCTAGTCCTTTGGGCACTGAATAGTACCCATTGCCACAGTCTGATCAGAAATTTGCACCAGTATCAAAGAATCCACTCTCCCTATCTCTTTGTTCTATACCAGGCCACTGCTTGTGGTCCTGCCTTCTCCACCCTTCCATAATCCCTCATTGTGACTTATTGGAATATTTGGAATGCACGCATGCCCTCTGTGGAAGTTGCTGCGCCAGGAGTGTTCTGTAAGGCTGTCAATTAGGACACATTTCCTAGCAAATTGTGTACTCTCTCTCCAAGGACATATTGGGTATGGCTTGAAGGCTTGGAGTCTTTCCAGGCTATTCTTCCCAATCTAAGCATGCCCTTACTCATCACTGGCTGGCCAATTTATTGGAATTTTTAAATATTTTCTCTCTCCTTGAGGTTCCATGGCAAGAGAGAGAAATAGAGAAAAAAGCACAAAGATGGGTATGTCTGTCTCTTGCCTTTACTGTAGTCCCCTGCCCTAGAAATCTTCTGCTTTATTCACTTCCTCCTTCTCCCGGAGAAGACTTCCATTCCATAAAACACCAAGGTAAAACCCCGCATTTCTGGCCCCTGGTATGTCTGTGGCATGCCAAAGAATTTAGAAACACCTCTTTCATCTTAATGATTCTCTTAAAACAATATCATTGCTATGTTCATACAAGAAGTGTTTGTGACATATATGTGAATAATTGCATTTTAGTTCTAGCTGGTATCAAATACCTGTTGATAGGTCAGTATGGAGATATAAGGCAAAAAGACATAGAAGATCCTGAAATAAATGAATAAACATTTGCAAATACATTTAACCACTACACACATTTTAATAGTTTTTATATCCTTGTCATGGACATCATAGTACCCTCAAGACAAAGGTACTCATTCTTACTAGGTGCTGGAAATAATGTCTCTTAATGGCACTGCATCCCTCTCCATTGACTGACCTTGGCAAAGAGGAGCTGTCTCATCTGAAGTTATATCCCTTCTTTGAGGCAGGCCTATTTTCAATAACTGGTTGATGAAGGGTACAAAGGCTAAATCTTTTGACTTCAGAACAACTCTGAATCTCAGCAGCAGCTGCCATACAGTCTGCTGAAGCTTCGGAGGCAAATATATCTCAGTTCAACCTCTCCCTCTGTGAAAGTCAGCTGCTTCTATTTCCTTACAGGTGTTGTCCTGAGAGCTCTCCTCAATCAATCTTCTGCAAGTAAATCTCCCTTTAAGACTCTTTCTTAGAAAATCTGACCTCTGATAATTGAATGGAGATTTTGGAGCCAGATGCCCTACTCTGTGAAAACTGCATTATAGTACAGTATTCCCCTCTAAGCAATTGTATTTTCCTCACTCACATATATTTTTCTCCAAAGCTCTCCTCAGCAATCACCTCATGCATACAAATCTTCGCCAGAGTCCGCTTCTTATGGAAACTCATCTATGACAATCCACCACTATTTTAGGAATAGTAAAGGGAACAAAATATTGTGCAAGTAAAAACTAAGATAGCAATACCTTAAATTTTCAGAGTAATTTTATATTTTGCCAAGCAAAGTGATATTATAATCTTTGATTTGATCTACTTGAGTAAAATAGTAGGAAAGCAATAACATTGAAAGAAATCAAGTAGCAGTATTTACTGAGGATTAACCTTCAAACCTGTACTGTTGACTTGAATTTCTCTGTATTAACCTGCACTTCTGATAGTGACAGGAGGCAGCCAAATGGCTAGGTAGATAAAGATGGGTCCCTGGTGAAACTCCACCTTAAAGACAAAAAACAGTCCGAAGGCTGAAAGTCCTAACTGCTAATCCTGCATGAAACCCACAACCCAGAGTGAGAACTTCTGTTCCTGTTTGCCCACCCTTTCCTGATTTATTCTTTCTAAATAATGCCTTTTAACCAAACGAATGTTGCCTTTTCCAATACTGTTATACTACAGCTTGCTCCTTCCCTATTCTGAGCCCATAAAAGCCCCAGACTCAGCCACATTGAGAGGACTTTTTCTGCATTCTGGTAGGGGGACCACCCCTGCATCCCCTTTCTGTGGAAAGCTGTTTCATCATTCAATAAAACTCCCCAACTTGCTCACTCATTGATTGCCAGCATATCCTCATTCTTCTTGGATGCTGGACAAGAATTTGGGACCCACCAAGAGCAGACACCCAGAAAGTCTGCCTCACAGGCCTTCTGCCCTCACTGGCAGAGGGCAGCCACCACTCACAAAAGGGCCAGGGGCCAACTGAGTGGCCAACCAGATCCTGCACTCACTTGCTCACATGCTCCTTCCTGCAAGGAATTGAGTGTAGCAGGCCAAGTAGACATGGCAACCCTGCTGTGAGTCCAGCAAAGGGACCAAGAGAAAATTCCTGTCACTTTCTCTAGTGGTCTGAGAAAGGTTTTGATCTTACTACCATGGAAATAAATAGTAAACAGGCCCAATGAGAATTCAATCTCCCTATATCTTGCAAATAATTTATATGACCACATTAAACACATTGAAAATTACAAAGAAAGAGAAGTATATCTTTGAAAGTATGTGAAACAAGATTCAGGAGAAAACATTTTATATTCTCTAGATCAGGGGCCCCCAACCCCTGGTATGCAGACCAGTACTAGTCTGCATCTTGTTAGGAACCAGATCGCACAGCAGGGGATGAGTGGTGGGTGAGTGAGCGAAGCTTCAACTGTATTTACAGCCTCCCCTCATTGCTCAGTTACCACCTGAGCTCTGCCTCCTGTCAGATCAGTGGCAGCATTAGATTCTCATAGGAGAATGAACCCTATTTTGAACTGCACATGTGAGGGATCTAGGTTGTGTGCTCCTTATGATAATCTAACTAATGCCTGTTGACCTGAGGTGGAACAGTTTCATCTTGAAACCATCCCCAACCCACCAACTGTGGAAAAACTGTCTTCTATGAAACCAGTCCCTGGTGCCAAAAAAGGCTGGGGACCACTTCTCTAGAATATAAGAATATCTAGCTTCTTGTAAATTAGTAGCAAAAAGTCATGAGGAGATAAAATCTGGAAAGAAACAGGCATTGGGGAGCAATGAAATAAGTATGCATGAAGTAAAATGTGTAAAGAAATTAAAGCAAATTTACAGCATCCACACTGGCAGCAGTAAAAGGCTAATGTAATAAAGCAAAAAATAAAAGTTGCACCATGGAAGATGAACTCAGGGGCTTTTCCTGTATTAATTTATTTAAATGGAAAAGTAAGTGAAAATGACTAATATGAAGGGAAAACTAAAGAATCAACAGAAAGATCATTTGCAATGCTGTGTGTAGAAAAAATTGTAAAAAATATAACGAGTGATAGAACAAATAATCCTTTTTTGTACTAAAGGAAGTCTTTATATGAAGTACTTATGGGACAACAAAATCAATTTTAAAAAACACATAAGGATTTATCATTGCAATTTTTGATAATTATAAGGAGTGGGGGAACAATCAGATTAGAGTTCTTGATGAAACACTCTTTTTTTAAAGTGACCTTTAAAACATTTAACAATCTATGTTGGCTAATATTTGCAAAGATATTCCTGCATATGTTGGTTTTGGGAAACAAATGAGCACACAACTCCTTATTTCAAAAGTTTTAATTCAATGTGCTTCACTATTGGCAAATATAAAACTTAACTATAGAAGAAAAACATAGAGGGCAATAATATTTAATATCACTTAATACACACTGGGGTTATAGCTAAATAATTCCTTTAAATCAGGTTATAAAAACAAAACTGAAGGTTTAAATATACTTTATATAAAGGATATATATTAAATAATGATGAAATAATAACCCACAACAATTCTTTATTGAATTACTATACTATCCAAGCATAATTGATGCATATCTTATATAACTTTCATCATGATATTATCATGTATATATTTCTATTTTACAGGTGAGTAAATAAAACTAATAATTTTTTTTTCTTTTTTCCTAATGACCACAAAGTAAAAAAATAAGGAAAGGTTTTAAATCATCTGTTGCCTGACAATAAATTTGACAACAAATTTTATTCATCTGCTCCATGGAACATATACTAATATCTATATACTTTTTTTTTTAAAAAAAGAAAAGAATGATTTTCACATATGAGGAATTAAAAAACATAATTCCCCTCCCCACACTTACTGGAGGCATTTTTAAGTTAGTTATTGTTAATATTCACACTGCTTCTAATTTTCCTAAAGACACAATCTTACATAATTTTAAATTTGCCATCTTTTCATTCTTCTATATAATTTATCTTAATTCCTTTCTGCTTAGAGCTTTTTATTCTCTCCCTTTTTGACTTTTTTCAATAATGGCCAATACCATTATTTTTCCAAGGCCTACTGGCTTATTCTTTGTTTTTTGTTTTTTTTTTTTAAATTTTATTCTATTTAATAGAGATGAGGTCTTACTATGTGGCTCACATTGGTCTTGAACTTCTGGACTCACACAATCTGATCTCCCACTTCTGCCTCCTGAAGTGCTGGGAATATAGGTGTGAGTCACTGTCCGTGGCCCCATTGGCTTATTCTTAACTGATTAGAATAGAGCCATAGGTGCGTATATATCCTTGGTTATTTTGTCTCTACCTGCTTCTATATATTCCACGTATCCCATAAATAGATGATGAGGACATCTTTTCCAAGCACAATATCCACCTGACATGCTGTTTTATATTTTATAATCTCCCTTAGTTGGCCTTTAAGGCTGTGACCCACTGGTCTCCTAACCCAATTTAACATCATACTTCTTGCTAGATCTAAGACTGAAAGTAGTGACATACAAGGTAAAATGCATGCACATTGAAAGTAGGCAGACTAGAGTTAGAATTCAGGATTCACCATTTACCAGCTGTGAGACATTGAGGTCATTTGAATATTTTCCTCTTTAAGTAATCATATGTTTAATAATAAAAGTAGAATCCACATTGCAAATTTTTTGTGATGACTACATTTCATACCTTTTTGAAATCAGCTATCCTGTTGTGAGGGCTCAAAAAATGCTAATCAATGTCCAAATTGAATGCATAGTTCAGTTGTGAAAGTTTTGTTCTTAAAATAATATATTCTCTCTTTCCCTCTCTCTCTTTTTTCTGTGTCTGTGTCCGTGTCAGAGGTGGGGTGGGGTGAAGCGTGTGTGTGAGATTCCCAGCTGAGAAAGTGCGGGCTTAAAGTATTTCAAAAATTGTAGGCTGTGTGTTAAAATATTTATGAGGGTTGTTAAATTACTACTTTTATGATAATAGTTTTGTTAATTTTATAATGGTATTCAACATACAATGTATGATTTTTGTTGTATTTCTTGCTTTTTTATCTCCCAAGTTTAGATGCTGCTAAATAAATAAATAAATGTTCAAAACTTAAATATTAAAAGAAAATATTTGTTGGTACTTTTGTTGTTACTATTGCCTTAGCTTTTGACATTAAGTTACTGTTGGGAAAGAAAGAACATTTACGCTAGTCTTGATGTAACACATTTATAAAAAAGTAACAGTTAAATCTATAAAACTTATTTAAAAGCGATTGGTCAGAGCACAGTTTCATTTTAAAGTTGTCATTTAAGAATACTCAAATGCACATAATAAAAGTTGACATTTCATAGTATTATCTACTATTCAAAAATAATTCTTATTATTTTTCACTATTGATGTCATGTTGAAAGAAAATAGGAACATCTCCTATTGTGTATTAAATGCTAAGAAGTCGTCTTCTTTAAGAGAACAAGGGGAATTGGAACACATTTTCAATAGACCCCCACCGTCTGCATCACAAAATATAGAAATAGTGTAAAATTTGTATTGTGTTAACTAAGTAATGCAAGAAGAGAAATTCAGTATGAATAAATAAATCTGTAAGAGAAAATCCTGGAGTGTGCACTTCTTTGCAGAGGTCCTTATGGTATATACATAGGTAAGTAGCTAGACAAACCAGTGGAAAGATAGAGAATATTACTGGCAACACTGCTAATTCCCCTATTGTTTGCCATCAGGATCTTTGATATTCAGTGAGTAGAATTTTTAATCTTTACTTTGGGAAGAAAAAACACGAGGCAGATTTCTCTGAATTAACAGAGTACTATGACAAGATCATATTTTAAAAAGTCTTATGTATTTAACACCTTTAAATACCTACTTTGTGTTTTAATTACATACTTTGTGTTTTAAACAATTTTTTCTGTTATTTAGATGAGATTTAGAAATGTCAAAAATCAAGAAAATAGGAAAGAGAAAATTATTCATAACATTAGCAACAAAACCATTTTAAAAGAATATGTCTAATTTTCTTTTTGGTACATGGTGATTGAGAAGTTTTTAAAAATGTTGCCTCTCCTGAAGGAAAAGATGGATAATTTGGGGATATTAAATCTGTCCCAATGCAAAGCTTTATCTCCTCTAAAAGAGCTATTTCTCTAATAAATCAGGAACAGTATTTTAATTATGTATGGCATTTATTTCAGCATTCCAATCAGTGCAATTCATTGGACAGCTTTCTTTTGTCAGGCATAACACACAGACAGATGAAAATTTATCCTGTAACCTCAAAAATCTAACAATTTTTAAGAGAGATATAGAAATATATCAAAATATAATATTTCAGATATCACTGGAACTTTTGACAGTCATCATATATGAAACCACAAAAAAGCCTTAATAAATTTATAAAAATATAAACTCATTCTCTTATGGAAATTCAATAAAATTATAAATGAATAATAAAATGTCAGGCAATAGACCTTTTAGTTGGAAAATTGTAAACTCCCTTTAAACAATTATGGATTAAATTAAAATTTCAGAATCTAGAAAATAAACCACATATCAGAACTTATCATATATAACTATGAAAGAGCTCTGAAGTAACGTCATTATATCAAACTTTCATAGTACTTGATGAAAAAGAAATAAAACTAAATGAAACACTTCTATAATTAGCTATCATGGCTCCACTTGTATTACACAAACTCTTTTCTTGAGAACAACTATAAAACTAGATAACACACCAGGAAAATAAAAATCCCAACTGTTTGAAGGCATGAGAAAGAGAGCAATAAATTCAGGACTTGAAGGGGATAGAAGAAATATTCTTTCCCTGAATCCTTTCTCCTCTAAGGTCATTTCTCGATTCTTGACGCAAAAATTTGCAGCCCGGTTAAAAGCAGCAATCTAGAGGTTTTGCAAAAGTATCAAAGGTCTGGGAAGATGAAAATTGGAATCCAGATCAACTAAAGTAGCAAAGTCTTGAAACCAAGATTAGGGAACCCGTTATTAGAAGCCAAGAAAAGGAAACTACAGATATGAGCCTGACCTTCTATGTGAATTTAGACCACAATTTATTGCCAAATTCTAAAGGGGTAAGAGACAGCAACCAGCTATAAAACTGCCTCACAGAGCTGAGGAAAAAAAAAAAAAAAAAGCAATATAATGCTCAAGCTTAACAAGAAACTGTGTACTTGGTCAGCATGCTAGTATTTCTATTGAGATCCCTGATAAGATATAACCTAGGAGTAGGGCAAACTAGAATTAGACATGACTTCTTCCCTTTTAACAGCCACTCCACGTCCAAAGGACTTCAAACAAATGCAATTGCTAATGGGGTCAGTTGCTTATTCACCCTACTCGCACTCTGGTCCATCCAAGAACTATCTTCTATTAGGAGACATGTGGAATCATCCAGAGGCTGTGTGATTTAATATATACAGCATCTAAGATTAAATATAAAATGTGGTAACTACATGGTGCGATAGAACTTGGTGACCAAATGCTAAGATAAAAGGTCAACATAAAGATACCTGAAATAGTTCAGATTTGGGAGCTATCAGGCACGGACCTTCAGTTTGCTGTGCTTAATATGGTTAAGAAATAGATGACAAGATGGAGCATCCCACAACTGAACCTAATCTTACAAATATATAATTATATATAAATTCTATAGTAAAATATAATAACCAAAATTAACAACTCAGTAGATGGGTATGATAGTAGAGTAGATGTAACATCCCCATTGAAATGGTACTAAGCATTTGGAAACAATTAGGTTAAGAAAAGATCATGAGAGTTGGGTCATCATGATAGGGTTAGTGTCCTTATAAGAAGATTCCAGAGAGCTGGATGGCTGTCTGTCTGCCGTGTGGGGACACAGGAAGAAAATAGCTGTCTGCAAGCCACAACGCAGACTATTACCAGTTATTAAATAGCTAGCACTCAGACTCTAGGGCTTCCTAGTCTTCAGAACTGTGAGAAATAAACTTTTGTTGTTTAAGCTACCCAGTCTATATTACTAAATTATAGGAGCCCAACCAGAAGAAGACACCAGAATATTTTCTAGATCAGTAGAAAACATTGAGTGAAACAGGAAAGCAGAAAAAGTTAAAAAATACAGATAATAGTATAAAATGATTATGGAAAAATATACAGTTCTAATATACAGGTGATTAAAATACTAAACAGATTTAGAATAGTTTCGCAAGCAATATTTGAATAGATAGTAGAAGAGAGTTTATCAAATTAATACAAATCCTACGCACAAAAATTCAAGAAGCCATGCAAACCCCAAGTGGGATGACCTCCCTGCCCCACCACACATAGCCCATAGGGTACATTAAATAAAAGTATTAAAAACTAAAGTCAAGGACAAACATTTTAAAACAGCTAAAAGAAAAAAAAAAATTCATTTCCTTTAAAAATGAAACTTTAGGAATAACAGTTATTTTTATCAGAAATTCTATAAATTAGAAGATGATAAAATGGTGATGAAAACACTATCAACACAGAATTTAGTATCTAATGAAAATAACCCTCCATGTAAAACATTGAATCTAAAATGTCTACTTAATGGGCCCACATCACTAAATCTAAACCGATCTCATTTCTTACTCCTTCCTGCTAAATTCCACATCCTTAATATGCATTTCCAAACATATTTTGCTAATTATGTTGACATAAATTTGAAAATTTATGCAATTCTTTTGGTGTTTACCTCACCTTCTTTTGTAATGTATTCTTTGGCTGTGTTGGGACATGAGTCTAGTTATAGGTCCATCGGCAAAAAGAGGTAGATAATATGATTCAACATGTAAATATTATTTAAGATTTCTTATATGGGTTTACCTATCACGTGTAAGATGCATACCCATGAGCATATTTGCATTTTTAAAACTATATTTTATAATAATTATGATTATCTCTATAGGATAGATTTTTGATAAATTTGCTTTTAAAAATTCTTACTTTATTTTGTTATCCTAAATGAGCATTTATTAGTGGCATAAAAATCCCCAAAATTAAAGATCATATATGTGAATTATTTATGCAATAAAATAATTTTTAATAAATACTACAAACCTAAACATTTGACACAGATTTATGACTTTCACAACCTCAACACTTAGAGTTAGATCTAGGGCTAAAGAGTGTGTCTTCAGAGATGCAGGAATTGAATTATTAGGAATATTAATTACAATTTCAGTGTCTCAGAATAGAAGGCTCAGCTTAGGAAAAAAGTGGTTTAACACTAAGAATATTACAGTAAAGCCCAACATACTTTTTAAAAATGAAGGCCACAGGATGGATCATGGATCCATCTGGAAGAATTTACATGAATGAAATTGGGGGAGGGGGGGCTTTTTTCTGTTTTTTGGTATTTCTAAGTTGAGTAATGCTATAACTCCTAAAATTAGAAGCCTGCAGATAATATAGGACCTATTTGGAAAGCATAGCAAACATTTATGTGCAAAAAATAAAAATGAGATGTGGGATGGAAAAGTGAATTTAAACTTGGCAAAAGAGGCAAAATAATGTAAACATTTGGAAATATTTAGGACAGGACAAATTAGGCTGGATCATAATAGGTGAAAATGTCTGGAGAACAATACCACTAAATGTAATATTTCTTCACTATGTTGTCACACATGGGCTCATAAAATGTACATACCAACACAATCCAGTTAAATAGCATTTTATTAGTTTTTTTTTGTAAAATTATGACTGGAGGTCATGGCAATGAGATTATCATGTGCCTTTTATAACAGGTCACATAATACCTTTTGTGTACATTAAATTTTAGGAAATGTTTTATCTCTGCAAACGAATTTGTAAATTTTCTATAGTCATAAAAAGAATACAAAAAAAGCAAAAAACAAAACATTCTTGTTATGGAAAGAAGAGGACATATAAAATATATACTATAAAAACTTAATGGGTAGATTTCATCTTTCCTTTGATCAATATTGAAAAGAATGTATGTCAGACTAATTCTCATCTTTTAGCAATCTCAATAATGGACACAACTAAGCATATTTCCACCTACTAAAATATTTTCTTATGTTCAATTCAAATGCTTTTTCTTTGTTTTTTTGCAGTGAAGTTAGGTGTGAAGTTGCCCGACTATAGGCAACAAGGCCATTTCTTATGGGGAATGTTGGTTCTGTTCAATAATATATGTTCAAAAAGCTCCTTTTCATGATGAAAACACCTGGGATAATATGGCTTTTGAATACTTTCTGATATTGCAAATAAATAAAACTTGAAGCCTTTGCCTAAGGAAAAAAGAGCACACCTCAGGAAATGAGTTAGATGTGTTGGTGTCTTTGCACTTTACTGTTGCCGTGCATCACATTTATGATGACATAATAAATAGTCATAATAGAAAAAGGGTAGTTAGAATAAAATAAAGTGGCCCATCAAGTATTCAGCCCAAGTTTATTACCACAGTGGACTCGGGTTATAATTACCAACAGAGGAGAGAATAACTATAAGTTATTTTGATGTAAAAAGCATATTATCCTAAGCCAACATAATAACACAGTTTTTATGAAGCACAATAATTACTTTGAAGACTCACAGAAGTGCATTTTTCTAAAAGAAGGAGGTAAGTGTTGATAAGCTTCTACTGAATTTTACAGTTGCAATGAACAAAAATAATTGTCATGGCAAAATAATAGAAGTGTGTTGATTTTCGTTGCAATGCTTGAGAGATTAAATTGTAAAATTAAAAAATACTTATTAAATAGTATGAAATGTATTATGTTTAATGTATTTATTTCGAAATGACTTTTTTATAGACATTTTTTGTATATTAAATGTTGTTTGTTGTCCTTCACTAGTAGTATGCAGATTGTTATTGTTGCTAAGAATGCTTTTCTGTAATACTTTAGTGAATTAATATAGGAGAAAATGGCTTTAAAGTAAGTATTTATTTAAATATCTACTTTATAAAACTCTCATTAAGATTTGATCTCAAGCTACTATGATTTTATCACTATATTTGATTTTACATTTGGAAGCTTAGAGAAAAATCAAATGTTATCCCCAGTTACTTAATGTCTGTTAAGTAATTAAGGCTCATTAATATACATTTGAAAGCAAATGACAGGCAGTTAAAAAAAAAAAAAACAGGGTCAGGAATAAGTCATGGTAGGACTAAGCTGTTATGCTGGGACAGCATGGAAAGAGGTATGAGTTTGTACAAAGACTATTTATACAAATCTGACTATAGGCTATATGCTGATGGACCAGATTGATCATGAGGAAAACACCTGACATAAAATAGTTGAATATCTTAAGTTTAGTGATACGTGAGTAGTTTTAGAAATGTAAGGAGAAATAAAAAATATGGTTGGGCACAGTGGCCCACACATGTAATCCCAGCACTTTGGGAGGCCGAGGCGAGTGGATTGCTTGAGTTCGCGAGTTTGAGACCAGCCTGGAAACATGGGAAACCCCATTCTTCCAATAAAAATAAAAATAAATTAGCTGGGTGTGGTGGTGCGTGTCTATAGTCCCAGCTATTGGGGAGGCTGAGGTGACAGGATGGCTTGAGCCTGGGAAGCAGAGGTTGCAGTGAGCGGAGATCGTACCACTATCGCACCACAGTGGAGGCATCCAGTTCAGAGCTGAAAAATTCCTTGAAACATTAATTTCTCATTTTTTCTGAGATACCTTGTATATTTAAAGTATAATAAATATGAGAAAATATGTCACATTATACTTTTACTGATTTAACTATTTTCAGATTCTCATACAGAAACAGATTAACAGAAACAGAAACAGCAACACTAGAGAACAGCAAAATAGTAACATTTCAAATAGTAACATTTCAAGAAAATATATACACCTTCACAGTATGTGGTGGTATCCACTTACTGTCTACTGCCTCCATAACTCCTAAAGTCTTCTGAAGGTGAGTGGGCAACAAAAATTGTTAAAATACAATGGTTAAGGGGGGTAAAACATTTTTGAACCATGTCTGTACCACAACAAAACACCTGATGGGTCAGTGAGAGAGAGCACAAAGGAAATAGCTCTGTGCTTTCAATTCCAGGTAGTATACTAAAAATAATAATCTTATTGCTTTCCACATTTAACAAATAGAAGTTAACTAATTGTCAGTAGGTAGTCCAT